>NC_000023.11:55078964-55395019 GCF_000001405.40 Homo sapiens
TTTTGAAAGTTTAAATCCTGTATTTGAGATGGTACATAGAGATAAAATGTTGGTACATTGATTTTCTATCATAGATAGATAGGAACCTGGACGCTTTCATAGGGGGATGCCAACAGCTGCACAGATGGAAAAGGCCACCTGGGGCCAGGCATGTCCACCATGGGCTTTCCACCTCCTCGTTTTTAGCACATGCACAGTAAGAATGAAATGAGCAACATGGAGTAGCTCAGGCTGAGGACCCGCCTGCATAATAAAAGATTAGGTTGGGGGCTGCCAGAGATTCACACCCTATGCAGATGGTACACCTGGTCCTAACCGGTTGTTTGTACCCTATGTAGGTGATCAGATACTACCTCCCCACTAGCTCATCTATAAAAACCCCTGCCTTTCACTGCTGGATGGCAACCGTTTTTTCTGGGACCCCTCTCTGTAGTAGAAAGCTGTTCTCTTTGTTTCTCCTATTAACTTTCTGCTCTACACCTCACTCTTGGTGTGCCCATGTCCTTGATTTCCTTGGCTGTGAGACCAAGAACCCTGGATGTTACCCCGGACAGCGAGGCCACTTCAATACTAGCTGTGGGTCTGTGGTATATGGCTTTTATTACATTGAAGTATGTTCCTTCTTTCCCCGGTGTTTTGAGGGTTTGTATCATGATGAAATATTGAGTTTTATTAAATGCTTTTCAGCATCGATCGAAATGACTATATGGTTTGTATCCTTCATTCTGTTGATAATGATTTATCACATACATTAATTTGCATATGTTGAACCATCCTTCCATCCCGGGGATAAATCTCACTTGGTCATGATGATGATTCTTTATAGCGTATTGTTGAATTTGATTTGCTGGTATTCTGTTGAGGATTTCTGCATCAATATTCATCAGCGGTTTTGCCCTGTAGTTTTCTTTTTCTGATGTGTCTTTGTCTGGTTTTGGTATCAGGGTAATACTGGCCTCATAGAATTAGTTTGGAAGTATTCCCTCCTCCTCTATTTTTCAAAATAGTTTGAGTAGGATTGGTATTAGTCCTTCTTTAAATGTTGGGTAGAATTCAGTAGTGAAGCCATCAGGTCTGGCGTTTCTTTACTTGAAGACTTTTATTATGGCTTTGATCTTGTTGCTTGTTACTGGTCTGTTCAGTTTATGGATTTCTTCCTGGTTCAATCTTGGGAGGTTGTATGTATTTAGGAATTAGTCCATTTTTTTCTAGATTTTCCAATTTATAGGCATGGAGTTTCTCATAGGAGCCAGTTATGATCCTTTGAATTTTTGCAGCATCAGTTTTGTAATGTGTCCTTTTTTATTTCTTTTTCTTTTTTCTTCTTTTTTTTTTCTCGAGACAGTCTCCTTTTATCGCCAGACTGGAATGCAATGGCACAGTCTCAGCTCACTAGAACCTCCACCTCCAGGGTTCAAGCAATTCTCTTGCCTCAGCCACCCTAGTAGCTGGGATTACAGGCGCCTACCACCACACGTGGTTAATTTTTTGTATTTTTAGTAGAGTTGGAGTTTTGCCATGTTGGCCAGGTTGGTCTTGAGGTCCTGGCCTCAAGTGATCCACCTGCCTCAGCCTCTCAAATCCTTTTTCATTTCTGATTTTATTTATTTGGGTTTCTCTCTTTTTTTCTTAGTTTGGCTAATGGTTTGTCAATTTTGGTTAACTTATTAAAAAAACAACTTTTTGTGTTACTGCTCTTTTGTAGGGGTTTTTCATTTCAATTTCGTTTATTTCTGCTGGGATCTTTATTATTTCTTCTAATTTTTGGTTTGGTTTGCTCTTTCTTTGCAGCTCTTTAAGATGCATCATTAGATTGTTTAGTTGAAATTTTTACCTGTTTTGTTGTAGGCACTTATAGCTATAAACCTCTTTCCGAGTACTGCTTTTGCTGTATCCCATCGTTTTGGTATGTTGTGTCTCCATTATCATTTGTTTCAACAACTTTTTAAATTTCCTTCTTAGCTTCTTCATTGACCCATTATTCATTCAGGAGCAGATTATTCAGTTTTCATGTATTTGTATAGTTTCCAAAATTCCTCTTGTTATTAATTTCTAGTTTTATGGCATTGTGGTCTGACAAGATCCATGATATTATTTCAGGTTTTTTTTTTTAATGTTTTGAGACCTAACACATGGTCTTGTCCTTAAGAATGATCCACGTGCTGAGGAAAAGAACGTGTATTCTGTAGTCGTTGGATGAAATGTTCTGTAAATATCTATTAGATCCATGTGTGTGTAGTGCAGATTAACTCTATTTTTGTTGTTGTTGTTGTTGTTGAGTTTCTGTCTGGCAGATCTGTCCAATACTGAATGTGGGTTGCTGAAGTCTCCATCTATTATTTTATTGGGGGCTATCTCTCTCTTTAGCTCTTATAGAATTTGTTTTATATATCTGCGTGCTCAAGTGTTGGGTGCATATATATTTAAAATTGTTAATATCCTTTGGATGAATTGACCCCTTTATTATTGTATAGTGACCTTTAGTCTCTTCTCAAAGATTTTGTTTTGAAATCTATTTTTTTCTTATTCTTTTTGTATCTTTTAAGTTCAGGCATACATGTGGTGCAGGTTTGTTATACAGGTGAACTTGTGTCATGGGGGTTTGTTGTACAGATTATTTTGTCGCCCAGGTATTAAGCCTGGTACTCATGAGCTATTTTTTCCTGATCCTCTCCCTCCTCCCATCCTCCACTCTTTGGTGGGCCCCAGTGTCTGTTGTTCTCCTCTGTGTGTTTATTTTTTCCCATTTATAGCTTCCACTTATAAGTGAGAACATGCAGTATTTAGTTTTCTGTTCATGCATTACTTTGCTAAGTATAATGACCTCCAGCTCCATCCATGTTCTGGCCACGGAGATAATGTCATTTCGTTTTTATGGCTGCATCCTATTCCATGGTATATATGTACTCCATTTTCTTTATCCAGTCTACCATCGATGGGCTTTTTGGTTGATTCCATATCTTTGGTATTGTGAATAGTGCTGCAGTGAACATATGCGTACATGGGTCTTTATGACAGAACAGTTTATATCCCTTTGGCTGTATACCCAGTAATGGGATTGCTTGGATGGAATGGTAGTTTTGCTTTTAGGTCTCTGGGGAATCAGCACACTGTTTCCTACAATGGTTGAACTAATTTAAGTTCTACCAACAGTGAATAAGTGTTTTTCTCCACAATGTCACCAGCATCTGTTATTTTGTTCTATTTTAGTTTTTTTACTTTTTAATAATAGCCATTCTGACTGGTGTGAGATGATATGTCATTGTGATTTGAATTGCACTTCTCCAATGATCAGTGGCTTTGAAAGCTAGTTTTGTATTTTGTTGGTTTAAAGTCTGTTTTATCAGAGACTAGGATTGCAACTCCAGCTTTTTTTTTTCTGCTTTTCATTTACTTGGTCAGTATTCCTCCATCCCTTTATTTTGAGCCTGTGTGTCCTTTGCACGTGTGATGGGTCTTCTGTATCTGTCACACCGATGGGTCTTGACTTTTTATCCAATGTACCAGTCTGTGTGTTTTAATTGGGGCGTTTCTCCCATTTACATTTAAGATTAATATTGTTATGTGTGAATTTGATTCTGTCATCATGATGCTAGCTGGTTATTTTGCACATTAGTTGATGCAGTATCTTCATAGTGTTGTTTGTCTTCATTTTTTTGTTTGTTTTTGCAGTGGCTGGTACTGCTTTCTCCTTTTCATATTTAGTGCTTTCTTCAGGAGCTCTTGTAAGGCAGGCCTGACGGTGACAAAATCCCTCAGCATTTGCTGTTCTGGAAAGGATTTTGTTTCTCCTTCCCTTACGAAGCTTAGTTTGGCCGGATATGAAATTCTGGGTTGAAAATTCTGTCTTTAGGCTGAGACAATGGAGTTTTCTAGATATGCAATCATGTCGTCTGCAAACAGGGACAAGTTGACTTCCTCTTTTCCTAATTGAATACCCTTTATTTCCTTCTCCTGCCTAATTGCCCTGGCCAGAACTTCCAACACTGTGTTGAATAGGAGTAGTGAGAGAGGGCATCCCTGTCTTGTGCCAGTTTTCAAAGGGAATGCTTCCAGTTTTTGCCCATTCAGTATGATATTGGCTGTGGGTTTGTCATAGATAGCTCTTATTATTTTGAGATACGTCCCATCAATACCTAATTTATTGAGAGTTTTTAGCATGAAGGGTTATTGAATTTTGTCAAAGGCCTTTGCTGCATCTATTGAGATAATCATGTGGTTTTTGTCTTTGGTTCTGTTTATATGCTGGATTACATTTATTGATTTGCATATATTGAACCAGCCTTGCATCCCAGGGATGAAGCCCACTTGATCATGCTGGATAAGCTTTTTGATGTGCTGCTGGATTTGGTTTGCCAGTATTTTATTGAGGATTTTTGCATCAATGTTCATCAAGGATATTGGTCTAAAATTCTCTTTTTTGGTTGTGTCTCTGCCCGGCTTTGGTATCAGGATGATGCTGGCCTCATAAAATGAGTTAGGGAGGATTCCCTCTTTTTCTATTCATTGGAATAGTTTCATAAGGGATGGTACCAGTTCCTCCTTGTACCTCTGGTAGAATTCGGCTGTGAATCCATCTGGTCCTGGACTCTTTTTGGTTGGTAAGCTATTGATTATTGCCACAATTTCAGAGCCTGTTATTGGTCTATTCAGAGATTCAGCTTCTTCCTGGTTTAGTCTTGGGAGAGTGTATGTGTCGAGGAATTTATCCATTTCTTCTAGATTTTCTAGTTTATTTGCGTAGAGGTGTTTGTAGTATTCTCTGAGGGTAGTTTGTATTTCTGTGGGATTGGTGGTGATATCCCCTTTATCATTTTTTATTGCATCTATTTGATTCTTCTCTCTTTTTTTCTTTATTAGTCTTGCTAGCGGTCTATCAATTTTGTTGATCCTTTCAAAAAACCAGCTCCTGGATTCATTAATTTTTTGAAGGGTTTTTTTGGTCTCTATTTCCTTCAGTTCTGCTCTGATTTTTGTTATTTCTTGCCTTCTGCTAGCTTTTGAATGTGTTTGCTCTTGCTTTTCTAGTTCTTTTAATTGTGATGTTAGGGTGTCCATTTTGGATCTTTCCTGCTTTCTGTTGTGGGCATTTAGTGCTATAAATTTCCCTCTACACACTGCTTTGAATGTGTCCCAGAGATTCTGGTATGTTGTGTCTTTGTTCTCGTTGGTTTCAAAGAACATCTTTATTTCTGCCTTCATTTCGTTATGTACCCAGTAGTCATTCAGGAGCAGGTTGTTCAGTTTCCATGTAGGTGAGCGGTTTTGAGTGAGTTTCTTAATCCTGAGTTCTAGTTTGATTGCACTGTGATCTGAGAGACAGTTTGTTATAATTTCTGTTCTTTTACATTTGCTGAGGAGTGCTTTACTTCCAACTATGTGGTCAATTTTGGAATAGGTGTGGTGTGGTGCTGAAAAAAAATGTATATTCTGTTGATTTGGGGTGGAGAGTTCTGTAGATGTCTATTAGGTCCGCTTGGTGCAGAGCTGAGTTCAATTCCTGGGTATCCTTGTTAACTTTCTGTCTAATGTTGACAGTGGGGTGTTAAAGTCTCCCATTATTATTGTGTGGGAGTCTTAAGTCTCTTTGTAGGTCACTCAGGACTTGCTTTATGAATCTGGGTGCTCCTGTATTGGGTGCATATATATTTAGGATAGTTAGCTCTTCTTGTTGAATTGATCCCTTTACCATTATGTAATGGCCTTCTTTGTCTCTTTTGATCTTTGTTGGTTTAAAGTGTGTTTTATCAGAGACTAGGATTGCAACCCCTGCCTTTTTTTGTTTTCAATTTGCTTGGTAGATCTTCCTCCATCCTTTTATTTTGAGCCTATGTGTGTCTCTGCATGTGAGTTGCGTTTCCTGAACACAGCACACTGATGGGTCTTGACTCTTTATCCAATTTGCCAGTCTGTGTCTTTTAATTGGAGCATGTAGTCCATTTACATTTAAAGTTAATATTGTTATGTGTGAATTTGATCCTGTCATTATGATGTTAGCTGGTTATTTTGCTCGTTAGTTGATGCAGTTTCTTCCTAGTCTCGACGGCCTTTACATTTTGGCATGATTTTGCAGCGGCTGGTACTGGTTGTGCCTCACACCAGTTAGAATGGCAGTCATTAAAAAGTCAGGAAACAACAGGTGCTGGAGAGAATGTGGAGAAATAGGAACACTTTTACATTGTTGGTGGGACTGGAAACTAGTTCAGCCATTGTGGAAGTCAGTGTGGCGATTCCTCAGGGATCTAGAACTAGAAATACATTTGACTCAGCCATCCCATTACTGGGTATATACCCAAAGGACTATAAATCATGCTGCTATAAAGACACATGCACACGTATGTTTATTGCGGCACTATTCACAATAGCAAAGACTTGGAACCAACCCAAATGTCCAACAATGATAGACTGGATGAAGAAAATGTGGCACATATACACCATGGAATACTATGCAGCCATAAAAAATGATGAGTTCATGTCCTTTATAGGGACATGGGTGAAATTGGAAATCATCATTCTCAGTAAACTATCACAAAGACAAAAAACCAAACACTGCATGTTCTCACTCACAGATGGGAATTGAACAATGACAACACATGGACACAGGAAGGGGAACATCACACTCTGGGGACTGTTGTGGGGTGTGGGGATGGGGGAGGGATAGCATTAGGAGATATACTTAATGCTAAATCACGAGTTAATGGGTGCAGCACACCAGCATGGCACATGTATACATATGTAACTAACCTGCACATTGTGCACATATACCCTAAAACTTAAAGTATAATAATAATAAAAAATAAAAATAAATAAATAAATAAATAAAAATAAAAGAAAATTCTTTCTTTATGAATGTTGAATACTGGCCCCCACTCTCTTCTGGCTTGTAGGGTTTCTGTAGAGAGATCCGCTGTTAGTCTGATGAGCTTCCCTTTGTAGGTAACCTGACCTTTCTCTGTGGCTGCCATTAACATTTTTTCCTTTTTTTCAACCTTGGAGAATCTGATGATTATTGTCTTGAGATTGCTCTTCCCAAGGAGTAGCAGAGTGGTGTTTTCTGTATTTCTTGAATTTGAATGTTGGCCTGTCTTGCGCGGTTGAGGAAGTTCTCCTGGATAATATCCTGGGTCTCTGGGAAATGAGCACACAGTTTCCTACAATGGTTGAACTAATTTACACTTCCACCAACAGTGAATACATGTTTTTTTTCTCTACTATGTCACCAGCATCTGTTATTTTATTGTATTTTTTTACTTTTTAATAATAGCCGTCCTGACTGGTGTGAGATGATATCTCATTGTGGTTTGAATTGCATTTCTCCAATGATCAGTGACTTTGAACTTTGTTTCATGTGCTTGTTGGCCACGTGCACGTCTTCCTTTGAAAGTGTCTGTTCATGTCCTTGGCGCACTTTTTAATGGTATGGATTGTTTTGTTTTGTTTTGTTTATTGACATGCAGTCTCGGTCTGTTGCCCAGGCTGGAGTGCAGTGGCACGATCTCCACTCACTATAACCTCCACTTCCCAGGTTCAAGCTATTCTGCTGCCTCAACTACGCTAGTATCTGGGATTACAGGTGTGCACCACCTCGCACAGCTAATTTTTGTATTTTATGATAGAGCCAGGGTTTTCCATCTTGGCCAGGCTGGTCTTGAAATCCTGGCTTCCAGTGATCTGCCCATCTTGGCCTCACAAAGTGCTGGGATTACAGGTGTGCACCACCTCGCACAGCTAATTTTTGTATTTGATGATAGAGCCAGGGTTTTCCATCTTGGCCAGGCTGGTCTTGAAATCCTGGCCTCCAGTGATCTGCCCATCTTGGCCTCACAAAGTGCTGGAATTACAGGTGTGAGGCACCACGCGTGGCGTGTCATTTTAGTGTTTTTTGTTTGTTTGTTTTTTGGTAAATTTCTTTAAGTTCTTTATAGATGCTGGATACAAAACCTTAGACAGATGCATAGTTTGCAAACATTTTCTTCCATTCTGTGTGTTGGTTGTTGTCTCTGTGGATAGTTTTGTTTTTTTTTTTTTTTTTTTTTTTTTTGCTGTGCAGGAGCTCTTTAGTTTAATTAGATCCCATTTGTCAATGTTTGCTTTTGTTGCCATTGCTTTTGGCATCTTCGTTATGAAACCTTTGCCTTTTCCTGTGTCCGGAGTGACGTTGCCTACGTTGTCTTCCGGGGTTTTTACAGATTTGGGTTTTACATTTAAGTTCTTAATCCACCTTTAGTTAATTTTTTTAATAAGAAGTGGTCCAGTTTCAGTCTTTTACATACAGCTAGCCAGTTATCTCAGCACCATTTATTGAATAGGGATTCCTGTCTACATTGCTTGTTTTTGTCAACTTTGTTGAAGATCAGGTGGTAATAGGTGTGAGGTGTGCAGCATTATTTCTGGGCTGTGTATTCTATTTCATTGGTCTCTGTGACTGTTTTGGTACCGGTACCATGCTGTTTGGATTACCGTGGCCTTGTATTATAGTCTGAAGTCAGGTAATATGATGCTTTTGGCTTCATTCTTATTGCTTAGGATTGCCTTGGTTATTTGGGCTCTTTTTTGGTTCCATATGAATTTTAAAGTACTTTTTTTCTAATTCTGTGAGGAATGTCATTGGTACTTTAATAGGAATATCATTGAATGTATGAATTGCTTTGGTCAATTAGGCCATTTTGCCAGTATTGCTTATTCCTGTTCACGAGCATGAAATGTTTTTCCATTTGTTTGTGTCATCTCTGATTTCTTTGAGCAGTGTTTTGTAGTTCTCATAGTAGAGATTGTTCTCCTCCCTCGTTAGCTGTATTCCTAGGTATTTTATTTTTTTTTTTTGTGGCAATTGTGAATGGGATTGTGTTTCTGATTTGGCTCTGCGCTTGAAGGTAGTTGGTGTACAGAAACACTTCTGGTTTTTATACATTAATTTTGTATCTTGAAGCTTTCCTGAAGTTGTTTATAAGATCAAGGAGCTTTTGGGCAGAGATTCTGGGATTTTCTAGGTATAGAATCACATGGTTTCCAAACAGATTGTTTGACTTGTGTGAAAAACATAGTGGAGTAGAAGCAAACACGTGTCAGCAATGGAATAGAAAAATAAAAGTGCCCATGAATAAATTTAATTTGAATGTGAAGAACTAATATGAAGCAAATAACACAATCATTGTGTGGGATATGTTAAAAGACTTGAGGAATTGAGGAGTGGCTTTTTTTTTTTGATAGAGAGATTCTAAAATAGAAAGATGGCTATTGTCCCAGAGTTAACATGTAATATAAAAATAATAACTAGTGTCTCAACAGTAATATTTTAGCACCTGATCAAATGATTCTGAAGTTCATCTGAAAGACCAACGTGTCAGAATTGATAGAAAAGGAGAAATCAATGAGGGAGGGCAAGCATTATTTCACATTTCAAATATAATTAAGCTACAGCAATTAAAATAGTGTAGTAGTGGTACAGGTATAAACAACTCAATGGAAGAAAATTAAAAGAAGAGAGTTACATACAAAATTGAGTGGGGATGTAGGTGATGATAAGAGCCATTTCAAAACAGTGGGTGAAACAGGGATTCAACAAATAATGTTGAGTTCCTACCACTTTAATTTTGTCCAGATGGATCAAAGATTTTGAACGTACAATAATGCAACCAAAAACTATGAATGTCTTATGATATTGCAGTGGGTGAGACCATTGCAAGCATGACAGCAAACTCGTGAAGGAGGCAAGAAAATGATTTATGGAAGCGTATATAAAACAGGTATTAAAATATTTAAGATTTATTTCTATGATGGTGAATTTTTCTGAAACACATTATTAGAGTAACCTGAGGCTCATATTCTCTAACGCCACTGGAAGTGAAAGAAAGGGTGGGCGGGGAAAAAAGAAAAGTGCTTTGCAAGTTCATTTTCGTTGTCAGGAGCGCTGGTGGTTTACTCCACAGAGGCAGGAAAACTTCAGTCACGAGGCGAATACCCCACTCAGTGCGCATGCTGCACAGACCTGTTGGTGCCCATGTCTGTTGCTATGCGTGTCTGTTGTTGCGCAGGCGCCTTGCTGCCCGTCTTGTGTCCGCACAGAGGTCTGCAAGGAGAGAGAGTGTCTTCATTCTTTCCGCCATCTTGATTCTTTCTCACTGACCAAGACTCAGCCGGTAGGTCTGCAGAACGGTGTTACTGGGAATTTAGTTGTGAGAGAATGTGTGGAGGAGCCAGCTGGCTTTGGACAGGTCCTGCGGCACAGTCTGTGGCTTCTGAGGGAAAAGGGCCTCGGGGCCGTCATCCAGCTCCTCCCAGGTCGCGACGCCACCATGGGACTTGTCCTGACTGGGCTGGGATGAGGGAGGAAGGTGGGCCGCAGAGGGGAGGGATTGCCTGAAGATGGGGCAAGTGCTGGGGGTGCAGTTAGCGGTGTTTGAGTCTCGAAAACTCCTGGAACCCTCTGAGAGAGGACAGTTTCCAAACTCCTCAGTAGGGACGCGGGAAGGGACCGTGTGGTCAGTAACGAAGGGGCTTGGGAACTGGGAGCGCGGTGGGCTGGTGACTGTGGCCCCGAGGTCTGTAGAGTGCCTGGCAGAGGTGTCCTGTGAGGAGCATAACGTTCACTCTGTTTCACAATTTCTCACCTCCGCCATGGACATCATAGGAAGGAATGGGCGAGGCTGTGCTTTCCAACAAGACTTGATTTTGAGAGGGGTGTGGGGGTGAAATGGGCCTAGCAAATCAGAGTGGGACAAAAGCAGTAGTCATTTCAGTTTCAATTCTCTGCCCGTTTTTTCCTAAATGTCTTCATGATGGAGAGTCTAATTGTGAAACCAAAACGCAGAAATGTCCTCTGTCTTTTGCTATGGCGTTAAGGGGATTTCTATGCCTCTTCGACTATGATACAAACAAATCTGTCCTTAGTTTGATTCGAAAGCATGTGTACTTATCATTGCTCTGTGACTTAATTTGAAAATATTTTCAAAATTAAAAAAGTACAAATCACCATTTTGCCGTGGAATGTTCATATATATAACTAAGTTCTTACACACTTTTTCCAAATAACAATATTCTGTTTGCAGTGGGAAATATGAGTGAGCTTCTAAGAGCAAGATCCCAATCCTCAGAAAGAGGAAATGACCAAGAGTCTTCCCAGCCGGTTGGATCTGTGATTGTGAGTCTTTTAACATTTGATGTTTTCTATTAACACAATTTATTTTAAAAATATTTTTGAGCTAGTATACATACACTGATACAGGTGTTCCATGCTGATAAAAAATGATGATGGCATCTCATGAAGGAAACTTTGGTTCAGGAATACTATATTCTGGTGTTACCTGTATGGATATGGATATTTCTCTCTCTCTCTCTATCTCTATGTATGTATCTGTCTGTCTGTCTATCTATCTATCTATCTATCTATCTATCTATCTATCATCTATCTATCTATATGTGTGTGTATGTGTTTATATATGTTGGAAAAATGTCTTTAGATGTGTGATTCGATGCACATATGCATTTGTGTATTTATATTATTGACTTTTTATTCACACACACACTTACACCCTTAGGTCCAGGAGCCCACTGAGGAAAAACGTCAAGAAGAGGAACCACCAACTGATAATCAGGGTATTGCACCTAGTGGGGAGATTGAAAATCAAGCAGTGCCTGCTTTTCAAGGTGAAGGGAGAGTGGAAAATAATGCTTATGGGTGGTGGAGGTCTATTTATGCATTGTATTTTATGACATACCAGTAACAGGAGGACAGAAAGCATTAGGAAGGAATCTTAAACATTTCCTACTGCTGCTGTGTGGAGGGGTGGGACAAGGATGCATAAAAAGCCACTAAGCTTTCCTACCACTTTGATGGAGGCTTTTTATTGATTGGGTATTTTCATGGTTGCCATAAACCTTTTTCCAGAGCTCCTGTATGCTTTGTTCAGCCATTTTCTGTTTTTTGTTGCTGTGGAAGAATGGCAGCTTGCAGCTTCCTAGTCTGCCATCTGTGGACACGTCATGTATTTTTTAAGAAACTTTTTAACACACCTTTATTGATGCTTCCTCATACCACGTAATATACTAAGTGCTGGAGATGTCAGTGCCAAATTTTTGCCTAAAGCTCATAGTCTAGTCAGACTGACTCAAACAAATGGCTGATTTAATGTGATAAGAATAAGAACAAATGAGTATAAAAGGGACAAGTAAGTTGTCTAGGGCCAGCCTTGGGAAAGAAAAGGGCAATGTTCGAATATCTCTGCTTTCCTGTTTTCCTGGCAGCAGATTCCTGAAATAATTAGCCTACCGGTTTTTATTTCATAATGATGAGGGAATAAATACTATCATTTCCTCGTTCATAGTTCATGTTTTAATTTGTAAATTGATGACCTTTTTATCTTTTAAGGGCCTGACATGGAAGCTTTTCAACAGGAACTGGCTCTGCTTAAGATAGAGGATGAGCCTGGAGATGGTCCTGATGTCAGGGAGGGTATTATGCCCACTTTTGATCTCACTAAAGTGCTGGAAGCAGGTTTGTTATTCATTTAAGATGCAAACTATTGTATTTCTATTTTCACAGTATTTTGTGTGACACAGAGGTAAAATTACTGCTACTTTAATATCATACTTCACGTCTGAAGGTTCTTTGAATGTAGTTCAGACCCCAAATGGCTGCCTTACACACTATCAGGGATAGAGGGCCAGGTGTGGTGGCTCATGCTTTTAATTCCAGCACTTTGGGAGGCCGAGGCAGAAGGATCACTTGAGGCCAAGACTTCAAGAGACAGAGAAAAATTGGGTCAAAACTAATTGGATTACGATATGAAAGAAATGAAACATGCTAAAACAGTAGATTTCAAGTGTCTTCACAGCTATATGAAGTAATGCATATATTAATTAGCTTGATGTAGCCATTTTACAATGTGTATATATATATATTTAAAACGTCATGTTTTACATGATAAATATATACAATTTTATGTGTCATTTTTAAAGAAAGATGAAAACGTGTTCTGACTTTTAAATGTAAGTCATTTTACCAACAGCCAATAATTTTCAAATATTTTTATAGAGGCCTGTTTTTAACAAATACATAACATGTTTATAATAAGCATCAGTTTATATTGTGATGTTAACTGTGTTGGTAATGGCTTAAAGCTAGCGTGGATATTCAGTTTACTGTATAAACTGAACTGCTTGTAGGCATGTAAAGAGGCAGGAGTACCCGTGAAAATAGTGACAAATGTTCGCCCTACTTAAAGCAACTACATGATGGCTACACTAGTCCAAAGTAACGTTTTTACACTTTTTCACAAGAGAGACAAAACAAATGTAATACTGACTTTTCTATTTCCTTCACTTAGGCCGTTCTAAGCATATTCTATATTCAGAGTGTCATTTCATATCAGACTATTTAAATGATACTTTAAAATATCTTTTTCCCTTAGGATTTTATTTCGTTGAATTTTCATTTAAAGTATATGTGTTTTTTTTTTTTTTGCTTTCCACTTATACATACAAAATACACTTGATTTAATTCATTCTGAACTTGAACAGTCTCTTCGTTTCCTTATTCTACTAGAAAAAGTGGCATGAATTAAAAATATTGTTAATATGCCTGGAAGTCTACCTTCAGAGTTTATTCAGAGGCTAACTGGCTGTAAGCTAAAGGGTCACTCACCCTCAGGGTTCTGATATTAGTTCATCAACACGGTAGTTGTATACCTCTAGTGTCATATGAATAAAAATCTGCTGAGTAACGGGCCCTAATTTAATATTTATTTTATAGGTGATGCGCAACCATAGGTTTCAAGCAAGACAAATGAAGACTGAAACCAAGAACGTTATTCTTAATCTGGAAATTTGACTGATAATATTCTCTTAATAAAGTTTTAAGTTTTCTGCAAAGAATCCTTACACAGTTTTGTTAAATTTATTTCTGGATCTTTAATACTCTTGAGAATTGTATCTTTTTTGAAAGTTTAAATCCTGTATTTGAGATGGTACATAGAGATAAAATGTTGGTACATTGATTTTCTATCATAGATAGATAGGAACCTGGACGCTTTCATAGGGGGATGCCAACAGCTGCACAGATGGAAAAGGCCACCTGGGGCCAGGCATGTCCACCATGGGCTTTCCACCTCCTCGTTTTTAGCACATGCACAGTAAGAATGAAATGAGCAACATGGAGTAGCTCAGGCTGAGGACCCGCCTGCATAATAAAAGATTAGGTTGGGGGCTGCCAGAGATTCACACCCTATGCAGATGGTACACCTGGTCCTAACCGGTTGTTTGTACCCTATGTAGGTGATCAGATACTACCTCCCCACTAGCTCATCTATAAAAACCCCTGCCTTTCACTGCTGGATGGCAACCGTTTTTTCTGGGACCCCTCTCTGTAGTAGAAAGCTGTTCTCTTTGTTTCTCCTATTAACTTTCTGCTCTACACCTCACTCTTGGTGTGCCCATGTCCTTGATTTCCTTGGCTGTGAGACCAAGAACCCTGGATGTTACCCCGGACAGCGAGGCCACTTCAATACTAGCTGTGGGTCTGTGGTATATGGCTTTTATTACATTGAAGTATGTTCCTTCTTTCCCCGGTGTTTTGAGGGTTTGTATCATGATGAAATATTGAGTTTTATTAAATGCTTTTCAGCATCGATCGAAATGACTATATGGTTTGTATCCTTCATTCTGTTGATAATGATTTATCACATACATTAATTTGCATATGTTGAACCATCCTTCCATCCCGGGGATAAATCTCACTTGGTCATGATGATGATTCTTTCTAGCGTATTGTTGAATTTGATTTGCTAGTATTCTGTTGAGGATTTCTGCATCAATATTCATCAGCGGTTTTGCCCTGTAGTTTTCTTTTTCTGATGTGTCTTTGTCTGGTTTTGGTATCAGGGTAATACTGGCCTCATAGAATTAGTTTCGAAGTATTCCCTCCTCCTCTATTTTTCAAAATAGTTTGAGTAGGATTGGTATTAGTCCTTCTTTAAATGTTGGGTAGAATTCAGTAGTGAAGCCATCAGGTCTGGCGTTTCTTTACTAGAAGACTTTTATTATGGCTTTGATCTTGTTGCTTGTTATTGGTCTGTTCAGGTTATGTACTGGTTTTTCCTTTTCATATTTAGTACTTCCTTCAGGAGGTCTTGTAAGGCAGGCCTGATGGTGACAAAATCCCTCAGCATTTGCTTTTCTGGAAAGGATTTTATTTCTCCTTCCCTTATGAAGCTTATTTTGGCTGGATGTGAAATTCTGGGTTGAAAATTCTTTTATGACTGCTGAATATTGGCCCCCACTCTCTTCTGGATTGTAGGGTTTCTGTAGAGAGATCCGCTATTAGTCTGATGTGCTTCCCTTTGTAGGTAACCTGATCTTATTCTTGGGCTGCCCTTAACATTTTTTCCTTTGTTACAACCTTGGAGAATCTGACGATTATTTGTCTTGAGGTTGCTCTTCCCAAGGAGTAATAGAGTGATGTTTTCTGTATTTCATGAATTTGAATGTTGGCCTGTCTTGGTAGGTTGGGGAAGTTCTCCTGGATAATATCCTAAGTGTGTTTTCCAACTTGATTCCATTCTCCTCGTCACTTTCAGGGACCCCAATCAATCATAGGTTTGGTCTTTTCACATAGTCCTATATCTCTTGGAGGCTTTGTTCATTTCTTGTCACTTTTCTTTCTCTGATCTTGTCTTCATGCCTTATTTTAGTAAGTCGATCTTCAAACTCTGATATCCTTTCTTCTGCTTGATTATTTCAGCTATTGATACTTGTGTATGCTTCACGAAGTTCTTGTCCTGTGTTGTTAAGCTCCATCAGGTCATTTATGTTCTTCTCTAAACTGGTTATTCTAGTTATCAGTTCATGTAGCCTTTTATCAAGGTTCTTAGCTTCCTTGCATTGGGTTAGAACATGCTCCTTTAGCTCTGAGGAGTTTGTTGTTACCCATCTTCTGAAGCCTACTTCTGACAGTTTGTCAAACTCATTCTTCATCCGGTTTTGTGCCCTTGCTGGAGAGGAGTTACCATCATTTGGAGAAGAGGCATTCTGGTTTTTGGAATTTTCAGGATTTTTGCACTGGTTTTTCCTCATCTTGGTGGATTTATCTACTTTTGATCTTTTAGGCTGATGACCTTTGGATGAGGTTTTTGTGTGGGGGTCCTTTTGTTGATGTTACTGCTTTCTGTTTTTTAGTTTTTCTTCTAATAGTCAGGCCCGTCTTCTGCAGGTCTGCTGCAGTTGCTGGAAGTCCTCTCCAGACCGTTTTCCTGGGTATCACCAGTGGAGGCTACAGAACAGCAAAGATTGCTTCCTGCTCCTTGCTCTGGAAGCTTTTTCCCAGAGGGGTACCACCCTGATGCCAGTCAGAGCTGTCCTGTATGAGGTATCTGTCGACCCCTGCTGGGAGGTCTCTCCCATTCAGGAGGCACAGGGGTCAGGGACCCACTTGAGGAGGCAGTCTGTCCCTTAGCAGAGCTCGAGCGCTGTGCTGGGAGAAACCTCCTTGTCAGAATCTGCTACTCCCTTCAGAGCCAGCAGGCAGTAACATTTGTCTGCTGCGGCTGCGCCCACAGCTGCCCCTTCCCACAGGTGCTCTGTCCCAGGTAGATGGGAGTATTATCTATAAGGGGCTGCTGCTTTTCTTTCAGAGATGCCCTGCCCAGTGAGGAGGAATCTAGAGAGGCAGTCTGGCCACACCTGCTTTGCCAAGCTGTGGTAAGTTCTGCTCAATCCGAACTTCCTGGCCTCCTTAACACTGTCAGGGGAAAACTGCCTACTCAAGCCTTAGTAATGGCAGACGCCCCTCCTCCCACCAAGTTCGATCATCCCAGGTCGACTTCAGCCTGCTGTGCTGGCAGTGAGAATTTCAAGCCAGTGGTTCTTATCTTGCTGGGCTCCATGGGAGTGGGATCCGCTGAGCGAGACCACTGGTTCTCTGGCTTCAGCCCACTTTCCAGTGGAGTGAAGGGTTCTGTCATGCTGTGGTTCCAAGCTCACGCTTCCCTTGCCTGGGAAAGGGAGGCCGTCCAGCTCCTTGCAGTGTGATAGTACTTGATACTCAACAAAGTGTAACTACTATACCTGTTATTAATAATAAAAAATAATAGTAATGAGTGACCATAGCAAATCCCTCTGCATGAATTCACTAGGGTTTGTGACTGTTGTTCTACACTTTGACCAGAAGCATCTAGTGGTTGTGCATTCTTCACATGATTTTCATTCATAACAAAGGTTTGATAG
Source organism: Homo sapiens (assembly GCF_000001405.40). Taxonomy (NCBI): domain Eukaryota; kingdom Metazoa; phylum Chordata; class Mammalia; order Primates; family Hominidae; genus Homo; species Homo sapiens. The sequence goes on from NC_000023.11 coordinate 55,096,182, forward strand.
ACTCTTACTCCCTCAACCTCAAATCTGCCATCAGAATGGGCCTGCATTCCATAATTCACTGAAGAGATACCTTGTTACAGTCCTGAATAGAGATTGTGGCTGGGGCTGGGACCAGGGAGCTGCGGAGGTGAGATCTGATGGTGAGACTGAATGAAGGATGTTGCTGAAGAAAATGTTATGGAGGAGGAGGCTGATGCCCACACAGCATCCTTAGGGAAACGGTAGAAGTTTTCACAGGAGATTTTGTGACTTTTTGCTGTGGGGTCTGCAGCATCAGTGCTCTTTCCTGTCCTGACAATGTCCCCTCCCCCAGATGATCCTACCTCCAGCCCTCAGTAATTGGTTGCTCATTTAGGTGAGTGTCTGTGTGTCATCCAAGTGGTGGGTGTTGTATAATAGATTCAGTGATGGGAAGAGCTACTGTTTACTTAATCTACTGAGTTCCCAAGTGTTTTACATGTATTATCTCACTTAGATCTCACAATGTCCATGTAGAGTAACTATTTCCCTTATCTCTTTTATACAGATGAGGAATCTGAGGCTCAGCATGGTTAAGGGAGACAACATTCTCACAGCCTGTAGAACCTGTAGAGCTTGGAGATTAGGAAAGTGGACTCCTGGGTGGAATACCTGGCTCTTCTTCTTAGAAGAGCTATGTGATCTGGAGCTAATCACTTAATATCTAAGCTTCAATTTCTTCACCTATAAAGTGGGAATAAGCAGCACATCAAAACATTCAGTCTGTTTTTGCTCAGTGCACAATGTTGCAGTTTGAAATCTATCCTGCTGCAGGTTCTCTTTATCTCACTCTCCCTGCCTTCCCCCTGCATACACAAGCCTCTCACAACAGTGTGTATGCTGGTGTAGGGAATACTGTGCTTGACTCCGCAACATCCATTGTATTCCAAGATCTTTCCATCTCAGACTTTAATGGTCATCCTTTCTATCTTCAGAAATGGGTATGTGACCCAGTGTTGGCCTAGGTGAAAGAAGAAAATATATCCTGGGGACTCCTGTGAAATAATTTTTTGCTCCTAGGAAATAGCAGACACACAAATTCCTCTTTTGCTTAGGGATATAAACATTTTAATCCATGAGGCCTGGAAAAATTATAGCTATCTTGAGACCACCTTGAGGTTTAACCCAGCATGTAAAAGGGTAGAGCACATAGGAAAGAACTTGGGTACATGACGACATCTTTAGTCCCTTGAAATGTCAAAGGAGGATTAGAGTACTTAGCTTGAACATCTGTTGGGAGGCTCGAGTGAAATGAGCATAAGACCTGCAATTCTTCTTGGAAAAAGGAACAGCCAGCTCCTTTGCCACTCACAGCCTTCATGACTGGCTTCATCCTCTAGCCTTGTCTCTCCATCCTCTTTCATATTTACATATTCATTCATTCATTTAATGAAATAAGCAGGCAGTGAGGGCCTGTGCTGCACCATGGCCTGCTCTAGGAATAGGGGATAAAGCAGTGGCCACAACAGATAGCACATCTGCTTTACTGGACCCCATGTTCCTTCATAGAAGAGAGAGTGTATACTAATAGACAAATATAAACATGATGGAAACCTAATGGGCTTGTTTTCTGTAACTTTTTCCCTTCAGGGACCATGAATAGTTTTGTGTGTAAGGACTGAGAATCTCAAGGCACATGTAGAATTGGGGCTACTCAATTACATGTCTCATGCATTGATTGGTTCTTTGGCTAAACACAGCAGGCTTTTCTTGGGGCTTTCTTTTTTCTGCAACCATTGGGTTCTCTGGATTGCCTGCTTCTCCAGTTTCCATTGTGGAATATATAAGGCAGTAAGAACATTCAGGGCATGAAGCAGAAGGAAGCAGATTCCTCCACCCACAGCACGAATTTCTGCATGTTGGTGCTAGTGCCTCAGCTTAATAGATACAGGAGCTTTCCATTTGGTCTGGTATCTCTTGTGTGGGAGTGCTAATAGCATGCTCATGCCTGCTGCATGGATCTCATGGAATCATTGGGTTAATTAAAAATTGTTGAGGGTGTAGGTATTTAGCTTTGTTTTTCATGACAAATAATTGATAATCACTCATTAATCGTTTACCTTTTTCTGAAAGATACTCTGCATTATGTGTGTTTGTATGTGTGTATGTGTGTGTATATAGATCTTTTATATGTGTATATATGTATATATACATATATAAGGGATATGTGTATATATACATATATAAGGGATAAACTGCCTGTCACATATATGTGTATAGCTATAAGACATGCAGATTATATATATATATATACACACACACACACACACACACACTATGTATCTTTTATGTGTGTGTGTATATATGTATTATATGTATTGGATTTTGACAAGGAACTGGGTGAGCTGCAGGTTAAATTATGTGTGTGTATATGTATATTATATATATACATATAAACACACACACATATATAAAAGACATGCAGATTATCCCTATGTCCTCTTCTCTGACTGTTCTTCCCATGGCCCTCCTTTGCCTGAACTCAACTACCCCACACAGACTTGCCTTCAATATTTATGCACCTTGGTTGTTCTTTTCAGACTAACTTACTGAGTAGAAGTTTACCAGGTCCAACAGGATCCTGTCGTTGTCACCCTGTCATCTTCTGCCTTCTGTTCAGGCCTCATTCCTGCTCCCAGCTGCACTGGTGTCCTTGCAGTGTCTGTGCTTTGTCAGGCAGGCTCTGCCTCTGACACTTTTTCCAAACTGTTTGATCTGTCTGGAAAGTTCTGACCCCATGTATCTGCTTGGCTGACTCCTCTGCCCTTTCACATCTTCGTCAAAATGTCACTTTCTCAATGCAGCCTACCCTGGTCACTCTGTGTAATAATTTAATCTGCAGCTCACCCAGTTCCTTGTCAAACTCCAAATTTCCCTTGCCTTGCTTGACTCTCCCCTTTTCTACAGCACTTAACACTTTCTAAAATACCGTGCAATTTGTGAATTTAGCACACTGACTAGTTACAGTCTTTCTCAATGTCACCACCTTCAGAATCTAAGACATTGCCTGAAAGCTGGCAGGTGTCAATGAATGTTTGTTGAACTAATTGATCTTTTGGAAGTAGCATAAATAGGAACATCATTTCCATTCCTGTCAGGAGATAAGATGGAATTTACCTTCGTAGGCACAATATGTGTGACTTTAAAAAAAATTGCATACATTGCAAATCTGTCTAGTCAGCTATGAGGTGTTCAATGGCTAGAACATGAGAAATTTTTCTATGAAATTCCACATAGTAGCTGGCACAGTTCTCAATCTAGTGTGAAATTTAAGTACCATTTCCCAAGTCTCAAACAGTAAATGACATCTTTAGAGTTTATGTTTCTGATGCATATAAGTATTTTTCATTTAATATATATTTTTGATTCAAAAAGTATCATTTGATAAATGCAATGATAAACTATTGTGAAAACCATACTATGGGATATCTTAAATATCACAGTAGGTGTAATGGTACATCTAATAGTTTGTACTATTCTAAGAACTTTTTTCTATTTTGTTTCATTTGATCATCATGTCAGACCTTCCAAAAATACCATCTGTACATCCATGATATCTTTTTTTTTTTTTTTTTTGAGACGGAGTCTCGCTCTGTCACCCAGGCTGGAGTGCAGTGGCGTGATCTTGGCTCACTGCAAGCTCCGCCTCCCGGGTTCACGCCATTCTCCTGCCTCAGCCTCCCGAGTAGCTGGGACTACAGGCGCCTGCCAACACGCCCGGCTATTTTTTTTTTTTTTTTTGTATTTTTACTAGAGACGGGGTTTCACCGTGTTAGCCAGGATGGTCTCGATCTCCTGACCTCATGATCCGCCCGCCTCGGCCTTCCAAAGTGCTGGGATTACAGGCGTGAGCCACCGATAAAGATATCACCTCCGTGATATCTTTAGTAAGAGGATTAAGAGATATATAACTAATTTAACTAACATACTAGGAAGCATTTCTTACACTTTACTGACATAATTGCATTTAGTTCATATAGCTGAAGTCCTCTGTGTTTGGTAATATTACAATTCCTTTTTCTCAGATCAGAACGCTGAGGCACAAAGAACTTGTGTAATTTGCAAATGATTGCAGAGTTTTAAAATAGCATAGAAGGGATTAGAATTCATGGAGGTTATTTTGGAGTATAATAAAATGCATCCTTAAAAAAAAGCTACCTTGCTCATTGTGTTAGTAGGGATGATTCTGAATGAAAGTAACAGAATATTCCTACCTAAACTGTTTCAAGCCACGAAGCAATTCCTATTCATTAACAAAAAATGAGTGGGTTTTGTTGGTACAGGTATTGGAGGGGCCTACAAAGAGTTCCAATGAGATATCAGTAGATATCTATTACAGCAGCTGAATTGGCTATTATAAATGAGAGCAAATGTCCACAAAAAGACTTGTTCATAGAAGCTTTGTTTGTAATAGCCCAAATCTTAGAGCCAACATGTCCATCAAGAGGTGAATGGATAAAGAAACCATGGCATATCCATACCATGGAATGCTAATCAGCAACTTTTGATACACACAACAAACTGTATGGACCTTGAGGGCATTATGCTGAATGGAAAAGGCCAACCCCAAAAGGACACATATTGCATGATTCTTTTTTAAGTAACAGTCTTAAAATGAAATGATTAGAGAGATGGAGAACAGTTGAGTTATTACCTGAGCTTAGAGATGGTGCTGGGATGGTGGTGAGTGTGACTACAAAGGGATAGCATGAGAAAGATCTTTATGGTGATGAAACAGTTTTGTAATTTGATTGGATTGGTGATTACACATATCTCCACATATGATAAAATGACACAACTACATACACATTGTTCCAATGTCAATTTCCTGATTTTGATACTATACTATAGTTATGTAAGCTATAAACTGTCTTGGGGGAAACAAGGTGAAGGGTGTATTATCTTTGCAACTTCTTGTGCATCTATAATTTCAAAATAAAAAGTGAACACAAACACACACACACAAGTATATTTCAACAGACCTAGTGCTTCTGGGATCCAATCAATAAAGTGAAATGAAACCATTTAAAAAACAGGAAATCAGAAACACTGCGTAGATGCTTTATACCTTATTGTCAACATGGTAAGGGAGGAAAGACTGAAACCTAAGGAGGGAAAATGACAGCTTGCACCATGAAAACAATATTACCAAGAGTATAGAATCATTGCTACCCGGTTGCCATTGCCAAAAAGCAACTGCTTCCAGCATATGCCAGGGTGATGCTAAAATACTGGAGGACAGATGCTGATGCCACAATTGGATTGAATTGCCAGCTGATGTGATTCTTTGTCATAAGACTGGATGCTGTTACTCCTCCTGACCATGTTTTCAAAAGGATTCCACTCAAGCAGTTGGTAATGTTGACGTTCATGACCCCATTTATTTTGATCTTCCTTTACCTGAGGATGGTAGTCTCAAGAGTTTTTCTGCTTATGTTTATAGGAGCCTCTGAAATGATGCTTCTGTTTCAGGCTTCTGTTTTGGGTTCTTCTTCTTTCTTTCCTGTGCCCTTTCTTGTAGGAGAGTAGGCTGGATAGTTCCAGGATTGAGCATCAAGTTATTGAGTTCTTGTGTTAGGTTATCCCAGGAAGAATGGGAGGTTACTTTCTTCCTGGTTGAGATCCCAGAAGTGTTTCCCATATACCCCTGGCAGCAGTGGCATTCACATTTGAATCTCTTCTGATCTGTATCACGTGAGAAGGAGGCTTTTGCTTTTCTGTCAACCTGATAAGGTGCCATGGGCTTGATATATCTCTGTCTCATGCATTCTACTAACTTTTTTTTCTTCTGGGGTAACCTTGAACTTTCCCACTGCTGATCTTCCAGCCGCTCAAAGAAAAAAACATATATTAGAAACACAAAGATTGTGTTTAAAACATGTTATGTTGCATATTATTCCTGGAATGCCTATAAAAACACCTACACACATTTCAGGAAGAGTCCCTGATAATTTCAGCAACTGAAATCTAATAAATTTATTTAGTAATTTCTTTTGGTAAGCACCAACATAAGCAAATAATGTAGTCCAAAAATGGGGAAATATTGGCTTTAACCCTATTTTATCCCCACTGGATTACACATGCCACAAGAAACCTCAGGATCACACATCTTCAAGTGGAGAGTACATATCACAATTTCTAAAGTTACAAATACTGAGATCTTTTGCAGCACTGCTCCTCAAAAAGCCTACTCTTTGGCTTACAAAAAAATCTCAGGCCAGGCACGGTGGCTCATGCCTGTAATCCCAGCACTTTGGGCGGCCAAGGTGGGCAGATCACGAGGTCAGGAGATCGAGACCATCCTGGCCAACATGGTGAAACCCCGTCTCTACTAAAATACAAAAAATTATCCAGTGTAGTGTCATGCACCTGTAGTCCCACCTACTCGGGAGGCTGAGGTAGGGGAATTGCTTGAACCTGGGAGGTGGAGGTTTCAGTGAGCTGAGATCGCATCACTGTACTCCAGCCTGGTGACAGAGCAAGACTCGGAAAAAAAAAAAAAAAAAAAAAAAGAAAAACACCTCAGACTCCCTCCATTAGTTGCATGTAATACGAGGCAGTCCTATCTCAATGGGCACCTCGAGATTCTTAGGCCCCACGAATAAATGTATTCCTGATCCTAGGAGGTAAGATACTAGGGACAGTGATGCATTTACATTTTCATTTATTTGGACTGGAAGAATGAAAGCAATAAAAGCAAGCCCCAGCTAATTCAGCTCCTTATGACTCCTCTCTCCCTCAGCTACAGTTACTCACTCTAGAGGCTTAAATATTCAATATTCCTTGGAACAAATATGTGCTCAAATTGCTCATTACCTAGAGTTTCCTTCACCAGCCCACATCCTTTCTTAAGACAAGCAAAAGACTTGAAAAAAGGAAAGTGAACCGAAAGAGAAAGTCATTGGCCACAGATTCCATTTGGTGGGTGATTTCCTACATTTTACTCTTCCAGTCTTTTGCAAGATTTCCCTCTAATTCAGTCTTACACACACTTACTGAGTGCCTGTCTCATGACCTCCCCTGTGTCAGTGATACAGAGATATGTGACAGATAATAAAAACCACTTATTTAGTGTAGCCTGTGGGCCAGGTACTGAGAGTTGGGAGTTTTAGATCCATTAACTTACTAATCCTCCCTGCAACTTACAAAGTAGGTAAGATTATTGTTATTTTGCAGATGAAGAAACTGAGGCTTAATGGCAGAATGACTTAAGTGTCAGGGCCAGGATTGGAATTCATTTGTGTTCTATATTATACCAAAACCAATGTCAATAATAATTGTGAATCCAAGAGTAAAGGGGGCTGGGAATGAAAATGTAGTCAGGATTAGGTCATGGAAAGCATCGAATGTTGTGATAACAGTAGCAAAAAAGGCACAGACCATATGACAGCCTGGAACAAACTCCATCCAGCATGAAGCTGCAATATCTCTGGGGACAGAATTGGGCATGAGCTCAACTGATCCAGACAATATATGGGTTATATATTTATAATTGCTAGACATGGACACATGCATTGGGAGTGGGTGATTCGTGTTCAGGATCCCAATGAAGTGGGTGATGAATGGAAGAAAAGCTGAGAACACTGCATTAGAGGAAGAAGTGGCTCTTGGCAAGACCCTCTAACTCTCTGAACCTGTTTTCTCCCTGTAACTAAAGAATAATAACTTCTGGTCTTAACATGGTGGTATAGAAGCAAGCTGAATTCACTTCCCCCAACCTCAGCAAAATGGGGAGGAGGTGGAGTTAAAGTATAGAAATTTTGTGTGTTTTTGCCTTCATTGGTTTCTATTATTTTTATTTATAAGTTGTATCGTTAACATAACTTGTTATATCTGTACAATTTTGTGTAAGCCTCATGACAACAATGGCACAAAAATCTATAATAGATTCACTAAAAATTAAAAGCAACAAATTAAAACGTACTACCAGAGAAATCACTTAACCACAAAGGTAGAAAGTAATAAGGGAAGAAAGGAAGAGAGAAGTCAAAACAACCAGAAAACAGGCAACAAAATGCCAGTAGTAAGTCCTTACTGAACAATAATAACACTGAATGTAAATGGTCTTAATTCTCCAATTAAAAGGCACAGAGTGGCTGAATGGATAAAGAAGTAGTTGGGGTGTTAACCCAACTATATGCTGCCTTCAGGAGACTTAGTTCACCTATAAAAACACACATAGCCTGAAAGTGAAGGGGTGGAAAAAGATATTCCATGCAACTGGAAGCCAAAAAAGGTCAGGATAAGCTATACTTTTATCAGATAAAATAGACTACAAATGTAAGATTTTAAAGAGAGACAAAAAAGATCACTATATAATGATAAAGGGGGGTCAACTCAGCAAGAGGATATAACAATTACAAGTTTCTATGCACCCAACACGCAAGCTCCCAAGTCTACAAAGCACACATTAATAAATCCAAAGGGAGAGATATACTGCAATACAATATTAGTGGGGGACTTTAACACTCCACCATCAGTAATGGACAAATGATCTAGATGGAAAATCAACAATAACAACAATATCAGAGTTAAACTACACACTAGATTTAATAGGCCTAACTGACATTTATAGAACATTTCATCCAATTACTGAAGAAGACACATTCTTTTCATCAGCACATGAAATATTCTCCAGAATACATCATATCTTAGGCCACAAAAGAAGCCTAAATGAATTTTTAAAAACAGAAATTATATCAAGGATCTTTTCTGACCATAATGGAATAAAACTAGCAATCAATAACAAGAGGAACCTTGGAAAATACACAAACACATGGAAATTAAACAACATGCTCCTAATTGTTTTTTTTAAAACTTTATGGGTTTTTTTTACATACTTTAAGTTCTAGGGTACATGTGCACAACGTGCAGGTTTGTTACATGTGTATCCTTGTGCCATGTTGGTGTGCTGCACCCATTAACTCATCATTTACATTAGGTTTATCTCCTAATGCTATCCCTCCCCACTCCCCTCACCCCACGACAGGCCCCAGTGTGTGATGTTCCCCTTCCTGTGTCCATGTGTTCTCATTGTTCAATTCCCACCTATGAGTGAGAACATTGCGGTGTTTGGTTTTCTGTCCTTGCAGTGGTTTTCTGAGAATGATGGTTTCCAGCTTCATCCATGTCCCTACAAAGGACATGAACTCATCATTTTTTATGGCTGCATAGTATTCCATGGTGTATATGTGCCACATTTTCTTAATCCAGTCTATCATTGTTGGACATTTGGGTTGGTTCCAAGCCTTTGCTATTGTGAATAGTGCTGCAATAAACATACGTGTGCATGTGTCTTTATAGCAGCATGATTTATAATCCTTTGGGTATATACCCAGTAATGGGATGGCTGGGTCGAATGGTATTTCTAGTTGTAGATCCTTGAGGAATCGCCACACTGTCTTCCACAATGGTTGAACTAGTTTTCAGTCCCACCAACAGTGTAAAAATGTTCCTATTTCTCCACATCCTCTCCAGCACCTGTTGTTTCCTGACTTTTTAATGATCGCCATTCTAACTGGTGTGAGATGATATCTCATTGTGGTTTTGATTTGCATTTCTCTGATGGCCAGTGATGATGAGCATTTTTTCACGTGTCTGTTGGCTGCATAAATGTCTTCTTTTGAGAAGTGTCTGTTCATATTCTTTGCCCACTTTTTGATGGGGTTGTTTGATTTTTTCTTGTAAATTTGTTTAAGTTCTTTGTAGATTCTGGATATTAGCCCTTTGTCAGATGGGTAGATAGTAAAAATTTTCTCCCATTCTGTAGGTTGCCTGTTCACTCTGATGGTAGTTTCTTTTGCTGTGCAGAAGCTCTTTAGTTTAATTAGATCCCATTTGTTAATTGGAAAAAACTACTTTAAAGTTCATATGGAACCAAAAAAGAGCCCGCATTGCCAAGACAATCCTAAGCAAAAAGAACAAAGCTGGAGGCATCAAGCTACCTGACTTCAAACTGTATTACAAGGCTACAGTAACCAAAACAGCATGGTACTGGTACCAAAACAGATATATAGACCAATGGAACAGAACAGAGCCCTCAGAAATAATACCACACATCTACAACCATCTGATCTTTGACAAACCTGACAAAAACAAGAAATGGGGAAATGATTCCCTATTTAATAAATGGTGCTGGGAAAACTGGCTAGCCATATGTAGAAAGCTGAAACTGGATCCCTTCCTTACACCTTATACAAACATGCTCCAAATTGTTTACAATTTCTTGAAGCAAATACCAAAATCTATGGGATATGGCAAAAGCACTAAGAGGGAAGTTTATACCAATAAATGCTCCTGTCAAAAAAGTAGAAAGTCTTCAAATAAACAACCTAATGATGCATCTCCAGGAACTGGAAAAGAAAGAACAAACCAAACCACAAATTAGTAGAAGAAAATAAACAATAAAGATCAGAACATACATAAATGTAATTGAGACTTAAACATGGAAATATATTCCGTGCTCATGAATTGAAAGAATTAATATTGTTAAAATGACCACATTTCTCAAAGTAATTGACAAATTCAGTGCAATTCCTATCAAAATACCAATGACATTATTCACATAAATCAATATATAAAAATGACATTTGCAGTCCCATGTTTATTGCAGCACTATTCACAATAGCAAAGACATGGAATCAACCCAAGTTTTCATCAACAGATGAATGGAAAGAAAATGTGGTACATATATACAATGGAATATCATTTCATTGTAAAAAAGAATGAAATTCTGTCATTTCCAGCAACATGGTTGGAACCGTTTATGTTGAGTGAAATAAAACACAGAAAGACAATATTTCATGTTCTCATGTGAAAGCTAAAAAAGTGGGTGGTGGCCTGAAGGTAGAGAGGAGAATGGTGATTATGAGAGGCCAGGAAGGTTAAAGGGAGAGAGGGATGAAGGGAAAAAAGAAAATAAATGTATTCATTACCACTGAATTGTACAGGTAAAAATGATAAAGATGATAAATTTTATATGTATATTTTTACTTCAATTAAAAAAGAATAAAATCCACTATTTCTTGTTGCATTGTGTATGAGTGATTAGCACAGGGCCTGTCCATTTTAGGCTTTTTAGAAATAGCCACATTTTCCCTTCTAAAATTGATTCTAAGAAATAACTGATTGAATGTAAAAAGACTTATGATCAAAGATGTTTACAGTAGCCTTTTTTTTTTTTTGTAATAATGGACAATGTATGGCTCTAGAGCCTGTGAACTTTCCATCACATGTTTCAAGTAAAGATATTGACATTGCTGGGAACAACTGTGGAAGGTCACAGTGAAAGGTCAGTTACTGGGGTGAAGTTAGTAGACAGATTTAAATGCTGGGCCAGTTTCCTGTTACTTGCAAATTATAAGCAGAAACACTTAAATTTTACTAGAAAGAATATGAAGAAGGTGGATTTAAAATTTTCTGAATGGACCAAGATTTAATTCTGGCTCAGAAAAGGGTACTTAAAAGTAGAATCTATTTATTATACTTGATATGTCTGTCTGCTTGAAAATATTTGTAAAATATTTTATTTTGATTTTTAAACAGTATGGAAGTGCCTCAAAAAACTAAAAAAAAAAAAAAAAAATAGAACTATCATATGATACAGCAATTCCACTACTGTGTATACACCGAAAAGAAAGGCCCTCAATTAATGTTTATATCTGGAATGAATGAAGTGCTTGGTACAGAGAGGGTGCTGAGTGAACTACAGCCTTTATTATTGCTGCTTTCCTGGTTGATTGAAGCTAAGAGGAGAGGAGATAGTCAATGAGAGAACAGTACAAGTTGCCAAGACACTGAGGAAGGAAATTGCTTGGATGTGGTCACCAACATCCACCTAGTTGCCTAGACCAGCACCCTAGCAGTCGTTCTTGATTGAGCAGGTGCCACCCTTATTAGTCAAATGGTCCACACCCAGCATGGAGAGGAGCCCTGAGGCAGGAAGTAGGAGCCGGATTCCTTTGTAGTTTCCTTTATGCCACCTCATCAAGCCTCAAGTTTATAAGTGCTTCAAATTCCCAGTCACTCCCTGTTCTGTTGTCAGTATTTATAACAGATATTAATATTAATATTACCCCTCTAAATATGAATGCAATTCCAGTGCAATCTGATCATTCCCTCCCATTAAATGACTATCAAGAGTAATGACAATGATTATTATTTCCAATCACGATGTGTTGAACACATCAACACTGTAATATAAACTATGAACCCTAATGTATACAGGGGGAAAATGAAGCTCAGCAAGAAATAGTGGCAAGGCGAGTTGGAGAACATTGTGGTGGCATATGTACACAGTGGAATAGTATTCAGCCTTTAAAAAGAAGGAAAGACAGAAATCTTGTTACATGCAACAACATGGATTAACCTGGTGGCCATTATTTAAGTTAAATAAGCTAGGCACAGAAAGAAAAATATTGCATGATCTCACTTACATGTGAATCTAGAAAGTTGAACCTAGAAGCAAAGAGTAGAATGGGGTTACCAGGGCTGGGGAGTGAGTGGGGAGATATTGGTTAAAGAATGCAAAGTTTCAGATAGGAGGAATAAATTCAAGAGGTTTATTGTATGCTGCTCTGTCTATGGAGTAGCTGTTCTTTTATTCTTTTACTTTCTTAATAAACTTGCTTTCACTTTGCACTGTGGACTCGCCCTAAATTCTTTCTTGCATGAGATCCAAGAACCCTCTCTTGGGGTCTGGATCCAGACCCCTGTCCTGTAACATATTTCTGGCAACCACAGAAGGGACTATAGTGCAGAAACCCTGACTCAACGGCTAACTTTGGGTAAGTGTTGGGGTCCTGTAACATCTTTCTGGTGAATCCTGAAGGGACAATACTGAAGAAACCACCCCCACCAACCCAAAGGAAATAGAGTGCAGCACTGATTGGATGACTTTGGGTAAGTGGTGGGGTACTTGAGTAAAGAATGGGATTGGGTTAGAGGCCCAACTTAGGGGAGTTAGAGTCTCTCCTAAGACAGAGTGGGTTAGAGGCCCCTCTTAATAAAAGGCAAGGATGCTTGACTGACCTTGGGTTAGAGGCCTGACTTAGGAGGGTTAGGGTCCCTTCTAAGATTCAGGGGGTTAGAGGCTCCTGTCGGTAAAGTCCCTCTCAGCTAAGAACGGGTTCGGCACTGTGGAATGTGAACTGCTATTCTCTTTGGATTAATCTGCCTTGCATTCTTTGCTGATGGCTATGGGTGATAAGATTAGGCATGTACAGGATTGTGGGACATGGGAAGCTTTTTCCTCCCTAAAAGGGGAAACTCGAGAGCTGATAGGATTGCTGGAAAAGATCCCTGCTCAACTGGCAGCAGCCGCCTGAACTTTTCAGTGTCACTGCAATGGGTGGGTCTTTCTCTGGCTTCCCTGATCATTTCGCCGTCCCCACCCTGCCACAGGCAATGCTTTTCTTTCTCTCCTTTCTCTTTCTTTTCTATTACTCAGGGCAACAATCTTGCCCAGAAACCACATGTTGAAACTCCTGGTCGGAGGCTGGATTAACAATGACAGGGCCCAACCAGGGAAAAGTTTAAACCTTGCGAGTTTAATTGTGGGTGCTAACCAGAGTGGGTAATGTCTATATTTTTTCACATGGATTTTGCTCTGGCCAGAACAGAAAAAGATAATTTTTCCTTTGTGTTGTTGCTTGGTGCCTAGGGCTATGGTGTAGCCAGCCGGGTCACTAGGCCTGCTCAGGGAAAGGGAACTCAGAAGCCTGGCATGCCAGCAAAAGGATAAGAATTTCTTACCAGTCAGATTTCTGGCACTTTCTCTCTCTGTGTGTGTGTGTGTATGTGTGTGTGTAAACTGGATGTTTCCCTCTGGTCAGTTATGCCCTTGGGAGCTTGACCTTGTAACGATGTGGCCATGCTTTCTCTTTTCACAATGGCAGCCTGGGTTCAGGGTTCAATTCCCAGCTTAGGGGATGATCCTTTATCTTCTATCTGTCTATGTATTTATATGCGTTATGTGTGTGATGTTTATATATGAAAGAGCTTTAGTTAGTTTGAAAATAAGAGCTTAAATCAAATATTTTTTCAGGAAAGTAAAAAGTGTACTGCCTTTTAGTTATGTTTCAAGAACTGTGGCACACTTGTTATTAAATTCTAATCTCATCAGTTGTTTTTAAGTTTGTTTCTGCAATTTAGGCTAACCCTGCTTATGCCTGTAAACCAACCAGTGATCTCTGACTGCTGCTCAGAAGAAACAAGAGGGATGATGGGTAATGTAAAAATCTGGATCAGTATTCTAATTCTGGGCACATTACAATCAGCTAACAAACCCATATCAGCTTAATTCCAATAGTTGCTCAGTTCATGAAAAACTTTCTAATTTAGTTTACTTGGAATAACTTTACCTATTTTGCTTTACTCTTGTGGAATATATTGCTGTTATACTCTTTGTGTAGGAATACAGGACAAGCTTACTGAATGTTTTCTTAAACTAAACACGTATTAATCTTCCAGATATCACCTCTTGTCAAAACTCAAGAATCATAAATGGCCCTCAATATACTGATGCTTTCTAACTGAGTTCCTCTCTACCCTGAACACAAGAGACCCTAATAGTTAGGCAGGAATATCGTCGCCCCTGCTCAACCTGAAGAAGTTACAGAAGATGGATCTTCATCCCTCTACAACCCTTAGGGTTAAGGGTTCACTTATAAAAGGGAGGGGGGAAATGTCAGAGGCATGTGAACCAGAACTACCCCATCTTGAATTGGAGCTGGGTAAAATGAGGCTGAAATCTACTGGGCTCCATTCCCAGATGGTTAAGGCATTCTAAGTCACAGGGTGAGATAGGAGGTCGGCACAAAAGACACGTCATAAAGACCTTGCTGATAAAACAGGTTGCAGTAAAGGAGCTGGCTTAAACCCACCAAAACCAAAATGGCAACGGGAGTGACCTCTGGTTGTCCTCACTGCTACACTCCCACCAGTGCCATGACAGTTTACAAATGCCATGGCAACATCAGGAAGTTACCCTATATGGCCTAAAAAGGGGAAGCGTGAATAATCCACCCCTTGTTTGGCATATCATCAAGAAATAACCATAAAAATGGGCAACCAGCAGCCCTTGGGGCTGCTCTGTTTATGGAGTAGCCATTTTCATTTTCTTTTACTTTCTTAATAAACTTGCTTTCACTTTGAAAAAAAATCTATTGTACATCATGTTGACTATAATAATGACAATGTATTGTATTCTTGAAAATAGCTAGAAGATTTTGTGTTCCCTCCACACACAAAAAATGCTAAGTATGTGAAGTAATGCCTGTGTTAGTTAGCTTGATTAAGCCATTCAACAATGAAGATGTATCTCAAAACATCATGTAAACCAGGCACAGTAGTGTTCCCCTGTAATCCTAGCTACTCAGGTGTTGGAATTTGCTCAGGATGGTGGCAGAAATATTAGGGAAAGTTATAGGGAATAGTCACAAACCTTTTTGGAAGGCCGAAAGGTTACATAGCTTGTAATAATTGAACAGGCTGAAGGCGGCTTGTTCTTACCTTAGGGCATTAGGTCATAGGGTAAATACTAGGGACAATAGAGGCTTCCCCAGTTAAGTCTGTTTATCCTACCTCCATTAACTAACCTTTGAGCCAGATGGCCCTATGGGGGGGGAGAGGGAAGGTCGACCAGGGAAATTGCACCCTAGTGGTATTTACTTTAGATCACAGTACCTGAGCTTTAATCATTCATAAAACTTCTCTCTTAATCATGTTAATTATCCACGAGTGTGTTTACTCCAAGCTTCTTTTGTTAATTCTATTCCAAATAAATGCCTGAAGTGCGAGCTGCTCAGGGCCACGGCTGCCATTGTTTACAGGACTCTCCTTGGAGTCTGTGAGTGGCCTCGGACCCTCAGCTGCACTGGCGAAGCAGAATATCTGTGTGTCAATATACTTGATTCATCTGTTGCTGGGCCAGGGGTCTGCAAGGGACAGACTCCCTGCAGCTAGTGCCCCTGCAAAAGGAGCACTGCCTCACTCAGGAGGCTGAGGTGGGAGAATTGCTTGAGCCCAAGAGTTTGAGACCAGCCTGGACAACATAGTGATACTCCATCTCAAAAAAAAAAATCATGTTTTACTTGATAAATATATACAATTTTTATGTGTGCATTAAAATATATAAATAATTTTTGAAAAACAGCAAAACAAGATGTTCTGATGATATCAATACTGGATATTTAAGTTTAAATAATTTCTTGGGTGGAGTGATAGTGGCGGAGTGATGTGAGGAGAATGATGCCAAGGAAAATTATTTATAATTTATAAGCAACAGTTGGCATCAAACACCACTGCAGAAGTAGTAACACATCTAATGGTTTGAAGTATTCTAAGCACTTCATATATCTTCTCTGACCTACTGGAATTTGACCCATAAGGAATCAATTAAGTGTTTATTAATTATTTTGTGCATTGATTTTCTGACCCTGAATAGAATGTCTATGCTTCAAAGACAGGGATTGTGTTGTCTTCTGGTTCTGGCTTTGCCCCCAACAAATATCTAGCAGAATAGGTACAAAAGCGTTTGAGCTTGTCGAAGAGAAGGGATAAAAGAAGGATGACTGGCTAACACAATGTGGCTTCTAGAACGAGGCAGTAGATCCCTTCAGAGCCGCCTGATGTTAGGGAAAACACCCATACAATCCAGAGCCTCAGTCTCAGCTCCCTAACAATTCTATCTTGAGATCTCTCTAAAAAGTAAGCATATTTATACACTCACACCTCTTGTGTTGAGGATTATATGATATAAGGAATATAAATGTTGGTGCTTGCAAGTGTAACCCTGACTCGTGGGACTGTCTCTTAGCCCTTAACATCCATTCCTTAGAGGCAGTGGGGAAAGCCATCTGGAATGCAAGCTCTGGAGCCACAGCCTGGGTTTATATCCCAGATCACACATTCACAAGCTGTGTCTTTGAGCAAGTTGTGTGACCTCTCTGGGCCTTGGAAGCTCATTTGTCAACTGGGGATAATGATTGTACCTACCTTATAGAATTATTGGAGATGATTAAATGAGGTAAAGCATGTGAAATACTCTGCAAAGTGCCTGGCACACAGGACACAATTGCTACACTTCAGTTTAGGGCAACATATCGTGATTAATAACATCTCCCCACAACATACCTGCAGCCTGAGTCCTCTGTTCAAGTTTAGGCCTTTGAATTAGGAGTAAATATATTATTATCCTTCCCCATCTTTCCCTGAGACAGGGGAAGAACCATTCAGGGTCACTTTAATTCTCAAACTCTCTGTTGAGATCCCACCAGAGGAACTGAGTTCACATGAACTTACCTGTTCAGAAATCTTTTCTGGGTACACAAGAAGTTATTTTTTTGCTGCAACAGACCCCTGGATATACGTCATCAAAAACAGATTTTCCCAGAGTAGTACTTATTTTCTCATGAGGAGACTGTCCTTGTGACTGGCTGGGTACTTTCCAGAGGGCTGTATGAGGAAAACAGATTTAATCCTTTACATGTCATAAAAAGCAGGACACACATCTTAACCTTCATACCATTTTGAAATGGCGCAGTGGTGCTCTGGGCCCCATACTAGAGTCATAACAGTGCTGTTCATAGTCATCCATAGTAGACACTGGAGAACAAAGAAAGAAACATGGAACATCTAAGCAAAGGACACCAGCACTAATGTGAAGGTGGAAGGTACTTGCACCTGCAGGCAGGAGCCTATGCTTCCAACTGCTTTCCATAGTGGGGAGTGGGGCCCCACTGCCTGCCCCCAATACTGTCCCTTCTTCAGTATCCCAACTTCTGACCTGTGAACTCAGTTCACATTTGTAATTCCCCCTTGAGTTACTGTGTACTTTTACAGCTCTCTTTTCCTATGCCTCTTTAGTGTTTGCTTGGGGTTTTCTCAGTCAATCTGATTCAGGAATTGCCCATAACTTCTCAGGTCTAAGGTTCCTCTTCCTTATTTTGCAGTATAATTATGATTCAAAGGTAAATCTCTATTCTGGCATGTTCTGAGACTTATGCCTGGAGCCAAAGACTAGAGCCTCTTCTCAGGCCACCATCTGGATTCCACATCCAGGTGGCATGGGAACAGGACATTTCTGAAAACCATTGCTAGAATGATTATGTTATGTGGCACTTTTGTATTTTTGGCATCACTGATGATCATCAGGAGCATGACCCAATTGATACACTGTAAGGTAAGACCCCTAGAGAATACTGTAACATAGTCAAATATATATATATATATATATATATATATATATATATATATATATATATATGTAATGGCAAGGGGAAGGGTTCAAGGAAACAGACTGAGAAGGAGTGACCAAAAGAGGCAGGAGGAAAGTAAGCAGAGTGGCCTTTCTGTAGAAGTGAAAAATGTTACCTGGACTTTCCAAGTCCCATAATCACTGGGTTCACGTTCTTGAACCTGCTGAGATAAGCCTAAATGGCACATATGCCTCCCATCTACAAAGTAAAAATAACAGACAGGAATGTTGCATTCTTCCAATAAGTATTTATTGCAGTCCTACTCTGCTATATCAATTCATTGTATACAGGAAGGCTCCAAAGAAGTACTCATAGCAGCTTCAAACTGCATTGTCCAAGATGCACTGTGAAAGGGAAAATGTGTGTTTTATAGTGGTATGATAAGGTTCTGAACAAGGTGTGGGGATAAAAAACACATAAACCCTCTATATTAATAGAAAGTTGAGCTGAAAGATTTGCTGTATTCAGTCATTTACGGTATATTATTTCCAACACACTAACTGATGTTTATTAGTTGTATAAAAATAGCTACAGTGGGCCAGGTGCGGTGGCTCACGCCTGTAATCCCAGCGCTTTGGGAGGCCGAGGCAAGTGGATCACGAAGTCAGGGGTTCGGAACCATCCTGGCCAACATGGTGAAACCCCACCTCTACTAAAGATACAAAAAAAAAAAAAAAATAGCCTGGAGTGGTGGCACACACCTGTAATCCCAGCTACTCAGGAGGCTGAGGCAGGAAAATCGCTTGAACGCAGGAGGCAGAGGTTGCAGTGAGCTGAGATAGCACCATTGCACTCCAGCCTGGGTGACAGGGCGAGACTCCATCCCCCTACCCCCCCCAAAAAAATAGCTACACTGTACTGAGTGGCATGGGTCATCATCACTCATACATAAATGTGTCAGAGCATCAGTGAGCACCAGGCTCCAGGATCTGTGCTTTGGTGGACTTTTCTCACACATCCATGTTTTCTGCAGGTTAATAGACCTCAAAGAGCTCACAGTTGGTGGGGACGGGGAGCCATATTGAAGATAATGACAAAACAACAGATGAAAACCATGGTGGGCATGAGAAAGGGGAGGCTCGAAACACAGAGGGGGGCCCCTTAGCCCAAGTGGTCGGGAACAGCTTCTCTCAGGACACGCTATGATGTATAATATTATAATCCCCACTTGCAGATGAGGTAACTGAGGAACAGAGAGGTTAAGCAACTTAAGTGGTGGAACACATTTTCAACCTATGTCTCTTGAAATGCAAAGTCCTTTGCATTGTGAATGTTACTAATCTTGTGAATGTTACCCATCATGATATGGTCATCTGTTTTGATTCACATTCGTCACCCATACTTCCTCCTTATCTTGGTTCACTCCTTTACATTCTTCAAATCTGCTAAGTATAATAAATACATGAGGCCTTTCTTCTTTTATAGGCTGGATTGCTACTAAAACGTTAAGCTTTAATCCATTCTCCATCCACAGAGTGGGTTAATGAGAAATGAATGGATCACTGCTGCCAAAGTGTTAACCAGCCTGTTACACTGAGTATCAAACACAAATTAAAAATGCTATCCATATGCAGTGATCAATTGGAAACCCACTGCTCCCCTTTAAATCTATTCACAACACCCTACAATAGTGGATTTTATCAAATGTCAGGAGTTCCCTTGCAGGAGATAACACCTGTTTGATTTTCCATATTCACACACACCAGTTATTGAGCATTGTTAATAAATACTGCTCATTGCCATATGGAAATCCTTTCTTATTTTTCTTGGAGCAATGGAGCCAAACAAAGCCATGGAGCCAAGCAAAGCCATGAGCACTTGATTGTTTGACATATTATCATATGACCAAATTTCCAATAACAGTGCAACTCTGATGCCCAATATCTGCTCCACACAGGCAAACTGGTTATCCAAGGAGTCATTCACTCACTAGATATTCCTGACAAACTTGTTTAAAGAAGTATAAGCTAATGAAGGAGATCAAAAATATTGAAACATGTCTAATGATACCTCATATGTTCTAGAATGAGATTCTCTGATTACTTCAATATGAGAAATGTGTTTCCCTATTGAATTAACCTTCCATTGCTGCCATAACAATTTGTCACAAACTCCATAGCTTTAAATTGAAGAAGGAATTAATGAAATCAACTATAACCTAATAGTAGTAATAGATATTTTAAAATCCTCTTAAAGTTGCTGCAAAATATGACCCCCCCCGACCTTACAGTCAAGTTAAAAGAGAATATTAACAGCCTGTCTTCTCTCTGTGGACAGTGGACCTTATCTATACTCCCCAGCTCCACATTCCTCAAAGTTTATTACAGGCCCAGCGAGTTCCTGCACGGCTGCAGGGTCGCAAGACCGATAAGTTTAGGTTGCAAGACATGTTTCTCTCAAGATGTAAGAAATGTTGTAAATGCTGCCTTTGTTTCTTGCTTCTGTAACTTGCTTCCTGCCTCACGTAGTTCCCGCCTTAAGATGTTTAAAAGTAGGAAAAGCCCTTTGTTCAGGGCTCAGACTTTCTGTACATTTGTCCGGCAGGAATCTCAGATCCCATTCAGAGACTTCAAAGAGGTCTCACCCATCCCATTGGCACTTACAAAAGGTCCCACAAACCCAGGGAGGAAATGGTACCATTTTCTCCAGACACATCTGTGAAATCTGTCTGTGAGGTCTTCACTCATTTACAGTTTGTCATTTTAATTCCGCTTAGCACAGAACAACTAAGAGTAGTACGGTCTGCAGAAAAAAAAGGAAATGAAAAAATGACATAAATCTTGCCCCTACACTCAATGCCCTTTTTCTGGACCAAGGATAGACTAGAAGCCCAGCTGTCCTGGCATAGTCCTCCATGCTGATGTGTGGCTTACCCAGGCACAGTGTGCATGACTTTTCCCAGGCCATGGCTGGGCTGTTTGGGTCTCCATGTTTCCCACCTCCAGGAGAGCAGGAGAAATGGAATTAGGTCTCAAGGCCTCACCCAGACAAGACTCATGGAGGCTATAACCAGGGCTGGCCTCCTACAAGTTATCCTGCAGAGAAAAGCTATATCTTCCCTGATCAAGGAAGCGTGGAAGAGGGTGATATGGATCTAGAATTGATGCCATGTTCCAGGCAGACAAGAAGAGATTCAAACTGCTTTTGACTAAAAAACCCTTATATAATGATAACAATACCTAGAATATATTGGGCATTTAATAAATCACAATACTGTTGCTGCTACTGCTATTGTTACTGCTGCTGCTGCTACTACTACTACTACTACTAATAATAATAGCAATAACAGTTCTCATTTACTTACTCCTTCTAACGTACCAGACACAGCATCAAAAGATGTGCCTTCACTTATCTTTTAACTGTTCCCATCATCCCAGTTAGCCAATCAGGAAATGGAGGTCCACAGAATCATAGTAACTGCCTAAGTTCACAGAAGTAGTAAGTGCTGGAGCTCAGATTCTAACTCAGATCTGCTTCATTCCAAAGCCAGTTTTATTAAACCCTGTCCTATAATGTCTTACATCAAGAAATAGTAAAATATGTTAGAAGGTTCTAGTGTTTGGTCCTGGGGTCCTGGGCGATGACAACTTCTGACTCATCATTATACCAGTCACCTAATATCTAATCAGTAGGATTGCCTGGATCTCATTTCTTTAATTAAACAAGGGCATAAGAGATATTCTATATATGGGCTAAAATCTGATCATCCTCCTTATACCTACTCACAGGGTAAGATAATTAAATAAAAGAGAAAAAGTGATGGTGAATGATCCAGTTATCTGTTGCTACATTTTAAAAAATGCTCCACCACTTGGCGGCTTCAAGCAAAAAATGTATCTGTGTCCCACATAGTTCTATGGGTTGGCGGGTATCAGCTTTCTTGGGGTCTCTCATGCAGTTGTAGTCAGTTATGAATGGCAACTGTGGTGTTCCAAAGGCTCCACTGGCCTGGACTTCCAAGTAGACTCACTCACATGACTGGATTTTCATGCTGACTGTTGGCTTATTTGAGGTTTACAACTTTGTATCCTCCACCTGGCCTTTCCCTATCTCTTGGGGTTCTCTTAGCATGATGTTTGTGTTCTCAGAAGGAACACTCCAAGAGTGAGAGTTTTAGGAGACATGGGTGGAATTAAGTCTTCTTATGACCTAGACTTGGAAGAAACATGCATCACTTCTGCCACGTTCTATTGCTCCAACACAGCCCATATTCAAGGGGAAGGGAGTTAGACTCCATCTCATAGCATGACAATCAATGAGTGCAGACAGGGAAGGAAGTTCTTGATGATGGCCATATTTAGAGAATACCTACCACAGTGAGGATGTGGTGAACCAGCATTAGCACCCTTGCAGGTAGGACTGTACAGCCTGGGAATAAGCACCAATGGTATAAGCACAAAAACCCTCAGATACGGTAACTTCCCTTCAAATTATTTATTCCAACCAGGGGCAGTGGGTCATCCCATAATCCCAGTACTTTGGGAGGCTGAGGCGGGTGGATTGCCTGGGTCCAGGAATTTGAGACCAGCCTGGGCAACATGGCGAAACCCCATCTCTACAAAAAATATAAAAATTAACTTGGCATGGTGGCGTGTGCCTGTAGTCCCAGCTACTCAGGAGGCTGAGGTGAAAGGATCATTTAAACCTGGGAGGTGGAGGTTGCAGTGAGCAGAGATAGTGCCACTGCACTCCAGCCTAGGCGACAGAGGAAGACCCTGTCTCAAAAAAAAAAATTGTTTATTCCTAGGAAATAACAACACAGGCATACAAAGATTTTTGAACAATGTTATCACTCTAGTTTTCTTGGCAGGAGCAGAAAACTTCAAATGATCTAAATGCCCATCAGAAGGAAGTTGCTTGAAAACATTGATACACATCCAAACACTGGAATGTATTGAAATTCAGGTCAAATCCAGAAAATAAAATGTGGCCCCTGTAGAGAAGGGGTTGAGACAATCAAGGCCACCAGGTTATCTGTATTGTCTTTGGCTCACAGAACCTTAGCCATGTTTTCCCATCTTTGTTTAATATTCCCCCCAAACACACACTCTGCCTTCCTCTGGGGATCTTCTGGTTATTTCAGCTTGCAGAGCACTTCCTCAGGCAAGCTTTCTCTGTCACCCCTCCATTAGGCTAGTTTTCCCTGCCAAATCCTCTTTTAGCCTACCTTCATTCTCTTAAAGTGTTAGGTAGAGCACATCAGTTTGTTGTAATTGCTTGCATAATTATCTGTTTCTGCACTCCTACTAATTGGAAGCTCACCCTTTTGCTATTTTATCTGGGGCTAGAGTAGTGTTTGAAGAGTCTGGAACTTACATATTAGGAACATGTTGTCCCCACAGAGTCTGCAGCAGTAGACTCTACTACTTGGAGCATTACTCCACAGATATCCTCCCAAATAAAGTATTTCATATCTTTCAGCAAAATCTATCCTCTGAGTCATGAGATACTTAGTGTTTTAAAAAAATTTTCAGCTATGTGGGTTTTGTGGTTATTATTATATGATTATTGTAGGTTTCCTGTTTACAGCTTAAATGCAGTTAGAGAAGAATAAAACATTCCTGGGAGTTTTCAAAGAAAATGAGAATGAATAGAGAGACAAGCTAGTATAGCTTAAGTATAGTCGTGGGGGTTTGCTGTCCACTGGAGGAAGCTACCACAAGGGCTCCCCTAGGTAACAAATTCTCCACAGCCTAGCCTCTTCATGTAACATGTACAGAACTGTTGTATTTTCTTGGCCCATCAGGGGTGTTTTTTGGTGGATATGTAATCACAATCGCATCATGGTGTGCCCTACTCAGCTCAGTGACTCTGGTGTGGGCATGTAAGAATAGGGAATAATGGAAATATAGCATGTGATACAGAATTTGTAGCATATGGGACTTTTCAAAGCTACTTACAGAGACAGAATCAAGTTTGGATTAGTAGAGCCATTGCTTATTAATGTCTTTCAGTGCTTGTAAATTGTCAGTCACTCCCCTAAAGTCACTCCTCAGAGAACGTAGACTCCTCCAGGGTGGATTCCTCTGCCTCTTTTGATCACTGTTGTATGCACAGCAGCTAGCACAGTGCCCAGCACACCATAGGCCATCACAGGTAACTCTGGATTGAATTAATGGATCTCCTCTCCCAGGAGACTGTGAGACCCTTTGAAGCAGCCTCGTTGTCTGGGGTAAATACCAAGGTTCTTGGTCTCATGGCCAAGGAGATCGAGATCGCAGACACACACACAGACAGGGTGAGTTTGGAGAAGGAGTTTAATAGGCAAAAGGAAAGAACAGCTCTCCATCACAGAGAGGGGTCCTGAGCCAGTTGCCAAGTTGTAGTAAAAATGTCAGGGTTTTTATAAATGGGCTAGCAGCGAGGAGGGGGCTTGTGAAGAGGGGATGTCTTATCCTCCTAGGGCCTGACAGTTTAGTTAGGACGAGGTGTGCTATCTGTACAGAGCAGAGTTTTTGTTTTGTTTTGTTTTTTTTTTTTATCAGCTCTTATCCCATTCCCTGACCACATAGGCTGACTCTTAGTCTGTGTTTCTTTGTCCTGCTTATCTGGGAGGGAGAGTTTCTGTGTCTGTTTCAGTACATCTTCTTGCAGCTGCAGGCATCCCCTGGAGTGTGTTTTTAGCTTCTCTAGCTTAGTGTGCCTAAAGGGAAAAGAATGTCCTTATTAAGGCCCACTGTTTTACTGGGGCCCATTGTATAAGTGTGAAGTTTGATAATTACCCAGGAGACTTCCCCCACCTCCTTCTGTGTCTGAGCTGTCTTATCTGTGTTTTACTGTCTGCTCTTTCAGGTTGCTTGTTGTTAGAAGAGAAGTGATTTCTTTGAATTGCATAAGGTTAGAAAGGGAGCTATTTTTGAGCTGCTTTTTGTTAAAAGGAGTTTTCTGCCAGGGACTGGCTTTATCATGTCTACCTAAATAATTTCTTTCTGCCTCCTATGACACCTTGAGGGCAAGAACTATGTTTAATTGGTCTTTGCAGATCCAGCATCAGTTGGCTGGATGAAACCTGCTAAATGTCACTGAGTTCCTGTTTATTGAATTAACTAACTTCATTTGGAAGTAAGACTGACAGAAACCTCCCCTCAATCTTCCCATTCCAATCCAGAGTTTGTATATTTATGTTATCCTGCAAACACTTCTAGTCAGCTGTAAGATTCAGGGATGACGATGAGAACCTGATTAACTTTTCCGTGAACTCCACACAAAAGATGACATAATTCTTAGCAGAGTATGACTTAGGATAGCATTTCCTAGAACCCTGCAATTCAAGAGTCGCTTTTACAGTTGCTGCTTTCCCTGCACTTCAGTTCTACTGTTTTATGATGATGCCATACTTAATTTTAGAAAAATCTCTTGGCATAAAACAAAATGATACTCTGAAATATTTTAAAACAAAGTGCCAAACAGGCGTAAGTTATGAGACTTTAATCATTTGTGCTATGTAAACCCATCATGTATCTTCTGCTGGTACCCTCCAGACAAAGAACGTGAGGAACACCTTGAACAAAGTCTCACGGAGGGAGAAAACATACACCACGGAGCACATTGGGGCATCTCATTAATATGGTGCTAGAATGTACTTCTTAGAATCTTTTCTATAGGACTTGGGCTTATGTTAGGTGATTTGCAGGAGGACTCAAAAAGTGGGGCTTTTCTCTAATTGAACACCGTCAGGAAGTGGGGGATAATTCTATGATTAAGTATTGTTAATGTAAAAAAAAACAGGATTATAAATTTGGAAAAAGGAGACTATTTCTTATAAAGGGTTACAGCCTGCAAGGTGGCCTTCTCACAGGCTGGGAAGCATAGCCTCTGGCAAAGATCAGAGAGGTGCACTTCAAAGAAGGAGGGGTTGGGGTAAGGTGCTTTATTCTGAACAGATTGGCTAAATATACATATTCATCAGGTTACAGAAGAAGCTAGAAATATTCATGAAGGTGGTCCTGATGCATGCTTATTGAACAAACGTATGTAACATATGACCCATGTTAACCTTGTGGTGAAGATGTTAACATTTAAACATATTACAATTAGGCCCTATATGTCAAAAGGTCTTCTCAGGATGCAAAAGCACTCAAGTGGGAAGCCTCTGTAAACTGACCAGAACCAGTCCATGATTGGTGGTCTTCTTATCTGGAGAAAGTTCCTGAAATCAGTCTCTTGTCCAATCAAAGTTGTCATTATGGCTTGTGAAACAGGAGGTCAGTTAGTATCTGGTGATAAGCTACAATTATTTTAATATTGCTTATCTCTAGACCAGTGCTCCTTTGGCTGCTAGAGAAAAAGAAACACCTTGTAGCAGTTAGAACAGAGTTTGTTACTCTTGTCTGGCATGGCTTTAGGTCTTGTTTGTAGTTTGGTATCTTGTTGCCACAAAGAGTCCATTCTGTCAGTCTTATGATCTCTGTTTTAACATTAATGCTGGGAAGCTGCTGTGTCTTAACCATAAAAGGGAGAGGGGTTTAACGGGGCATGTCTGACTTCCCTTCCCTTCATGGCCAGGAGCTCAGCTTTGTTACTGAGAACCTTCATTTTTTTAGAGGTTGTTTAATTATTTTTTCCTCTCTCTCTCTTTTCTCATTTCCCCAGCTCTCCATTTCCTACTTAGTCCATAGAAATACAAATATAACCCTTCACTTCCCTCTTACCAGACATTCCCTACAGGACAAGTTCTTCAAACTATGTGCTGCTCCAAGACAGATCTCTTCTCCAGAGCTGACAGTTGATTTGCAGACCAAAGCACCATGGAACTTTTACCTCCAGGGGGCTGCCTTGGAACTTCCATCTTCCAGGGGTTGCCTTGGAACTTTCATCCACCAGGAGGGCTTATTGAAAGCATGAAAGCTTAGCCACTTTATGACTTCTGCCTGGAAAGGTACCAACTCACCTGTTCCATAGATAAGACACCAAGATAGCAGGGGGACCCCTGCACTTGTTCACTTCCCCCTCACCTTATAAAAATGCCCACTTTCTGCTCCAAAGGTGAAGTGGCACATTTAAAGGCAGGATGCTTTGTGCCCCTTCCCCCAAGCTAGCTTTGGAATAAATCCACTTTTTTTTGTGGCCTTGCTCTTGTTAATTAAACCTCTACATGCAGCAAGCAACTAACCTACTTTTCAGTTACAGTTTTAAAGTTTTTCTAGGGTCCCTTTGGTCAAGAAGGGATCCATTCAGGCATTGGGGGGGTTGGGATTTTATTTTTAGTTTACCTCATCTTTTCAATTTTTATCTTGAAGGTGCAAAGATAAAACCATGGTCAAAGGTTTAGTTGGAAAAAAAGCTGCAGTCACTCATTTTCACCAGTGCTGCTAGCGGTGAATCTGTATGGATCTTCAGCAACTTGATCATTGCCTCCTCAGAGGAAAGAATTCAGGCGAGGGGTAGAAGTAGGTATGAGGCAGAGGGAGAGACCAAGGCAAGCTCTAGAGCAGGAGTGAGCAGGAATGAGAGGAAGCAAAGTTCATTAGGAAGAAGGCCAAGTGGATGACTTGAGAGATCCAAGTGCCCCATTTGGCCCTTGACTTGGGGCTTTATACATTGGCATGGTTCTGGGTTTGCATTTCTTCTCCCTTGATTTTTCCCTTGAGGAGGACCGTCCGCATGCACAGTGACCCTACCAGCACTAGGGAGGGGCCGTATGCACAGCGTGTTTACTGAAATTGTGCGCATGCTCACTTGAGGCATTATTCCCTAACCAGTCACGCGTTCACAGAAGGTCATATACTGGTTAAATTTTGCCATTTTGCTTCTTAGTGCACATGCTTCAGCCCACTCACCCAACTCCTGAGATCTTATCAGGAAGCTGCTGATCACCAGTTCCAAGTGTTTTCTATTAGGAGACCGTCTTTCTCTGGCATCAGCTGTGCCAATTATTATTTTATAGAAACAGTTCAACTGCCTGACCATCACCTGGTGGTCACCTGGCATTCCTTGGACGGGGGGTGGAGGGGGGCTCCCCTGCCCTGCTCATGTCTGCCTATCTAACACCAGGATAAGCAATTCTAATTGTTAAACCAAAAAAATAGGTGCCAATGAATTGGAAAACTAATGGTGTCTTGTACAGAAGTTGTCTTCCTTTGTAGTTTGGATGAAATGATGTTGTTAACAGTACCTGATAAGGTCTTTTCCACTGCTGCCTAAGGACAGTGTTTCCTCAATGACTTTTTTCCAGAAGACCAGATCTCCAGGTATTAGGTCATGCAGAGGCTGCTTAGGTGTGTGTTCTGGAAATGCAGCTTGTACATGTTGGTAGCAAAACTAGAGGCATCATCTGAGTGTGTGGCAATAATTGTAAAATTATCCCATCAATGTTGATTCTATATAACTGCCAATTTGTCTTTGCTATTGTAATACATAAAATAATTTTTCTAATCCCCACTTTTATGATGGCAATCATAAAATCATAAAAGTTAATTAGCAAACATTTCTAGATTCTTTATCTCTCTAACAGAGAGATCTCTCTAACAGAGTCCTGAAAACTCTGTTTCTATAACATTTCAAAGTTATGGACTAACCCTAAACCATACCTGTGACCAGTATAAATATTTGCTCATTCATATTTTGTCAGATGGCAGGACTAGACAAGGGCAAGTAACTTAACCGAATGAACAGATTTAATTTCTGAGAGAAAGTTACATTTCAAGGGTAAATTCCAGTCTGGGGTAGCAGAACTCACTTGCCAGTTATTAGCTTTTCTTTTTCAGTATGAACCACAAACAGAATTAAAGCAAGGATATCCAAGGATGTCTTTAGAAGGTCTGTGCAGGATATGGATAATTGCCTAACACAGTTAAGAAATCATATATTTTTCTTCGTCAGGCAAAGGAGGAAGGTGCAGCAATGCACAGGGATGTGTTAAGGGGAAAGCGATGATGTTTCATAGGAGGGTAGGTGACTAGCCAAGAAGCGCTGAGGATTTCCTGTCTATAGAATATTATACATAGTTTGGGGAACTGGTAAGTTTAGTGGAGACCCAAGAACTAAATTAGCTAAAGTTTTTGCACCTTTGGTTCTTGCTGCTATTTGAGTTAGACAAGGTAGATAGATATGCCTTGGCACCCAGATCTAATAAAAGACTGAAATAAGTAATTGGCCTCTTACAATTCCTAAGTATTCTTAAAAGGACCTTTAATGCTTTTGCAAACTTTTAATTTTAATGGACAAAATATAAAAAGGATTTGTGAACCTAGCCTTCTAAAAAGAATTCTCTTCATAGTTACTACACCAGTCTTTGTGCTTAAACTTGCATATACTTCTTATAACCTAAAACATATACAATATTTGAAATATATTTTGTTAGGATATTTTACTTATGGAAAATTAACATAGGAAGAGAAATTTTCATTTTCAGTGTTTTTCTGTGATTTTTGTAAACAAAAGATTATCATTGTTTTGGAATTAATTATCATTTGTAGAATTTTAGATATGCCTAATTAATGTCATTTTCTTTCCTTTTCTAGGGCAAAGGAGTGAATCACTGTGTTCCTTTAAGGCCATTTTAAGAAAGCACAGAATGGGTTAGGCCTAAAAGTCAAGGAAAGACAAAATCAAGAATATTGGGTAGAGTAGGCAATATAGAAGCACTAAGCATCTAAGGATAAGAAATATGTATAGGCAACATTGTAAATCACATGGTAATCAACAATGGTATGTATGAGAACTTAAATTTTTTCAACAGTAAAGAATCACTTAAGAAATGATTGAGGAGTATCTCAAGATGCACTAAGAACTAATGGAAAAATTTGGCAACAAATAGGAACCTCTACCAGTCTGGCATAAAATAGCATATTTATATTTTATATTAAAAAAGAAAAAGAGGCCTATTATCTAATTTTACTGTTTTTTGTGCTTTATTCATGTGACATAATATGTACATAATGGCATATGCATCACACATATGTATAACAACACATACATTTTGAGAATACATATAGACATATATACACATATATGTACATATAGTCTTAAATATTACATATAAGATATATATGATATATCCTATATATAGGTTTTCTAGATATCATATATGTTATATATATATATAATTTCATTGGGAATGAGTATCTTAATGAGATGGATGGAGTAGGCTTATGCCAGGGGTCTTTGAATCAAAGGATGTTTGCTAACATCAATATTCAGATATTCAAATTCTCCCTTTGATGCCTGTAGATTTTAAAGTCTGAGTCTAATCCACCATTATAACATTAAGGATGTGCTAGAAGTAGAGTTCTCTTTTGTAAAGTGGGAAGAGGAGGATTATGAAAAAGGAAGGCAAAAAAGTGTAACCTATAAGCCATTCTCCAGCAGATGAGTCTAGCACTTATGGAAGTCTGAAGACTCGGAAATGGAGTTTCTGAAGCCACCTGGTCTCACAACATCTTGGAAAGACTTTGTGCATTCCCAAGTTCCCATGAATGTAAGGAACACGTTTGAAGACTGCTGCTTGCCATACGAGATCTCACACCCTAGGCAAGCATGGAAGTGTCGAAGGTCCAGTGACCACTAATAATATCAAACACTGACATAGAAATCTCAAATGGCCTCTTGGCGACTCACCTCTGGCAATGAATGAGGTCTTCATCCTGAAATTTGGGGTTCCCTCTTGCATTTTATCTAGTCAAGTAAACAACTTATTGGGCTGTTTCTCCATAAGAGAGAACACACATGTAAGAACCAAAAAGGAGAAGAGTGAGGCTGGAGCATCCATTCTCCAAAGTTTACTTTTGTCTTCCAAAATTTTGGACAAAAAGGCAGCTATGAATTTGATGGACATAGGGGAGAACACCTGCCTCCAAGATGGCTGTGCTAGTCACACTGCTTAGAGGAGGAGCCCTTCATTGGGTGTTAGGAAAAGAACCCAATCAGATAAATACCACTAACATGGAGAAAGTGCTTTGTTTTGAAGCTCAGAATGTCATTAATATTAATGGAGTTGCTTGAGTGTTGGGATTCTCTGTGAGGCCTGGAGTGTCTCCCAGCCTGGAAGGATAGGGACTTTGAGGGATTTGCACCTAAGAAGTAAGCAGAGTTCTCTTCTCCCTCCTTTCCCCTGGTATCCTTGCAATAAGCTCTTGTTACATAGGTTGCTTCAAAACCTTAAAGAAACCGACCATTGCCTTCACAAAAGAGATACTTTTCTTCCCCTACAATTTCTTCTGGGTGTTATACCCGGAAACTTTATGGATGAAAGAAATCCACCTTCTGTGTGGGCAGCTCTACCATCCCTCACCTGACCACAACCCTCATAGAAGTCAGAGTCATGGGCTTTACATTGAGAAAATTGTATCTACCCCTCTTTAATTCTGTCTCAGGATGCCAGCAGTGAACAGAAAGTTTGAGGTCCACCATCAAGGAGACAAGGAAGGCTGTTCTCCCAAGGGCATGGTTTTTCCCACCACATCACAACCTATTCATCATCTACATATTACGCAACTTCCCATCTGCCCAGAGCTTGCATCTTTATTGCACAATGGGACTCTCTGTGAGACCTCTCTGCAAATGGGCATAATTATATGCTCACACCCATAACTTTACAGTGGCGATTTTATGAGTTAAAAATGTAAATATTGATGTTTGCAGGTGTAACATTGACATATTGAACTTACTCTTAACCCTTGACATTCATCAGGGCTTATGGTCATTAAAAATGGAGACTGAAGTCAGACTCCCTGGATTCCTATCCCATCTCGGCAACATCCAAGTTCTTTAAACTTGTGCAAAGTTCTAAATGCTCTGAGCTTGATTTTCCCCTTCAATAAATTGCAGATACTGATAGCAGCAAAATTATAGTACTTTTGTGACTGATTGACTGAGTTCAAGCAGGTCAAATAAGTGAAATAATGCACACACTGCTGGGTACACAGGATGCAATGAGTACACCTCAGCTATTATGATCAGATCCTCCACTACTTTCCCCACACATGCACCACCTAACTCCCAGCCTCTCGTTCAATGTTAGGTCTGTAAACTACACATATAGCAATCCTTTTCTTTCTTCTCTTCCTTTTGATTTTGGGAACAAATCTTGCGAAGTCATTTTAACTCCCAAACTGTCTGGTGTAGAATCTTTTGCTCATATGTTTGAAGTCAAATCTGAGGGAAAAACAGTTGATGACTTTATTTTTTAATTTTTTTGGAGCTCAGCTCCACAAACTGCATCAAAATGCATGCAGCCACAGGAAAGAACTTATTTGCCCATCATGGAAACATTATAGCTTTGTTTAGATTCTATGTATAAATGAGATCATGCAGTGCTTTTCTTTCTGTGTCTGGTTTATTTCACTTAGTATAGTGTCCTCCAAGCGCATACATGTTGTCCCAAATGACAAGATCGCCTTCATTTTTAAGGCTGAATAATATTCACATTTATACACATATACCACAGTTATCACAATTTCCCTATCATTCATTCATCAATGGACACTTAGGTTGGTTCCATATATTGGCTATTTTGAATAATCCTGAAATGAACATGGTAAGGCAGATATCTCTTCAAGGTACTGATTTCATTTCCTAGAATAGTGGTTCCCAGAGGTCTGGGGTGGGGAAAATGAAAAGATGTTGGTCAAAGTATACAAGCCTTCAGTTATAAGATGAATAAGTTCTGGAGACCTAATGCATAGCACAGTGATTATAATTAATAATAAGTATTATATACATGAAATATGCTGAGAGAGTAGATCTTCAATGTTTGCACCACACACACACCCAGAGTAACTATATGAGGTGATAGGTGCATTGATGAGGTTGGTTATGGTAATCATTTCAGAATGTGTATCAGAACATCGCGTTGTAGATCTTGAATATATACAACATTTATTTGTCAGTTATACCTCATTAAGTTGAAAAATGCTATCACCAAACACAGGATATCTATAATTTAACTCTACAAAGGAAAAAATAATATTTTTAATTAACTGTGCTATGAAAATGTAAAATACAAAATACATGCCAACACATTGATATGATTTGTCTCCTGCAGAAGGCATGAGAGTGACATTCACATGCACCACATGAGGGGTAGCAGACAACAAGGAAGCCTGGCGCCTCTAAGCCTGGGACACCAGAACCAACTTGCAGGAACTTACACTGTGGGCAGATGACTCTGCATCTCTTTGCTTCTTGCACTGGAGAATGGGAATTCCCTGCCTAGCTAGTTTGACTGCTGGCCCTACCACAGCGTCTCAACCAGGGAGGTGACTGTATTCTCACTCCCTGTTTATAATGCCCTGTCCTGCAACTTAAACCTCAGAGCACTTTGAGCAAACTTTAACTCTGGAAGACATCCTCTCCTTTTCAGGATTGGGTGGTGATTGCTTTCATTTAATCTCATTTCTGAAGCATTCTGATGTCCAGAAATTACTCCTAATTAATAAGCCATTTTATTTTCAGTCCCAATTATGACATATCTATATCTAACACACACAGACACACATATGCACAAACCCAGTCCATCATCTCCATCCAATTTTTTGATTAATCTTCCCTTATACACAGTGCGGACTGCTGGGGTTTCTGAAATGAGTACCTGGGAATACACGGGACAAGAGCTGCTAATGGGAGCTGAAAGGGTAGGAAGCTCTAATAATCAGAACTGAGGGAGCAACACGTGGATTTCCAATCAGAGAGGTGGAGTTTGGAATCAATCATGTCTCCTTTGGCTGTATTCTATCTTCCACAGTATTAGACTCTTTCATACCTGTGGCAACAGCCTCCCTTCTCCAGCACTTCATGTAACACCTGCATTCCCTTCGGTCTTAATCACTTCATATTTTCCTAGTTATGAGACCCTGACTTGGGAGGACTGGGGCAGAGGGGCTTTATCAAATATCATTTCTATGAATGTCCCCTTCCCCACTGGGGTTCTAACTTATAAATTCATGGAGTCCTGTTCATACACCCACCAGAAGAACTGTATTGGTGGGCCACTGTTTTTTATGTGGAAGCTCCTTATCCTTCAAATGTGTTGGGGGCAGAAAACATAAGAAGAAGCATTAGTCTCATAAACATTAAACAATTATTTAATTGTCTACTCACTAATACTAGTCACAGGGAAGGGCAAGAACAATATATTTGGTGGCGAGACACATAGAAAAGGTATATGCAGGTACAACTGAAGAAGTTTTTTTCCCATTGGGTTGGTGGATGTATGTTACAAAAACGCTTACATCATCAAAGAGGCAATAAGGCCTCTGATGATAAGGGGCAAATATGTGCCAGTTGGTGGTGAGAGTTTGAACAAAATAACATGTTTACCTCCTGCCATCTCCCTTTTCACAAGACAGGGCCACAGCAATGTGTGGGATGTGGGTTTTAAGTGTTCAGTCATAGAAAGCACTCATAAGTAATTTTTGGGTGGGTGGATGAGCTGATTGACGACCGTGTTATTTGGAAAGAAGGCCAGCCATTCTATCTAGAAGCCCCAGGAGGGAGTGGCCCATGTACAGACCTATGGCAGTTGTGATGCTAGCGAATCTTGGAATACATGGATAAAGAAAATGTGATGTATATCTACACAATGGTATGCTATTAATCCTTCAGAAATGAGGACGTTCTGTCAACTTCAGACAACATGGATAAAATAGGAGGACATTATGCTATGTGACATAAGCTAAACACATAAAGACAAATACTCCATGTTCTCACTTATATGTATAATCTAAAACAGTTGAACTCATAGAAGCAGAAAGTAGAATGGTAGTTACCAAAGGCTGGTGGGTTGGAGAAATAGGGCCACAATAGTCAAAGGGTACAAAGCCTCAATTAGACAGGAGGAATAAGCTTGATTTTAGATCAATTGCACAGTATGTCGAATATAACTAATGATTATGTCGAATATAACTAATGATTGCATTCTGTACTTTTTAATATCACTAAGAGTAAATTTCTAATTTTGTTTGAACAACAAAAATGTTAAATATTTGAGGTGATGGTTATATTAACTAGCTTAATGTAATGCAGAAAGGTAGAACCTGAAATCCAGAGAAATAAGTTATTTCAGTAGGTTGTTTTTTTATGTAGGACACCTGGAGAAGAAAAAGGCATGGCCAGCTCCTTTATTCAGATAGATCAGTCTGTGAAACTTCTTGCAGTTTTCCAATCATAGTTGAGTTCAATTCAACTTGCACTAACACTCCACCAAAAGTCTCAGCCCTGCTTCGTGGCCCTGCTGTCATCTTCCCTCCTGGCCCTGAGTATTTCTTTGGTTTTTGTTCAGGATATGACATTCTGGACATTGGTAAGTGCCATTTGATTTGAGCTCTTATCTATTACTTATCAATATACACTCTCAGAAATGGCCCCTAGATTCCTGCATAATGATCAGAACTGTCTCTCTCTCTCTCTCTCATTAATGCTGCCTCTTTCTCTCACACACACACGCGCACACACACGCACTCACACACACACGCACACTCACACACACATACACAATGTAGTAATGGGCTTGTCAGGCCCTTTCTCTGGTTGGTTTCCCCAATATTTTTGTCCCTTCAGTCCCTGAGATTGGTTCCATTATTCAGCACAGGTGTTCAGGAGACAGAGACATGTGGTAGCCATGTTTTCAAACATGTCCAACATAGGTGAATGAATATACTTTAGGCTTCCAATATGGTATGTTCTCATATGCCAAGGATAGATGGAAATGAGGCCACTCTCCAGGGGACAGAACAAGTCTAGTGCGAGCTTTCTGCATAAGGACCTTGCAGCCGTTCTGGGACACTGTTAAGCATAGAGATGGCCAACAGGATAATCTTCTCACAACACCACAGCTTGGTGTTTCCTGCTCTTTTGACAGACTTTCAGATGGAAACCAAATAACTTGATTGGAAAAATCTATTTCAAGAAAGAAGAGCCACCTCATATGGGCATTTTCTCCCATATAGGAAGAGCTGCCTTGGGACAAGGATGAAGAACTAGAAATTATCCCAGCAACCACACATCCTGCTAGTGACCCTATGGGTCAGAGCATCTTGCAAGAACCTACATGGAGGACTCCAGTGGGAGATTCTAGTGGTCTTACTTGGCTCCCACACAAAGAAGTATCTTGGTTGGGACTCCTATGCCTATCACAGATGGAGAGAGTCCAAGGCATGGGTTGCATTTTTATATATTTAGAACATTAGCCACATGCCCAAGATTTCCACAGAGTGGAAATTGACCATCTGTCTTTTCAGAAGGGAAACACAGACCAAGACAGTTTTGTGCCCAGTAATACTGGAACCTCAGGCTCCTTTGTATCAGACCCACAGGCTCTGCTTGTGAGCAACAGCTTTATTACAGGTCTTCTTGATCCTCATGCCCCAGTGGGCACCCAGCACAATCTTTATGAGAGAGAAATGGAGAGCTTCATTTTTACCATGGCATACATGACCTCGCAAATTAAGTATACTTGGTTTTGTTTTTAGCAAAATGAAGTCCCATGGGTCTCTAACATGGTCCAGACAAATCAGAAGGCAGGTAATTGGTAACATGACCTCGCAAATTAAGTATACTTGGTTTTGATTTTAGCAAAATGAAGTCCCATGGGTCTCTAACATGGTCCAGACAAATCAGAAGGCAGGTAATTGGGTGTTGAATAAATACTTACAGACAAATCATATGAAGGAATGGATGGAGACACGGTTTTACAACAGAGAGGGAGGTTTAACCAAGATATGAAGATTTGACATAAAAAAAACTGTACAACTTCAAACAAGGGTTTAGATGTTGTACTTCCTGTTCCAGGATGCATGTGAGTTGAGAAGCATCACTTAAGTGGATATATAGTACTTAAATCATTTGGGGATTTTGTAGTGTTTGGTATTGGCAGTGGGGAGAACTCCATGCTCCAGCATCCAGAAAGATGCATGAAAACATGGTTGTATATGACAGCTTTTCTTGACGAGGTAGGTCGTGGTGAAAACATGTCACAGAATCTCCAAAGTAGGTGACTGGGCTCAGAAGAGACAACAGAGGACCAGTTTTGAAATTAGGAGGAAGGTCCCTTCAGGGGATCCCTTGCCCTGCCTCACAGGATGATATTGGAGCTTTTAATAGGGTGTGCACTTTGGTTTAGTTCATGGCCTATAGACACTCTCCAAACATTTCTTGGATAGGTATGTGGATGGAATCATAGTTTCATGCATCCATAGACAGAGAGATGGACAGACAAATGAATGGATGGATTGAGGCAAGATTATGCAGTGTCAGTGGTGTCACATTTATGGTATAAAAGTCTTTGTGCAATTTGCAAAATAAAGGGAAGCCTGATATCTTTCAGTTCATGTTTTGATGTAAGTGTTTCTGGAAGAAAGAGGGTAATGGGAAATACAGCTGAAGGGGTTCACTGGGGCCAGGAAAGCCTTGACCACCAAGTAAGATATAAAGTAGTGGGGCCCTTTTAGAACTGACCAAAAATATGACCCAAAAGGCATCTGCATCAGGTTAATCTGGCAGCAAAGAAAGGAAAGACAAGAGGAGACAGAGAAAGAAAACCACCCCTAGAATATTATTGGATTAATCTAAACGTGAGATGATTGTGATCTAAATTTGAGACCTGGAAGTAGTAACTGAAAAATTATAGGGAAGAGACATCCAAGGAACAATTGGAAGGTCAAGGAGGGCCTAGAATATCTAGGGACATGGTAGTGGGATGCATTGAGATATGAAGGAATGTAAGCACATTTTGGGTAGTCTTGATGAATTTTGATTTAGTTATACTGATAATGAGTTGACAGAGAAACTTACTGGAGCAAATGTTCAGCATGGAGAAGGGAATGCATATCTGGAATTTAAGGCAGTGGTGAGGACAACAATAGACATCTAGTAGTCATGTGCTTAGAAGTAATGTTTGAGGAAAGAGAATCCTGAGGCAGAGAGGATAGACTAAAATGAGTAGAGGCTTAAGTACTGAATTCAAGAAATATTTGATAGGGTGTGTGTCTTAGTTTGGCTGCCTGCTATAACAAAGTACCATAGGCTGGTGGCTTATAAACAATAGAAACATATTTCTCACAGTTCTGGAGGCTGTAAGTCTGAGATCAGGGTTCTATGAGGCCCCCCTTAGACTTGCAGACTGCTGGCTTCTTGCTGTACTCCTAGGTGGTGGATAGCTCTCTGACTTCTTATAAGGGCTTTAATTTTGTTCATGAGGGCTCTACTCTCATGACCTAAGCACTTCCTAAAGGCCCCACCTCCTAATACCATCACATTGGGATCAGAGTTTCAATACATGAATTTTGAGGGGACACAAACATTCAGCCCATTGCAGTGGGGGTGTGGCAAAGAGGAACAGCTTGGAAAGAATTCCATTGTGCACTCAAAGAGACAAGAGAAAAAGTAGTAAGGCAGAAGATCAGAGAAGGGAAGGGAAGGAGAAAGCTTCCAGGAGTGGTGGTGAATAGGGCTCCATGCTGTTGAGAACTGAAAGAAAAAAAACTGAGAAAAGGCATCTACCATATTTGTTAACTAGCATGTGAGATGACAAAATTAAGCTTGCTTCTCCATGGGAGTGAAGGAAGGTGCTATCAAGCTGTAGAAAATAAATAGTGGAATTTTATAGCACTGCTGGTCAGCTCTCATTCAATCATACTGACCTTCCACACTGAGAATTAGGAAACTTAATGCAAAGTCATCACACAAAAATAGCTCCAAATTGCTCGCCAAAGATGCAGAGAAATGGCATTGCTTTTCTTTCTTCTGACATCATTCTTTGCCCTTCCATACAGCCATGAAACAAGTTCCATAGCATAGCTGGGCCACCAGATCAAGTTACAATCAGGAATTCTTGAAAACAATCTGAAACTGGATGGTTTCTTCTCATTATCTCCATACCTGTTGTGCTGCCAACTTTCACAGCCTGCTCTTTCTATGTTCTAGTTCATTATGATCCTTTCCTTTCCACTCGCATTCCATATGCTCATCCAGCAGGTGGCAGGAGCCATCCACTTTCAGGAGTGGGTGTAGCTTAAAGATTTCTGATGACAGTCACTCTTTAGCACAATAGTTCTGTGGTATGTGTCTTTTCTGACATACCAAGGTCTTTCTCCCATGACCTTCATCATACCCTACCCTACCATTGTCATCCAGCACATCCTTTTATTGGTCCTCTATAGGGGAGCAATTTTGAATGAAAGCAAGTTACTTCTCAAATGCTGAGCCATGTCTCTGACCAAGTTGCAGTTCAGGCCCTATCTTCTATCATGCTGATAGAAGAGAGTCCTCCTTGCTAAGTCATATCAGACTTACCGTTGGCCAGAAAAGCAGTCATTCAATTAATTCCCAACCAGCCCCATAATGAGTCTGGCCTGCCTTCAGACTTAGCTCCTTAAACATGGGACAGGAAAGGGTAAACTGAAGGGGAACGAAGGATCCAGAGCACTTTCTGTTTTTAGCTTACCTAGGGAAATTGTTAGATGAAGATAATTTCCTCCTATAGGCTTAGGTATCAAGACTCAGCTTTGTTCACTAGATTAATTGGTGGCCACCACTTTGAATCAACCTCTTTTCAACACTTTGCCAAAAGGCCTGCTTCCAGATCCATCCCTGTTGTGAGTTGCTCTGATCCATTCTGGAGGCCATCCTACGGGTGGGAGCCCTAACTCACCTTTCTTTTCTGGTTCATTCAATCGGTATTTATTGTGTGTTCTGGAAATATAGCAATGAACCAGACACATATGGATCCTTTTTCACAGAGGTTTTAGTCTGGAGGGGAGGCAGATGTTTCACTCATAAATAAGTATCTATATCAATATTGGTGATTGCCATAAAACAAAATTATAATCTGCCTTAGAAACATATAACAGAGAGACATCACCAAGCCTAGATGGTCCGAGAAGGCTTTCCTGTGGAAGTGACATTTGAACTTCAACTTGAAGGATGAATAGGAGTTATACAGGTGAATAAGACAAGGGAGGAAATTCCAGGCAAAAGGAAGGGCGTGTTTAAAGGCCTGAGTCAAGAAAGATGTTGGTATATTTGAGGATGTGAAAGAGTCAATGAGGTTGAGAATTGTGCATTGAGAGAAATAGTGACATGAGATGAGCCTGGAGAAATAGAGATTGAACTTGGCTATATCAAGCAAAGCTTTGTGGGCTAGAGTAAGGGTCTTGCACACTGTCCTAAAAGGAATGGGTAGCCTTCCCTAGTCATCCAGGCCCTTAGAGATCCCTCACTATATATGCCCAGACATCTTATTCTTGTATTTTGCAGCATCTATCACAATTAAACAAATATTTTCACAGTTGTCCTTAATTACACAGTCCATTGTAGGGTTTGGAGAAGGAGAGTAACATAATAAAAACTACAATTTTAACTCAAATTTTAATTTAAAAGTCAAAGTTTAATTTTACATTCATGTGATAGTGGATCACAGTGGGGCTGCAGTAGATGTTGGGAGGTCACAACAAAGCTCTCACCTTAATCCACGTGAGAAATGATCATGGATTGGATTATTGTTAGCAGTGAAGAAGATGAAGCTAACTGAACCACTTTTAGGTTTAGTTCTGAGGAGAGGATTTAGTGATGGCTGTGGAGGGTGTGGGAAAGAGGTGCCAGAGTTAATGAGGAAACTGTATAGTCAGAAGGATAAGATGATAAGATTACATGTGAAAATGTCAAGTTTGAGAGGACTGAGACCCTCAAATAGAGAAGAGGAACGGGCTAGGGGATTTTATGGGTCTGGAAGAGAGAGGTGAGAGCTCAGGCTTGGCAATACACATTTGGATTCTCTCAGTATAGGAATATTACTTGGGGCCGTGAAACTGAATGACATCCCTGATGAGAAGAAAAGAGGACCAAGGACTGTGCCCTGGAGAACTCCAAAATTCAAAGATCAGATGGAGGATTTGGCTATATTGACTGAGAAGAAAAAGGAATTGGCAAGAGGAAAACAAATAGAATGGGATGACAAAGCCATGTAATCATTTAGTGAGAGAGATGCAGTGAGCATAGTCTAATTCCAGGCTTCTTTTGCCCTTAAACTAGGATGCCACATTCCGATATCTGTTTCCTCAATACCCTTACTTATAACAATATGCCCCTCTCTCAAAAGCTGAATATTGACAAAGTTGTCATTGTGTTAGATAATAGAAGTGCCAGGGATCTTAAAAGAGTCTCTGTGTTACACAACTCCAGAAGGCACCGTTCACATAGAATGCAATGTGAATGGGGCTTCCTAGGGCCTTAAGGCCCAGTGCAGCTCCATTCTTGAGGTGTTGTTTGTCCTCAGCAAATTTGTTTACTCCAAGAGCTGTGTTCTGGAAAAATCAGTCTTAGAAATTAACCTGAATCTATACTCTTGAGCTGAAAGAGAATAGGGCTCACTTAGTTGTTTGGGAATAAGCCCACATCCATTACTATTGGCCTCTTTTTTCTCTACCAAAACCATTCTATCCTTCTCAGTGTGGAATGGGGGAATTCTGGCTGCTAGGAAAAAGATTGACTTGAGATATCCTTGAAAGAATTATCTGAGAATATTCCTCTCATACTCTTTCAGGTTCTGACGAAAGGACGCCAAGACTCATTCTCCAGTAGCTCTATTCAAAGAGCTCCAGGTTTTATCTTTGCAGGTTCTTGACATCAGGGCCAGCAATTCTACTTCAAATAAACAGATCCAAATAAGCAGGTGAAGCATATCTTTCTTCCTCCAGTTTGAGAATCCTCAAGACCTGCCTTCTAATGCTACCTGGGCCAATACGACAAGGCAGGGTCTATTTGCCAATAGTGGCCTCTCCACTAATGCTCAGCTGTTAGTCCTTGTGAGCAGAGCTTCCCTTCAACCCTAGATTTTAAGTTGAAGGTTAAACTGGATAACTTTCTGGCTTACTTTCCCTCTGATGACTCCTCCCAACCCAAGAAGGTCCTCACTATGCAGGTTAAAAACTCTGCCATTGACAGATTTATAGAGACTGGGACTGTGCAGGAAATGCTGCTCCAGAATCACTCCCTAGCATTCATCAAGCACATCTTGTACTGCAGGTGGGCAGAGCTGCAAAGCATTGAAGAGATTATGCAAGGATGACAAGATGTCCACAACCATATTTAAGTACACATAGTTCTATCCATGGTCAGATGCTGTCAATCACTGGGGAAACAGTGTTCCCATCTGAAACGGTTTGGCTGTGTCCCCACCCAAATCTCATCTTGAATTGTAATCCTCATAATCCCCATGTTAAGGGAGGGACCCAGTGGGAGGTGATTTGATCATGGGAGTGGTCCCCCCATGATGTTCTCATAATAGTGAGTGGGTTCTCACGAGATCTGATGGTTTTATAAGTGTTTGACATTTCCTCCTTCACACACTCACACTCTCCTGTTGCCTTATGAAGAAGATGCCTGCTTCCTCTTCTGTCACGACTGTAAGTTCCATGAGGCCTACTCAGCCATGTGGAACTGTGAGTCAATTAAACCTCTTTCCTTTATAAATTACCCAGTCTCAGGTACTTCTTTATAGCAGTGTGAGAATGGACTAAAAGAGGAATTGGTACTGCGGAGAGTGGGGCCCTGTTATCAAGATACCTGAAAATGTGGAAGCAACTTTGGAACTGCATAACAGGCAGAGGCTGGAACAGTTTGGAGGGCTCAGAGAGAAGACAGAAAGATGTGGGAAAGTTTGGAACTTCCTAGAGACTTGTTGAATGCTTTTGACCAAAATTCTCATAATGATTTGGACAATGAAGTCCAGGCTGAAGTAGTCTCAGATGGAGATGAGGAACTCAATGGGAACTGGAGCAAAGGTCAATCTTGCTATGCTTTAGCAAAGAGGCTGGTGGCATGTTGCTCCTGCCCTAGAGATCTGTGGAACTTTGAACTTGAGAGAGTTGATATGAAATTGGAACTTATGTTTAAAAGGGAAGCAGAGCCTAAATGTTTGGAAAATTTGCAGCCTGACGATGTGATAGAAAATTAAAAACCATTTTCTGGGGAGAAATTCAAGCCAGCTGCAGAAGT
Source organism: Homo sapiens (assembly GCF_000001405.40). NCBI lineage: Eukaryota > Metazoa > Chordata > Mammalia > Primates > Hominidae > Homo > Homo sapiens. The sequence goes on from NC_000023.11 coordinate 55,139,387, forward strand.
TTGCATAAGTAATGAGGAACCAAATGTTAATTGCCAAGACAACGGGGAAAATGTCTCCAGGGCATTTCAGACATCTTGGCAGCAGCACCTCCCATCACAGGCCTGAAGGCCTAGCAGGGAAAAATGGCTTCATGGGCCAGTCCCAGGGTCCCCCTGCTCTGTGCAGCCTCAGAACTTGGTGCCCTGTGTCCTAGCTACTCCAGCTCCAGTTGTGGCTACAAGGGGCCAAGGTACATCTCAGGCTGTTGCTTCAGAGGGTGCAAGCCCCAAGCCTTGGTGGCTTCCACATGGTGTTGGGCCTGCAGGTGCATGGAAGTCCAGAATTGTGGTTTGGGAACCTCCACCTAGATTTCAGAGGATGTATGGAAATGCCTGGATGTCCAGGGAGAAGTTTGCTGCAGGGGTGAAGCCCTCATGGAGGACCTCTGCTGGGGCAGTGCGAAGGCTAAATGAGGGGCTGGAGCCCCCACACAGAGTCCCCACTGGGGCACTGACTAGTGGAGCTATGAGAAGAGAGTCACCATCTTCCAGACCCCACAATGGTAGATGTACTGACAGCTTGCATAGTACACCTGGAAAAGCCACAGACACTCAATGCCAGCTGTGAAAGCAGCCAGGGCAGGGGGCTGTATCCTGCAAAGCCACAGGGGCAGAGCTGCCCAAGGCCATGGGAGCCCATCCTTTGCATCGGTGTGCCCTGGATGTGAGACATGGAGTCAAGGGAGATTATTTTGGAACTTTAAGATTTAATGACTGCCTCACTGGATTTTAGACTTGCATGGGGCCTGTAGCCCCTTTGTTTTGGCCAATTTCTCCCACTCAGAATGGAAGTATTTATTCAATGCCTGTGCTCCCATTGTATCTTGGAAATAACTAACTTGCTTTTAATTTTACAGGCTCCTAGGTGGAAGGGACTTGCCTTGTCTCAGATGAAACTTTGGACTTTTGGGTTAATGCTGAAATGAGTTAGGACTTTGGGGGACTGCTGGGAACAAAAGATTGTGTTTTGAAATGTGAGGACAGGAGTGGTGACTCACGCCTGTAATCCCAGCCAAGGCAGGCAGATCACTTGAGGTTAGGAGTTTGAGACCAGTCTGGCCAACATGGTAAAACCCTGTCTCTACTAAAAATACAAAAATGAGCCAGGTGTGGTGTTGGGTGCCTGTAGTCTCAGCTACTGAGGAGACTGAGGCAGGAGACTTGCTTTAACCCGGGAGGTGGAGGTTGCAGTGAGCCGAGATTGTGCCACTGCACTCCAGGCCGGGTGACAGAGTGAGACTGTCTCATAACAAGAAAAAAAAAAAAAGAAAAAGAAAAAGAAAAAAAAAAAAAGAAATGTGAGGACATGAGATTTGGGAGGGGCCAGGGCGGAAAGATATGGTTTGGTTTTATCCCCACCCAAATCTCACCTTTAACTGTAATCCCAATAATCCCCATGTGTTGAGAGAGGGACCCGGTGGGAGGTGATTGGATCATGGGGGCAGTTTCCCTCATGCTGTTCTCATGATAGTGAATGAATTATGAGATCTGATGGTTTTATGAGTGTTTGACATTTCCTCCTTCACACACTCATATTCCCTCCTGCTGTTCTCATGATAGTGAATGAATTATGAGATCTGATGGTTTTATGAGTGTTTGACATTTCCTCCTTCACACAATCACATTCCCTCCTGCTGCTTTGTGGAGAAGGTGTCTGCTTCCCCTTCTGCCATTCCCTTTCTGCCATTCCCCTTCTTCCATGATTGTAAGTTTCCTGAGGCCTCCCCAGCCATGCAGAACTGTGAGTCAATTAAACCTCTTTCCTTTATAAATTACCCAGTTTTGGGTATTTCTTTTCTTTTCTTTTTTTTTTGAGATGGAGTCTTGCTCTGTCACCCAGGCTGGAGTGCAGTGGTGCAATCTCGGCTCACTGCAAGCTCCGCCTCCTGGGTTCACACCATTCTCCTGCCCCAGGCGCCCGCCACCATGCCTGGCTAATTTTTTTGTATTTTTTAGTAGAGACGGGGTTTCACTGTGTTAGCCAGGATGGTCTCAATCTCCTGACCTCGTGATCCGCCCGCCTCGGCCTCCCAAAGTGCTGGGATTACAGGCGTGAGCCACCGTGCCCGGCCAGTCTTGGGTATTTCTTTACATTAGTGCAAGAACAAACTAATACACCATCTAAAGAAATGCATTTGGGGCAACTCAGGGAGCTCAGAGAAACCACAGAAGATATGAAAAAAAGAACCAGGGCCAATGAAACATGGAAGAAATTGATTCTACTTAATCCAAGTGACAGGAAGTTAAAGACCTACTCCTTAGTCTAATGGAATACCAAATCTGGAGTCTGGGGATTGTCAAAGTGAGTGATGTGTAAATTTATACTTTCCATGTTGATCTGTTAATCATCTATTTGTTTTATTATGTTACAATCTTGCCTACTTCAAAAAAGTCTTTTAGTAGTAAAGGAAGAGCAACTCTAACTCCACACAATTACTTTCACTTGAACCCTGAGAAATAGCACAGATATAAAATCTTTTCCACTCATTTTAATTAGATTTTATAGACCAAAAAGTTGGATTTTTTTCCCTTCCATCAGATGAGAATGAATGAATGACTTTCTCCCTGGAGAAGGCTATATATTTTCTGCTCTTCAACCTAAATATCATTTTCCCTAAAGTCTCCACCAGTATCTTAATGGGCAAATGAATTTGTAGTTTTGTTTGTAACCAGAAAATTTCCATTCATTATAACAATACTGTGGCCAGAAGATACATGGAAATTGCCAACCAGTCAAATGTGCGCCAGTGTAGAATCTCACATGTGATTTAGGCAGGTGCACCATCTTTGTACAGTTGGTCTCAAGAAATTGTCTTAAACAAAATATAAAATAGATCTCAATGGCTTCCTGGTCAGAATATTTGCCTGTTTTGCCCAGCCTCGGTTCATGTATTCAACCAGTTGTTCCATTCAGATGATATAGGTTGTACTCTGACCACAGCCTCCAGCCAGGAGGAACAAGAAATCGAGGAGGAGACAGAGTCTGGTAACAGTGTCAGCTTTAAGATCTGACTCACTTTGTAGGGATTTAAGTGACAATATTACAGAGCATTCATTTGAAAATGCTGCTATATAAAAAGAAATGAATTTAGAAAATCATTCAACATGGAGACTCTGATGAAGAGCTTAGAGTAAACTTTGTTTCATTCTACTGTTTCTTTGGTTATGTAAACAGAGAACTACTCCCTAGAGAAAATGTGTCCTGGCAGCCCTGGTCTTCACTATAAAAGCAGAGATACCCTGGCACTGCTGCTTGGCCACTGTGTTTCTTTTAGCAAATCATTAACCACTCTCAGTTTTCTCAGGATTGTATGTAGTCATAGGGATAACTTACTGTCAGCCTCCCACTCCTCACCTATGAAATGGAGAGCCCACACCACCTACCTCAGGGGTTAATGAGTAACTCGCACAGAGTGTGGCACAGGGTGGGTTTGAATTTAAGGGCAGTTTCTTTCCCCCAAGCACCACCACACCTCATTATTGGTGCAGCATTCTGCTCTTGCTTTATATTCTCATTTAAAATATATAACAGGGTCTAATTTCACCTCTTAAACTAATCTGGCTCCCTTTTTTCAAACTCCTAATTTTGAAAAAAAAAAAAAATCCAGACAAGTCCTTTTGTATCGCCAAAGGTTCTTGCCTTAGCCACGCCAAAGAGAGAGACACAGATCAGACCGAGAGTAAAAAAGCTGTAGGCTTTATTAAGCAGAGTGACAGTACAAAGCTTTCACAGCGTGGAAGGGGTCCCGAGCGGGGTAGCCAGTGTTAGATTTTTTTATCACCTTTTAAACTCTCTAAGGCAGGAAATATGTGTGGTGGGAAGATGTTACCAGAGGGAGAAACAAAGACAATTAACATGTCTCAGATCTTGAGGAAAACTGGAATTGTAACTTAAGTTTTCTCTACTTATAACCTTGCAGCGGGATGGCAAAGGAGACAGGATCTCACGGGATTTTACAAATTGTGTTTACAAGGAATTGGAATTGGGACCATAGATAAGGTCTGCTGGTCACAGAAAAGTGGGCTTTTAACATTCCTTTTAGTTTCAGGGGAGGGGGAAGGGAGAGAGGGAGAGAGGACACAGGGAAGCTTACAACAAAATTTTCGCTGTTTATAGCTTTCTTGGGGAAGAAAACACAGGCGCAAATTCTGATGTTAGGAATGTTTTAAGCACATATCTTCAATATTATTCATCCAGGACCAAAGTAAGTCCGCATGCAGGAAATGAGTGAGTTTCACAGCTTTCTGAGCCCCTACTTGACCCAGGAAGCCCAGCTGGAACCTCCTCTCACTTTCTACTTTCTTCTGATATTCCTTGAAAATACTTCTCCTTCATAGCGGAGATAAGTAGTTTTAAACAGCTTGGTTCCTTCCCTGCTGTGAAGTATTGAGTTTTATTTCAGGACCAAAGGACATAAACCAGTTTATGACATAAACAGGTTTAGACAATCTGCAAAAGACAGGACAGAGATTGCATATTGTATTTACTAGGACAAGAGATTTACACTGACCACTCTGGAATAAGACTGTGCTTACTTAGTTCAACTAAGTACTGAAAAGTCTTACAGAGACTGAAAAGCCAACACTTTTTCTGTGTGTATGTAATTGCTTTATTATTATTATTATTATTTTACTTTGAAAAAATAATGCTTTGTCATGGTGACAGTTTTATCTTTGATATCTTTAAATAGGGGGAATGAATGGAAATTTGCTTTCTCAGCTGTTCAACTACACTGTGTTTTTAATAGACACTTTCTTTCAGTAGGATGCTATGTATTTAAGCATGCAGAATTCTTCCTGGGTATTTCTGAATCCTGTTGTGTACATGTGGGTTGAAAATTCAAATATCTCATCTTCTTTAGTACTTAGTTGCTCACTTTATTGTTAGAGAAACTGGTGGCTAGGTATCCTTTCTCTATTTTCTGCCATAAAACCTTTTAGAATTTAAATTTCTTCTCACCATACATCTGGTATTGACTTTGGAAGCACTGGCCATAGAAAAAATGTTCTTACTCAAACCATCTAATTAAGAAATAATTGACTCATGCCTACTCCCTAAGTTTGAGGCCAATGTGGTGCTGTAATTTTTTCCCCATAACACTAAAATTCTACTGCAAGTATCTTCCTTAAAATCCTACCCATATTCAAGGAAACAACCATGAAAATGTGTGTGTGTGTGTGTGTGTGTAGGTATGTATTCTTTTCCTAAGATAGTGTTCATTTTCATATGTTAATTCTGTCATTTAATAAAATCTCATTCTTCTTTCAGTAAAACTGTAACCTTACGTCTTTTCCAAACCTTGCCAATTGGCAAACACCTCTTTGTAGAGCTATCCATAGTTCTCAGATCTGCTAGTTTACACTCTGTGGACCTCCAAATATAGTGGAAAAGATAATGTGACCAGGGAGGAGAGGATTGTTAGACTCTAACGCATTTTTGTTTAAATCTAGCAACAGGTTGTACCCTTTGCATAGTCCAGGGCAGATAACCTGATGCATCCTGGTCCTTTGTTCACACAGCTCACCACTGAGGAAGCACATCTATGAATTCCCCATTCAAATTTGGTTGGCTCTTTAGTATGACTAAAACATGGGGACCCCCCCATCTCTAAATAAATAGTACTGCCTGTTTCTTCTAATGGCATCTCAGCTTATTGTTTCTAAGCCATGTGAATCTTTGCAATTTTAATAATGGAAGCTAGCCCCCTAATCTCTGGGAAAGGGTCTATGTAGCATAAAGTGGACAGTTGTCCAACCCACTTCCATAATTCTTGTTACTTTAAACATCAGTTTAGTAGCTTACACTGTATTAACATTAACTCTATACATAATAGATGGAATTATGAGATCACATAATGTGCTAACGTAATAAATTTTTGTTTAAGACAAAATATTACATATTTCTTATCTGACAGAATTGTGCAGTGTTTCCTACTAAGTCTGAAGTGCACACTCTAGAGGATAAATGATACAGAAGGTATCTAAGTATACAAGAGCCTTAGAAACATTCTCCCTGGAAATACAAAGTGTAGAGACAGTTATTAGAGAGAGATTTTCATGTTCATAGTCTAAACTGGGTCTGATTGTTGCCATTACAACTAGAGAGCAATTTCAACAGAACATCTACCTTCTGAGGGGAGTATGGCAGTTCATTTCAGTGCAAGACTGAATCTGGCTTTGCATATTTGGGAATACTAACTTATGGTTTTTTGAGTGTGGATTTTTTGTTTGTTTTTTAAATGAAAGCTACATACCTCTTTACTAGGCTACTGTATTTTTAAAAATGAAGACTTACTTGTATTTTAAAAAGATGTTTAACATAGAGTTTCTAACTGACAGATCTGGAAATCAATCTGAATTGGACATATGGCTTCAATGCACAGGAGAAGTTTCCTCATATTGCTACCTTAACATGAAATTGACACTCAACTTGAAAACTCTATGTAGAAAGAGTAAAATAAAAATAAAAATAAAAATTTCATAAACATTTATTCACAGCCCCTTTAAAAGTACAACAGTGAAGTAAAACCCCAATTAAACAACTGCCCATTAACTTGTTACTTAAAATGTAGACTTAAAAACCAATAGACTTTTTTTGGTGTGTATGCAATTGCTTTTATAAACACAGTTTAGGTTGGAATAAGGAAGTCCTAATTCATCATGTTGGAGCTTGCCCTCGCTGCTGCAGGCTGTTGAAGTGAGCCTCCTTCAAGGTCTGGTTGATATGGGAGTAAAGACCTTGGCATGGTACATACCCCTCATGCAAGAACTGGGGAAAGTTTGCATCGGGTTCAGTAACAATCTGGTTTAAGTTGCCTTCTGGTCCACTTGCTCTCTCTGGGATATTAATGCGGCTGCTGCTCCTTTCATTATCACTCCATGAAAACTGGAAGGAAAAAGACAGAAAGGGGATTGCTATTATGCTATTACAACATTTTTCCTACTTGGCTTGGAGAATAGCAGCATAAAACTCTATAATGGGCTTAATGGTTTTTACAAAGTAGAGCCATTTAAGATAGTTCATTCTATCCTCACAATAACCCTTTAATGAAGTTGGGATTAACAGCCCCCATTTTACAGATGAGGAAACAGATCACTGCCTTGTCCAAAGTCATATATCTACGAAGTGGCAGGGTGAGGATTCAAACACAGGCCTTGCAATTCCAAATCCCTTCACACATTCTCTACCCTTGCTTGTACGATTTATTCCAATAACTGCATCAGAGAAGTAAGTACTCATCCTCCACCTGAAGTATCAATTAATGCTGAGGATGTAGTAGAAATAATGACCATAACAAGTAAGTTGGACTATGGGTAAAAGTTACAATGAAGCAAATAAGACACACACATTTATACATACGTGCATACACACATAGATACAAATAAACAATGATTTTGTTCACATATCCTGATGGTGGACATGTATGGTCTTCCTATATCAATTCAGTGCTACATACATATCCTGAAAGGCATTTGACATACTTTTAGTTAAAGTTATATGTTACTTATTAGCATTTTATGACTAGTATTCATTGTTCTTCTATACTTATGAATTTAATAGGGTGTGTATTTTCCTCTTAAGATCTCTTTTTCTTTCATTAAACTAACATGATTCAGTGTCTTTTTTATGTTGGAGAAGCTACTCAGGGATCCCTGTAAACAGTTGTTTCCAAGAATTTCCTGCCTTCCAATGTTACAATTCCCAAAAGAAGAAGGTAATGGCAAGGACTCTTATTCAAATTACAATATTTAACAATGCTGGTATTATATTTCTTCTAAGTAAGTTTTTTCCAAAGGTAACATTAGTAAGATTTAAACCAAGAATGGTCATAGTCCATAGGTCATTTGCAGCTGTTCAACTTAGGTCACACAGTAACACTGTCCACAGGTACCAAGAGACAACCTATGCTCATCTTTATCCAACTAGAAACATGTTAAAAGAACTTGTGCAGGAAAAGAGATAGAAGGGGTCAAATGAAGCCAGATGTGAGAGTTAGCAATAGCAATCAAATTGATTTAAGGATTAAATGTCAAAGCCAATTCAAAAAGAAAATTAAAAAAAAATTTTTCCTAGGCCTGAGTATAAAAATATAGAATGCCCACTGTCACAAAGTAATGAAGTTATGAATATTCCAAAATTAAGTAAGCTATTACATTGGATAAGAAACCCACAGCTGACAATTCGGTTCCTCTTAGTTGGCTTTCCTTGTTTTTTTTTTTTTTTTTTTTTTTTTGTTACAGTACTGCCTGAAAAATAAGGTAAGAACTAGAAATCATTTCTGATGAATCAAATTTTCTTCTCCAATGACAACATATTGATTTTACACTGTAGTGCAACACTAGGGTGATGCTATGCTGTGTACATTAAAAATTCATAGGCTAGAAGGGATTTCTTTAGAATAATTATTAAGAAAAAAATCTACCTTTAATTTGTTTCATTTTAAAAGTTTTTAAACTCAATTGTGTACAGATAGAAATGCTCATTAAGACATTTTTATGCTATCAATATTTTTATTAGCTGAAAATCAGAAATAACTAAATGTTTAAAAACAAAGAAGTATTTAAATTATAGTGCATGCATTCATACAACAGAATCTCATCAGCCATTAACAATAATGATATATCATTCTATATCAGAAGTCTTTATACTTCAGGTTCTTAGAAAAACCTAAATTTATAGGCTATAAAAATAGTTAACAGAGAAATAACTAAATGATGACATTCACAGCTTTCATCTGAGTAAACCATTTAAAAAATTAATTAGGTAAATGTAATAGAAAAAATGCCTGTAAATAAACTTGTCATATAATTTAAAATCTAAAGTTATATTAAGTTAAATAATAAATACTCATTAAACATCTGGATGATTTCTAATTTTTAAAAAATTATAGGAAAATATTTTTCTAAAAAATATTTTCTTATTTAAAAGAAAATAATTTTTGTCTAATTCAAAGGTTACTTAAAAGTTATTTATGAAACAAGGTGAAAGAAACCAGTAAATAAGAGCAATGTAAAGAAATGTCTCTTTCTTTACATACTATATATTTACCTCTTTATAAATATAAAGGGGTATTTTTGGCAAGAAACGTTAAAAGGAAAATAATTTTATATGAGAAAAAATCTTGTATGGTAAATTTCTGTCCTAAAATAACTGGTTATTTAAGAAAGAAAGATGTCTGGGATAAAACAGGAAGTCCAAGCATCTCATTAATGATTTGTATCAAGTTGTCTATAATTAAAGGGAAATTATTTATAATAGTCTTTTTAGAGATTGGGTTTTGATTTTTTAAAAAACATACACTAAAGAATCAGTTAGAGCAACAAAATTTTCTTAAGGTATTGATTTACTCTCAATAAAATTACAACGGATTTTAATTTGTTTAACCCAATTTTCAACTTTTATTATCTTGTATTTTCAGCTTTCTCTCCCCCTTGAAAAGGCCTGAGATAATAACCCTCTCCTTCAACTCATTTTCAGCTTCTGTAATTTTTCTCCTCAGGTTCTAACTGTTTGTCATAGCCTGATGCTAAAAATGTTTTATCTTAAAGGTCTAAAGAAAATGTTTTCTTCCAACATAACATTCTGTGCTCTTGGCTTTAAATTTGTCCATGAATCTGAAAATTTTCATTTATTACCCAGGAAACACTCTGCCTATGTCTAACTAATTCAAGTATCATTTTCATTAGTTTTGATTTGCAGCTTACCTAAATGGACTTTCCATAGGGAATATCAATTGTACTGCAGGAGGTTTTTTTTTTTTTTTTTCTTGCCTTTTGGTAACTGGTCTAACAAATTTTACATTTTATCAAAATAACTCCTATGCCATTGTTATTAAGTTTTAATTTGCTTAGAAAAAAACTGAGGTTAAATTTTTCTTTTAAATCAAGGTTACTATATCCACGTAACTTTCTTGCTTTTAAAGTCCTTGTGCCTTTAAGTTACAGGGCGTTGACTCCTGGATATAAAAAGAACACCAAGTCTTGCTAAATCTTAAACAATGACAGCAGTTAAAGCCTTATCTTCAGACCCAGTAGAAGATACCAATCAAAATACACTGTGTTCATAAGGCACAAGGCCAGAAATTAAAACTATTAAATTCCTCAAGGCCCAGGGACTATCATGGAAGAGGTGGGTGTGTGAGATTGTAACGGCCAATTTTGAGAGATAAAATTAGTTCAGTTTCTCTATAAATTAACTATTAATATTGAAGGCACACTGATGCAAGACCAGCATCTGGGCCCCGATGTCAGAGTAACAAGGTTTTCTTGGCGCATTAACCCATTTCTTAATTAAAGAAAAATAAAGGTTATGAAAAAATTTATTGAAATTATATCTTATGGTCAAGATGACCAAAACTTAATAAATTTGTTTGGAAAAATTTAAAAGACAGATTTAATGGGCCTCATGTTGTCTTTATGAAAGCTTATGGTTTGGGAAATTAAGTCTCCTGTCTCAAAAAAATAAAAACTTTTGTCTTTCTTTGAAATCTATCACTCAGCTAAATGAATGACTTATTTTACAATGACTTTTGATCCTATTTTGTGATATCAAGTGTTTTTAACTTTTTCTAGTTGACAAACTTTCCAAAATAAAATTCTAAATTTGGTCCTCATTAATCTTTTAATATTAGGTCCCCTGACGCCCAAAAGAGACATATTTGGGTTATTTGATATAATACAATCATACAAGAAGTATTGTCAAATATAAAATGGCATTTAACCCTTGGATTATATTTATATAAATGTGTTATTAGTATGTGTTTCAGAATTGTATGAAATTCCTGTGATTCTGATATGTCTTGGTACATGTCAGCAGTCCCCAACCTTTTTGGCACTTGGGACCGGTTTTGTAGAAGACAATTTTTCCACAGATGGGGGAAGGAAGGGATGGTTTCAGGATGAAACTGTTCCACTCAGATCTTTAGGTATTAGATTCTCATAAGGAACACACAGCCTAGATCCCTCACATGTGCAGTTTACAACAGAGTTTGCGCTCCTATGAGAATCTAATGCTGCTGCTGACCTGACAGGAGGCAGAGCTCAGGCAGTATTTCTCGCTTGCCCACCACTCACCTCCTGCTGTGCGGCCTGGTTCCTAAGAGGCCGTGGACCAGTACCAGTCTGCAGCCCAGGGATTGGGAACCTCTGGTATATGTTATCAGTAGTAATAATGATTATGTAAAATAGTTGTAAGCCACAGAAGTAACCAAATTTCCTTGTCAATTATGTCTTTATGACTGTTCTAAGACTCTTGTCATTCATAGTTGTTTTACTTTTATCACTTTCAAAAGGTGGTTTTATAATCAGCTATAGGACTCTGACAGGTACTCTTGAATGCAGGCTTCTGATAACTTTGGAGACTGTGATACTAGAATAGAGGAAAAACTTCCAAGACTCCCACAGAGAGCTAATGTGTTCATAAACATTGAGCAGAACAGGAGTTAATTACCCAGATGAAACTAATGGAAAACTGAAATAATCTTTTTGTGACTTCGAAACATTGTTTGAAACTCAGAAACTTTTGTTTCTGAATTTGTAACATTGTTTCTTTTTCTAACTTTTGTTTCTGAGTCCAGAAAACCATTTTTCTTTGAGCTATTTTGCAGCTTTTAATATTGGGTTAACTATGTTAGTGTGAGAAAAATCTGAAGCATATTTCTACCTGATTTTTCCAGAATTTGAAAACTATTTGCAAGTATACGTAGTTTATGGTAGTATAGTTATTTGCAAAAAATTGATAAGACTCTGTTTTCTTTTGTAACAGGACACAATTGAAGGCACTGATTTTACTGAGGCTTTGATTGGAATGGCAGATCCAAACAGATTACTTTAAGTAATCAAAGTTGACTTATAGAGCCAATAAAATCCCCTTGAGAAAGCTGGCCTCATATATTGTCTACACAGTACATGTACAGGTTCGTGACCTGTGGTAAGTAAAGAATGGCACTTTCTGACAGGCCCAAGGAGTCCCAGATTATCTTGGGACCTCAGTAAGTAATTTACCCAATTAATGTGGGTATTTACAGGCACAGATAAATCCATGGCTGCGCCCAAGGCGTTGAAGTGTAATCTGAGATTCCTTATGGAATAAAGTTCCAGCAAAACAAAAGAGCGTGCACGGCAAATAGTTATTCTTGCTGACTTTATACAAATACTCAGGCAAAGTATAATAAAACTAACGCTTATTTTACACATAAATTTGTCCTATGATTTGTCTTTAGTGAAAATGGGGCTTGGAGAGAGAAAAAATATGTTTCAAAATGAACTACAGTACACCTGTTGTTAGATTCTAGTCTTGCCTAATGTTTTCTCAATTTTTCTTATTTTCTAGTTTAGGCTGGATTCTAAAATTTTTCCTGGCTACAAGTCTCCAAAAATAATGTTTTCATTTTTTTTCTTTCTTTCCTTTCCTTTTTTTCCATTTTTCCTTATTTGAAATCACTAAAAATTAAGCTGTGCTTTCTTTTTTTTTTTTTTTTTTTTTGAGACGGAGTCTCGCTCTGTCGCCCAGGCTGGAGTGCAGTGGCGGGATCTCGGCTCACTGCAAGCTCCGCCTCCCGGGTTCACGCCATTCTCCTGCCTCAGCCTCCCAAGTAGCTGGGACTACAGGCGCCCGCCACTACGCCCGGCTAATTTTTTGTATTTTTAGTAGAGACGGGGTTTCACCGTTTTAGCCGGGATGGTCTCGATCTCCTGACCTCGTGATCCGCCCGCCTCGGCCTCCCAAAGTGCTGGGATTACAGGCGTGAGCCACCGTGCCCGGCCAAGCTGTGCTTTCTTAAAACCCTGTGAACTGAAGCTAGACAACTTCAGCTTCAGAAAAAAATAACAGCAACCTATTTACATACATAAAACACTTTCATACCTGCCTACAGATGTATGGACTTCAGAGTAATATGGCCTATATTGATTTTCCAGGATTGTTCTCCATCTTTTTGTTTGTTGTTTTCTTTCTCTCTTCCTCCCCCTACTTTTTTTGTCATAGAACATGATACTTCACAACCTGCTAAAAATAAGGTTTCCTAATAATGTGTGACCTACCCATCTAGAAACAAACCATCTTTGCCACAAGAGATCAAACAAAATCTGAGACCAGAGATTCATTTTCTTCTTAAATGCTTTCTCCAAAAGATTTAAGAAAGAAAGTGGTAAAAATGTGAAAGGAAAATAAATCTCAGGGCCCTAAAATCATTAGGCCAAGGGAAAATTAGTGAAAAACATTTTCACTAAAGACAAAGCCAAGGGAACTACATCAGGCAAACCCACTTCCCATTTTATTCCTAAATCAGATAGCTATAAAGATTCTTTTTAAAGCGACATACCTTTCTCACAATTTGCCCACAAAGAAATTCCTTGTGGGACTCAAGATCTTTACCCTAAAACAGTTCTGTTGAATTTTACCCTGGCAATGTAAACTGATAACTTATCTTCACAGGTGTCAGACAGAAAGTCACCCCTCTGCTCACCTGAGACAAATGCATATCTGATTACTCCCTCTACCCTATTGTTTGTGTAAAAATGCAGATTCACCAAGCCAGACTAAATTGTATATTCAGTGAAAGGCAGATCAAGGACTCAAAAGATTGCAACCTCTTGTCTCTTATCTACCTATGACCTGGAAGCCGCAGCTTCAAATTGTCTCGTCTTTCTAGACTGAATCAATGTACATCATACACATATGGATTGGTGTCTTCCGTCTCCCTAAAATGTATAAAAGCAAGCTATACCCCGACCACCTTGAGCACATGTTGTCAGGACCTCCTGAGGCTGTGTCACAGGTGCGTGCTTAATCTTGGCAAAATAAACTTTCTATATTGAGACCTGTCTCAGATATTTTGAGTTCACATATACAGAGTTGGGACTTTAAATAATTTTTTTTAAATTTTAGTTTTGTATTTTCACTTTCTTTTTTTAAATTTTTATTTATTAATTTTTTTTTTTTTTTTTGAGACGGAGTCTCGCTCTGTCACCCAGGCTGGAGTGCAGTGGCGCGATCTCAGCTCACTGTAAGCTCTGCCTCCCGGGTTCATGCCATTCTCCTGCCTCAGCCTCCCGAGTAGCTGGGACTACAGGCGCATGCCGCCACGCCCAGCTAATTTTTTTTTTTTTGTATTTTTAGTAGAGATGGGGTTTCACCATGTTAGCCAGGATGGTCTTGATCTCCTGACCTTGTGATCTGTCCGCCTCGGCCTCCCAAAGTGCTGGGGTTACAGGCATGAGCCACCGCGCCCGTCCTGTATCTTCACTTTCTAACTCATCCACTACAAATATATTTCTTTTGTGAAAAAGAAACATTTTAAGTAGGCAAACTAAAGAATGCTACTACAAAACCAAGTAAAATCTCCTGCTTATGGATTCAGTTACTTCTGACTTCAAAGCAAAGACTTAAAAAGCACTGTGATTCCATAACCGAGATTTTGGGAAGAGGGTTTAACCTCCTTTAGCCTAGTAAAGAGCATCTACAAAGTCATATACACTAGCATTTTCTAGGCTAATAATGCTGTTTATTTAATAAACATAGCCTATATTATGCAACCTGGGCTTTGTCACACTTACCTTGTGAATCTGTTTCATGTGAGATCCCACTTAATGGACCGTTTATCAGAATGATTAAGAGGAAAATTTGCTTTTGATGGTGTATGGTTTTGACACTTGAAACTGCTATCTTAGTACAGAAGCATTAACCTTAATACACTTTATTTTATTATTTTTTTAGAGACAAGCTCTTGCTCCATCACCCAGGCTGGATTGCTGTGATGCAATTGCAGCTCACTGTGGCCTTGAACTCCTGGGCTCAAGGGATCCTCCTGCCTCAGCCTCCCAAAGTGCAAATTCTTTTATCAGAGAATAAATGAGATTTTAAGCACTTTAGTATTTGGAAAGGCTCATAATATATAAAACATCTTCACCATCCTCCTGAATCCTCATACAAATGTCTTACCAGAATGCTTATACTATCTGACAGTTACAAAGCTTATTCTTTTTTGTCTGAATTTTCAATATAGGTTTAATGCTTGATATCTGTGCAAGGCAAATGAAGAATAGAGCCCTTGCAAATTCACACACATAGCAAAATAAAATTATATTTATGAAGACTCTAAAGAAGGGGATCTCATTATGCAAAATTCACAAAGGCACTTTACAAAACTCCTGGGGTCCAGGTCTGTGTGAAAAAGCAGGATTTAGGTTAGTTTGGGCCATAAAGAAATCTGCATACTTACCTGTAACCAAAGAAACTTTGAGGCCAGCAGGGATTTGCTATAATACATTCTGTTTCAGAATAGGCATCAAAATCACCGTGTGGTTTTCTAACACTTTGACTCGTGTGCATATGCTGGGGCCCAACCTCTGAGAGGCTGTCAAGTAGGCACAGATTGTTCTGATGCCCAAGCAGTATCTAAACAAATATTCGCATGTCTATTATACAATGTATAAGAAGGCACTTTGCCTGGGCTACTTAGGGATTCAACAGGTAATTCTTGAGCCTAATCAAGAAGCATACAGTACTCTGAGAATGACAGCATCAAGCTATTGCAATGACAAGAATGTAGCAATGAATGCTGACTGGGGAAATAGAGGAGGCTTCTTAAAATGAAATGCATCTGAGCTAGGCCTTCAAAGATACAGAGAATATTAATAGGAAGGGTGTGACAAATGGAGAGAGCAATAAGAGCACAAGCAAGCTGAAGAAGAGTTCTTGAGGAGACAAAGCCACAGATGATGTGGCTGGTATCTCCCAGAGAAGAGTTAGTGAGAGCTAAAATATGCAAGAGAAGATACGGCTAGGTTATCAGGGGCCTTGAATGTTACTCTAAGAAGTCTGTACAAACAGGTATTTGAGCATAAGATAAATGCTCAGATGTATATTTAGGAAGAGCATTTTAATGGATGAATGAAATAGGGGGTGGATGAGACCACAAAAATCACTGGGAAATTTTGCAATGTATCAAGCAAGAGGCAATGCAAGCCTGAATTAGGATGGTGGAAATGTAAAGAAAGGGATATATTTGATACACGCAGAGGTAGAATAGAAAGGAATCATTGAGGAAATGACAGAGACACTAAGTTGATGCCAGGCACCCAGGACAATGATTGGCAAATGGTAGGTGCTCAGTAAATATTTGGTAATGCAATTTAGGAAGTCTCAGATGTTTCCTGACATGTTACAGCAAAGGAATAGGGAGGGGATGGAGGAGCTAAGGTTTACTGAGCACGAATGGAGGTGAGAAACAAAAGGGAGTGAATGCAGATTACAGTTTGGATTTAAAAGAGAGGGAAAAGACACAGTACTTGAGAGAAAAATAAACTAGACACAAGATTAGTTAGGGAGTGAAAAGAGAACCTTAGCAGGCTAATGAAGGATAAATAGAACTGAGGAGATGAGGAGGAATATTAGTTACAGAATATCTTCACAAAAACAGAGCAGAAATTCATGCATGTATTCATGATATAAAATTATATAACACTTTTTAATGATAAAAGCAGATGAACCCAGTATTTTACTTTCTTCTTCTTCTTTTTTTTTTTTTTTTTTTTGAGAGGAAGTCGCACTCTGTCACCCAGGCTAGAGTGCTAGAGTGCAGTGGCACGATCTTGGCTCACTGAAACCTCCGCCTCCCGGGTTCAAGCGATTCTCCTGCCTCAGCCTCCCGAGTAGCTGGGACTACAGGTGCGCGCCACCAAGCCTGGCTAATTTTTGTATTTCTTTAGTAGAGGTGGGGTTTCACCATATTGGCCAGGCTAGTCTTGAACTCCTGACCTCATGATCCACCCGCCTTGGCCTCCCAAAGTGCTGGGATTACAGGCGTGAGCCACTGCGCCTGGCCCAGTATTTTACTTTCTTTCAAGCCCTAGCTTTCCTCTCAATTCCATCCCTCCATGCCTTACAGCTTTTCCTTTATGTGAACCTCCACAACAAAACATTCACTCCTAATACATAGTCTATCCCTGGAATAATAATATGATGCTTATTCAAAGGCACCTGTAGAAACTTGAGTAAGTAAAACAGATGATCCTAACCAAATCCATCAGAGGGCACTTAAAATATGTGCTCCCAAAGTTCCAAGGCATTTAAAATGACGTGTACACATTCTCTAATACTAGAAACATTGTGGAATCTTATGAATTGTAAAATACAAAATTAATTAGGTTGTTGAATTACAACCACTTTCCAAATTAGCAAGGTAATGATATTCATGTGTTAACTTCTCTGTGCTGATGGGGTAAATAATCAATGCTTTTTGTAGCTTAGTTTCCCTCCTAAGATGAAGTTAGAACAGACACTGAGTTGTAAGTTATTTTCCAGCTCAAAAATTAAATTTATAATAGAATCTATACAACTATTTAAAAATCTATACAACTCACCTTGTTTCAATTCAGTAAATGGGATTTGAACAAACAAAAATGAAAAAAAAAAGACTGATAGGTAATCCTCACCTGCAGAAAAACATGTGGACATATTCAATTCATTAAAACAACTGAGATTGTAAGATTCAATTGCAATATGAAAGTGCTTGGGATGTTTAGTATGCTCCATGAACACGGCTTCTTAAAATGTACAAAATAGATTAGGCCATCTTTGAAAAAGCTTGTTCCTCCATTTTGAATGTATCTTTAAGTAGAAGCTAATTTCAGAAGGTTCCCATTTTGCCATAGGGTTTAAAACCACATCTGATGACCATTACATTGTTCAACAACGATTTCATCCCCAAAAATGTTTCCCAAAGTAGTTCTGTCTCTTAGAATTTATGTGATCAAACGTGATGAGAATGACTCCAAACTACTAAGAACCTAAGAGAAAATGTTCTTCAAAAAATTTCACCAAAGCCGGGGCGTGGTGGCTGATGCCTGTAATCCCAGCACTTTGGGAGGCCGAGGCGGGCGGATCACTTGAGGCCAGGAGTTCGAGAACAGCCCGGCCAACATGGAAAAACCCCACCTCTACTAAAAATACGAAAACTAGCCGGCCATGGTGGTGCATGCCTGTAATCCCAGCTATTCCGGAGGCTGAAGCACCAGAATCGCTTGAACCCGGGAGGTGGGGGTGCAGTGAGCCGAGATCGTGCCACTGCACCTCCAGCCTGGGTGACCCAGTGAGACTGTCTCAAAAAAACAAAAATGCCCCAGTTGTCATCTGAATTGATATTACTTAAAATGATAACCTGACAAGGGGAGATTTCCTATCAGCTGAAAAATAACAGGATTCATAGACCTCTAATTTTAAATGTATTTGGGGCCTCCTAGTTCTGTTTTTCTCTCATTTGTCTTATTTCTGCTGCCCCCTTGGAATTGTAGCATTAGGGCACAAAATCTTTTCCTACTCTATACAGTAGGGAAGAGAAAAAGGCAGAGATCTGCTCCAGATAAGCCACTTGTGTGTATATCTACATAATATTCCACTCTTAATTTCTTGTACTACTCAGTAATCTGAAAGGTAAAATGAATGTTCCTGGCAAGTTAGACACACTTGTACAGAAATGTTCGGCTCTTTGTGTTTGTACTTTCTGTAAGTCTTATACCTATGTACTAGGGTTTTTACAGGGAAAGTGGTGGTATAATTTGTAAGATGTATGGTTGAAAGAAAATATTCCTATATGTGCAAACATATCCAACAAAAATCCCCCAGCACCTAAGAGAACAAATTATATAAGTTAAATCTAGTTATGTTTTACCCATCCAAGTAGCTGCCCACAATCTTGGATAATCATACCTGTGTATAGGTAGGTACCAAGAAGAGGACCTGGATTGATAATCTTTTCTCATCTTGCTCAAAAGAGGGCAAGGTGAGCCATACTTAGTTATTAACTAAGAGGATTAACTCAGAAAGACTTTATGAGGTTCCTTTAACACTCCACTAGTAATTATATCTCAATTAAAGCTATATTATGCTAATGAATACAAGTTATTAAAGTGAAGCACCTTGAAGTTAAAATTCAAGCTCCTTAGAATGGTGGTTACTAGAGGTTTAGAAGAGAGGAAGGGGGGATGAAAAGAAGTTGGCTAAGGGGTATAAAATACAGTTAGATAGAAGGAATAAGTTATAGAATTCAACAGTACAGTAGGAAAATTACAGTTAACAATAATTTATTGTATATTTCAAAATAGAAGAGAAGATTTATAAGTTCCCAACACAAAGAAAAGATGTATGTTTGAGGTGATGGGTAGCCCAATTACCCTGATTTGGTCATTACACATTATATACAGGTATCAAAATATCACATGTACCCCCAAAATATGTACAACTATTCTATATCAATAAAAAATTAAAAACTTCAAACTCTTTTTCCAGCACCATTAAAGTTTTGCAAAAATCATGAGACTGCCCCAAATTTTTCACTTTTTTTCACTGAGAAAGCAAGACTTGCCTTCCAGCTAATAACATATCACTATGTACTAGAAAATATGTTTTCCATATAAAAAGAAGGGAAGTAAGACTACTATTCCCTGCTCATATGAGGGGACAAAATTACAGGGGCTAATTCCTCCTGATTATGTTTAGCAAAGTTTTTCTGTGCTTCTTTTCCATTTTCTGTGAGATACTATATCATAATTTAAAGCTCCAGCTCAAAAGCCACTGTAATCAAGCAAGAAAACTTTTATGAAGGTTTCTTGGAATAATACATTTCTTTTCATTATGGAGCACAAATTGGATAATTTAGTGTAGGCAATGAATGAAATAGAGGCAATCTGACCATACTTGCTACCTCTGTATCTTGAGAATCCTGAAAGATAGGGTTTCTCTTATTCCTTTTGGGCTGGGTGGAATGATGGTTGCCCTCTTTACTGCCATTTCTTCTTCTTTTCCTGAAAATAAATTGTAAAGAGAGAGTTGTTACATGAAACAACTGATCTTTTGGATGCTTAAATTGTAAAGCCGTGACAACATACATATATGAGAACTTGTCTGAAAAAATGTCACTATCTGCTATCCCAAGATATAAAAGTCATATAAGTACTCCATTACCAGGCATGAAGATAAAAAAATGTAATACAAGAACTCTAAGTAAAGCCAAGCTGTGCATTTCATTTCTAGAAATAATTTTCATAACCTTAAATGATCCTTGAAAATAAAGAATATGAGGAATTTAATAGCTAAGTTTTCAAAATCTACCTAATTAGTTTCATTGTTTTGACTCCATGAAGTTACAATTCCAGGGTAAGTGATTTTTAACTCCTTCAATAAGATCGTAAGACATGTGTGTCTGCCAGTGTCTACTCTTAAGTTCTTATGCCAGTGGTGTAGCGACACTGAAGAGATATTTCTTGTATGCTGAATGTGGTTAGGCACTTACTGTTGCTATACCAGCTAATATTATGACATAGTTACTCCACTAGATTGTCACCATGAGATTGTGGCTGATTACTTCCTTGAAACATTCTTTTCTCAAAATTGTTTTCAATGATTGGTAAGATTACATCTTCAGTTTCAAGTTCCTTGTCAATAAGTAATCAGATTGCAGCGTTTGACATAGTTTTCACAGCACTCTATTATTAACCAGACATTTGCTTAGAGACTTACTTTTGAGTTTTTGGTACTCCTAAGAATGGCTGAGTTTACTCATTTTTATAATTTCATTACTCTTTAATCAATTCTCATCTCTAGGAGACTGAGTACTAGGAGACTCTAGGAGACTGAGTACTGAGTACAAAATGCCAAATAAAAAATCACGTAGAAAACTGCTCCTATATTACACTCCATTATGAAATGATTGATTATATATAAAGAAAAAATGACCGGGTGTAAATATTATTTTATTTCACAATGTTTATTGAGCATCCACTAAGTGCTAGGCACTCCTCCAGGTGCCAGGATAAAAGAGTGAAACAAACACATGCCACAGCTCTGCCTTCATTAGGGAGCATGGTGATGTTTGTCTTTGATCATGGTATTTTGAGTATTTGAGTATTTTGCGCTCAAGTTTTACTGAAACTTTCAACAGCTTACAATACGTTTGCATTGTTTTTAAAACAGAGTAATACTATGAAAATGATTTTTCAAAGTGTGAAGCTGAGTTTAAAAAGCGGAATGTTCATGAAACAATGTTAATCTCATTTTTTAAAATGCAACTTTACGAATGAAAAACATCTAAGGAAATTTATCACAGAATATGATTAATGGTCACGGCTGGGTGATCGGACTGTGGATAAGATTGGTTTCCTTTATTACGCTTTAACAGTCTAACCAAGTTTTCTACCATGAGATTCAGAGACGTTTGTAATGAAAGAATACATTGATAAAGGTCCATAGAACCCCAGTAACACGTGGAGAAAGATGACAAAACCAATCAGAGAAACAGAAATACCAGTTGCTAGGGTACCTAGCAGCCTCACCGAGGAAATGCCAATTTGAAAAACAGAATGCTATTGTCCACTGACTGAGTTTTCGCGAGGGACCACATCCCCACCTCACCCCCGCCTCCAGGGCTTGTAAGGCACTGACAACCAAAGAACCAGCATGTTCTTTCGGAGAAGGCTTCGCGGGATTTTTTTTCAAGCACGAAGGGCGGGGCACGAGGCAAGCAGGGCCGCGCCACCGGCCAACACTGTCACCTGCAGGTCATGAGAGCCGAGCGCCACCAACCCCGGAAGAAAATACATATCCGCTGCGTTTCCGCCCTGAGCCCCGAGATCTTGGCTGAGAAAGCAAAGCGTGATGACCGTGGGGACCAGAGCTCGGACTGGTACCGGCCGGAAAGGCCCCGACGAACTTACCGTACAGGGCAGCCTCCCATAGTCCTGCCCTCGGAACCATAGCAACCGCGCAGGAAGTTCCTGCGCCGCCGGAAAAACGCAGCCCGGAGGGCGGGGCTGGCCAAGGATTGACGGGCTCTGGGCCTGCGCATCGGAGCCCGGGGAGGTCGGCTCCTGTTTCCTCTGGGTCCGCCGCAGGCTCCCTTCCCTGCAGTTGGGAGCTGACGCCTGAGGGACGATCCGCTGAGGGTCAGGCTCTGCTGCGCGACTGCCCGAGCCGCCCCATGTTCGAGACCTGTGCCAATCCCATGGACATTCTCCTCCCACCCAGCCAGCCTCTGAACACGCTTCTCACGTGGCACACGCCCTGTCCTCGCAGCCCTCACACCGCTGATCCTCCTCGGCGACCTCAGCGCCCCCGGGGCTGACCAGGCCGTGGCCGGCGCCTCTCCGTCCTCGGGGGGGTCTCCTTCCCCCCACTTAAGTCTCTTCTGCCCGCGGTCATGCCCTGGGCCTCAGGAAAGACCGCGCCCCTCCACGATGTCCATTTCTTGCATCCCCCATTCTCATAACGGGCAGCACCCGATCGTGTCCTAACAGCTACCTCTTCCAGTGCCCCAGCATCCACAGCCTTTAGCCTCAAGGAGGCCTCCTCTCCACTAACCACAACCGCGTTCCTCACCATTCACCTTCCTTAGCCAGCTTACCCAAAGCTATTAACTCTCTCCTCCCTACTCTCCTGGCAGTCCCCCCGCCGCCAAGTAGACAAACAATGTACACCCTCCACAAGTGTACCTTCTCTGTCTAGTCTACTTACAAGATCCCTCCACAAGCACCAGCACCCAATTTTCTCATGATATTCACTGATATTCCCTTGAGAAAATAGAAGCAATCAGAGAAGAATTCACACCACTTCCCAACAGCAGTAGACCTGCACTTATAATCTTGGCTGCTTCCCTGGAGGAAGAGACAGGATCCTACTTGAGACCAGGCCCTTCACCTGGATCCTATGCCTTCCACCTTCTTAAGGGATCATCCTTTGCAGTTATGCTTTCTCCTGAATTATCATGTTCCTCTATCTGTATTTATTATCTAAAAAGTTGGCAAAGGGAGTGCTAGAGTTTAGGCTGATCCTGGTTCTTGCTGTTAAGTAGGTGATCTCACAGGGGGCTGCATTCCCTGAGGATGGAAGGGAAGATGTGGAAAGTGGCTGATTCAAGAACTAAAGATCATGCCATAAAGGAAGCCTAACCCAGCTAGGGGCTAGGTGACCCTGCAGCCGAGGCTGTGGAGTAGACAGCCCTGGACAGGGGACTTTTAGACTGCCATGTTTGTCGCTGCATTGTGCAATTTTAACAAGAATCCTGCTAAGTCAGTTTAGTTAGAATTTCCCATCATCAATATCTCAGTTAGGTTCCTCATCCCCCAGGTGATGTCTAGTCACCCTGGCCCACCTTCACCAACAATCCTGTTAGTTCAATTTAGCCACAATACCCCCTTACCCGTGGTGTTTCCTCTTAGTAATTTTCCGTCCATTGCTCCCCACCCTGCTCCTTGGCTATAAATTTCCACTTTTCGTTGTTGTATTTGGAGTGGAACCCAGTTTCTCTCCCTTCACTGCAAAACCCCATAGCAGTGGTCCCTACACCTATCTTGATGGTCCTGAATGAAGTCTGCCTTACCGTTCTTTAACAAATGCCATGAATAATTTTTTTTCCTTAACACCCTTCACTTGGATCCCATGCCCTTCCACATTCTCAAGGAACAAGCTTTTGTAATGATCATTCCTTTTACTTGAATCACCATGTTCTCCATGTCTATCGGATCATGCTATCGTCTACAAAGTGGGCAAATAGATGGTTAGAAATGAGGGATTTTGCTTTCAAGAGCTGATCTTGGTTATTGCTGTGTTGTAGGTGAGACCCCAAGGGGCTGCATTCTCTGAGGAAGGTGGAGGGGTTGGAGGGTATGGAAAGTGGCTGATTCAAGAGCCAGGGGTGCTACCATGGGGCAAGCTTAAGCCAGATAAGGACTAGGTTACCTTGCAGCTGAGGCTGTGGAGTGGACAACCCTGGCCAGGGGCTGAAGGGAGGATGAAGCCCAGATTCAGAGGGGTCTGCAGAAGCTAGCACACATGGGCTGAGGCTGAGTCAGCCAGGGAGTACCAGATTCTGACCAAGATGAGAGAGACAAAAATGCAAGTTACACCAGCCACAGACATACGTGAGCAAATCAGCATCACCAGCAGGATTTGGGAGATAAGTTAGCCTTCCTTCAGAAACCACTGAGGACACTGCAATCAACATGAGACTCCTAAGCAATGCAGACCATGTATTAGGCCATCTTGCATTGCTGTAAAGAAATACCTGGAGTCTGGGTAATTTATAAAGAAAAGAGGTTTGAATTAGCTCATGGTTCTGCAGGCTGTACAGAAAGCATGGCGCCGGATTTGTCAGAGGCGTTCGAACCAGAGCAATTCTATCTTGAAAAAATAGGAAAAATCTAGGAAAAAGGAGGCTGGGATTTGCTTGGCTGCATTCTCAGAAAATTAGGTATTTCTAGCCTCTAGATGTTTTTACTGAACAGACCCAGACTTAGGAGTGTCGTGATATCCCAATATCTTGAGAACAGAAGCATTCCTAATTTTGCTTTAAAGATCATAATATCAATTCTTGCAAGATATAGTAATTAAGAAAATTAATCCTTTATCACAAACCCTTGTAGCAGAGCACATCTCCCCATAATCTTTTTTATCCTGTATATAAACGAGTATTGTACCTAGGGTGGATGCATTCCTTTTCTTACTTTTGGGAATATCCTACTCTGTCTGTAGAGTAGCTGTACTTTCACCACTTTACTTTCTTAATAAATTTGCTTTTGCTTTGCACTGTGGACTCACCTTGAATTCTTTCTTGGGCGAGATCCAGGAACCCTCTCTTGGGATCTGGATCGGGACCCCTTTCTGGTAACAGCTTCTGGGGAGGCCTCAGGAAGCTTTTGCTCATGGTAAAAGGTGAAGCAGGAGCAAGCACTTCACGTGGCAAAAGCAGGAGCAAGAGAGAGAGAGAGTTGGAGGAGGGGAGGGAGGCGCCACACACTTTTAAATGACCAGATCTCATGATTATTATGTAATGTCCGATTTTGTCCCTTGTAATAATCTCCACTATAAAGAGTGCTTTGTGAGGTATTAATTTGACACCTTGAGTTTTTATGTGGTTCATGTTTGCAGGGTATATCTTCTTCCATCCTTTACTTGTAACTTGTTTATTTTTAAAGTGAGGTTCTCTTTTTCCCAAGATACAGATTAGCGATAAATATATTGTGAAAATCAAGATCTTCTTGCAGCCGTGAAACGGTAACAGTAAAAACACCAAAAAATCAGATGTAGAAGTTAATATGGAACTGAAGTGTTATGCAGAAATCCACAGAATAATTTGTTAGGTTCCTCAAAAGAACCTCAATCAAATTTACTGACAGCCTTTATAGAAAGATAACTTGAAACTAAAGTGATACATTTATATGAAAAATATTACTTTATCACCCCATTTTCTGCAGTAGGCTTTTAGATGAAATTTCATTTCACAAAAGTGTTCTGTTGCTAAAAATATTTTGAAAATGGCTGTATAGGATAATGTTTCAGAGGTCTCTCAGCTTAGAAATTTTGGGATTCAAATATCCTTCTCTACATTGAATGGAAAAAGTGAAAAGAGAACAATATCATGGGGGAGGGAAATGTTGGTCTACTGTATTTTTCTTTTCTTTTTCTTCCTAAACTAACCGGTCTGTGTTGGTTCTCAGCTGTGCTGTTAATCCAGGTAAAAGATGCCCTTCAGGAGAATACATGGATTCATTGGGCCCCAGGGAAGTTTTGAATTGCTCAGAAACAACAGCCAGAATAACTTTTGAAAGGCTGTAAATGGAGATGATTGAGATCTTCTGATATGGTTTGGTGGTGTCCCCACCCTGTGGAAGGGACTCGGTGGGAGGTGATTGAATCATGGGGGCAGGTCTTTCCCATGCTGTTCTCACGATAGAGAGTGGGTCTCACAAGATCTGATGGTTCTATAAGGGGGAGTTTCCCTGTACAACCTCCCTCCCTTTGTCTGTTGCCATCCGTGTAAGACGTGACTTGCTCCTCCTTGCCTTCCACCATGATTGTGAGGCCTCCCCAGCCATGTGGAACTGTGAGTTCTCCATTAAACCTCTTTTTGTTTTTTTTCTTTTTTGTAAATTTCCCAGTCTCAGGTTTGTCTTTATCAGCATCATGAGAACAGACTAATACATCCTCTGATTTATGTTACTTCTCACTCAAGTTGCTCAAAGTGCCTTCTCATCAAGAGCTGTTTGGGTAGAGACAGACACATTTGTTCAGCCCTATTTTTCTCTGTTTTCTTCTCCTCCTTCCTTCCTCTTTCCCTCCCTCCCTCCCTCCCTTCCTTCTTCCTTTCTTCCTTCTTTGTACAAAAAATAAGTGAATTTATTTCTTCTCAGTAGAAATATCAGAATATTTCATAAATTTTGTGAGTTTTTTTGAAACTTTTATTTTGGGTTGAGGAGTACATGTGCAGGTTTGTAATACAGGTAAATGCGTGTCACAGGGTTTTGTTGTACAGATAATTTTGACACTCAGGTATTAAGCCTAGCGTCCATCAGTTATTTTTCCATATCCTCTCCCTCCTCCTACCCTCCACCCTCTGATGGGCCCCAGTGTGTTGGTCCTTGCTATGTGTCCATGTGTTCTGATCATTTAGCTCCCACTTATAAGTGAGTAAATGTGGCATTTGGTTTTCTGTTCCTACATTAGTTTGCTAATGATAATCACCTCCAACTCCATCCATGTTGCTGCAAAGGTCATGATGTCTCTCTTTTTCTTATAGACGCATAGTATTCCATGGTGTATATGTACCACATTGTCTTTATCCAGTCTACTATTGACAGGCATTTAGGTTGATTCTGTCTTTTTTATTGTGAATAGTGCTTCAATGAACATACTTGTGCATGTGTCTTTATATACCTAGTAATGGGATTCTGGGTCAAATGGCAGTTCTGCTTTTAGCTTTTTGAGGAATTGCCACACTCCTTTCCACAGTGGCTGAAATAATTTACACTTCCACCAATAGTGTATAAGCATTGCCTTTTCTCCATAAACTCACCAGCATCTGTTATTTTTGTTCTTGATTTTTTTATTTAGCCTTATACTGTTTGACTATTTTTTTATTTGAGACAGGGTCTCATCTGTCTGTGAACGTGGATTCTACTTATGTCAGAGACTTCTAGGGATTCCAGCTCTCTCAGCTGCCTACGTTTGAACTTTATGAATTTATTACATTTCAGTTGTTTCCTTCTTACCCACTTTTATGACTGTCACTTCTTGCACACATGTTCTGCCAGAGGTAACACAGTTTGTGTGTGTCATCTCTCCTCAGAGGGGCTTGTCATCCTCTTGTATCAGTTCCCATGGCTGCCTTATTACCTCAGCTCTCTCATGATCTAAAAAAAAATGATAATATAGGTTATTAGGCTTTTTCTCATTTTCAGGGCTAAAGTGACTTTCTCTTGAGCCTTTCTAAATATTATGTGGAGGTAGAGCTCTCCTTTGTTAATATTTTGACTACTGGTACAAAAATGCAGCATTCAAATATTTGAATTAAAAGATAATCCAGGGGATAGCTGACTATGGCTTGGTAGCTAAATCCAGCCCATGGCTCATTTTTGCATAGCCTTTAAGATAAGGACTTTTTTTTTTTTACATTTTAAACTCTTATTTTTAAAAAACACAACAATATGCCACATAATCTATGTGGCCCACAAAGACTAAAATATTTATTGCCAAGCCTGTTAAAGAAAAATTCATGACCCTGTATTAATCTAATATCTACCATTCTGCATCACATTAAGAAATACATTTTCATCCATTATTTAATTTATTTACTCGCAGATTGAAAAGTGTGGATTATTTTCTGATCTTACCCTATCCCCTTAAGAAAGCATCCAGCTTTACCAAACCATGTTTTCAGTCTGAGAAACTTGTCCCAGGGCTTAAATGATACAGAAACATATATCTGAGGTAGGAGACTGGCAGGACTTGTTTCTGGTCATAACCCTGCTGACTAAAACAGAATCTGATTCAGACAGAATAAAGTGGATAAACTGGCAGAAACCAGCAGATGGCCACAAGGGTGATCCCTGGTTGCCCTTATTGCTTATTAGCATGAGACACTCCCACCAGCACCATCGCAGTTTACAAATGCCATGGCAATGACCTGGAAGTTACAACAGCTTCCCATGGCAATGGCCTGGAAGTTACCCCCTTTCATAGAAAGTTCTAAATATCTCGCCCCTCAACTTGCATTAACCTGCCCTTAATGTACATATAATTGAAAGTGGGTATAAGTCAATAGAAATGCGTTTGCAAAGACCCCATAAGTTGGTGACTCTGAGTGTAGTGCCTATGAGTTAGCCCTGCTCTGCAAGGAGGAGTTCCATTCAATAAAAGATTGCTGTCTGACACTACCAGCTCACACTTGAAATCTCTCCTGGGCAAAGCCAAGAGCCCTCTCAGGCTAAGCTTCAATTTTGGGGCTGGCCTATCCTGCATCAGTTTCAAAGGGAGAATTTTTCCAAGTATTCCATGATTGTGTATTTCTCAAGGTCATTTAAAAAAATGTCAATATCTCAGAATCTTTCATTCTATGTCTTGGTCAATGTATCATTTATGTAAGCATGATGGTGACATATACCTCAAGTGTAACGTCTGTTAGTCTGATTATAAATGCAGTAGAATTATTGCCCAGTAAGATGTAACATCAAATATGCATATTTAATTGCATTGGACTCCTCCGAGTACTTACAGGAAAGTTGGTAAGAATAAATATTCATGCTTGAAAATATTTTGGAATATGTGTAAAACGGATCAAATCCGAATACCACAGATGGCACTGTCACTAGATGCTAATGAAGTACATAATAGGAACCATAAGAGACAGTCAATAATAAAGGGGGGAAATGAAAGGGAACACATCAAAGCACCATCAGATGAGTGCAGAAGCACACACATGAACACACCCTGTAGCTGCAGAAACACATGGTAGGAACTAAAGCCCCACCACTAATCAGACTTTTTCTCACCAACTCAGGAGTTCGCAAATGAGTTTGCTAAGGGTCAAATGCCCACAATAAAACTGACCAATTTAAACATCACTGAGAGCTACTTAGAGCATTATGTAGAAAGCTACAGACAACAGTGAATTTATTCTGAGCAAGTCTTAATCCATCATCTTCACAGATGGCTAAAGAAAGGGCCTCTAAACATTTTGTCTCATAATCTCTAAGGTAGTGACCTTCAAACTCTTTTATTACAATGCATGAGAAATACACAGTTTGTATATACTTCAGTACACAAATAAATATAAGTATGTATATGTGGATGTGCCGTGTATTTGTATATTTTGTATGCAATGGATACTATTTACTAATTATTTTATCTCATTTCTTTAAAATTATCATTCTTTGAACTCATCCAGCTGGTCAAGGGTTATCTCCCACAAGAATGGTGGGAAGAAACTTAAATTTGGCATGAGGTTAAACACTGCCCTTTGAAGCTGGAGTGCGGCTACTCAGCAATCATTAAAATCCAGGTCTCAGTGAAGAACAACCATGCAGCCATCTGATGCCATGACTTTGATCATGTGTTAATTAGTTGCTCACAGAAAGTCTAAATCCGGAAATCACTATCTTCCATTCTTTGAGAACTTGTGAGTGCACTATACTAAAAACTGAAATTAACAAGAAAGATAAAAGATACACTAAATATTAGGTCAGGATTATGACTGCTCTTACTCCAAACAAACCAAAACCAAAACAAAACAAAACGAAAATAAAAACAAGGTCCAGGCGCGGTGGCTCAGGCCTGTAATCCCAGCACTTCGGGAGGCCAAGGCGGGTGGATCATGAGGTCAAGAGTTCGAGACCAGCCTGGCCAACATGGTGAAACCCCATCTCTACTAAAAATACAAAAATTAGCTGGGAGTGGTAGCGCATGCCTGTAGTCCCAGCTACTTGGGAGGCCAAGGCAGGAGAATCACTTGAACCTGGGAGGTGGAGGTTGCAGTGAGCCGAGATTGTGCCACTGCATTCCAACCTGGGTGACAGAGTGAGACTTCATCTAAACAAACACCTTGAAGAACCACAATTCCTACTCAAGCTGCTTTTTAGAGACAGAGAAATTGAGAAACCTCTCTTTTCCTACTCAAGGTATTTCCTTAAGGGAAGCCCAGCTGGATGGAATATATAGGAGTCAGCTCAACAAGATGTTCTAATTTACTTACAAAAAGCTACGTCTGATCAGGGCCCCCTTCCTATGCTTCCTTTTCATGTACTATTTCCCACATTAAACTGCTAAGTAATATAAAAGTAAAGACAACAGGAATCATGCACACAGCTTACTGTCTACGTTAGTGTGAGTTTATACTCCACTAGCTTCATCAACATGTTTACTAACACAGGAATCTCTTGCCTAGGAAAATAAACGTTGCAAAGAACTTTACTGTTGTTTCAGCAACTGCCTGAAAGATCTATCAACTCCTCAATAAAAGGTGTCAAATGACGTTTTTCAATCCCAAAACTCTTTGAAGCCTTAGTCTAAAAATCCTTGTCTTGTTGGCTCCATCAATCCTAAATCATTATGATTCCTACCCAATTCTAACAAAACTGTCCCTGACTTTAAAAGACCCACTTTACACCAGATTTCAAACTCAGAATAAATGTGCCTAAAGCCAGTACACATCTGACATACTAGTGGCTCTTTTGAGGTAGTGCTCTTCCTTACAGTGCTATGCAAATAATGTCAGAGCTCTCTTATGAACAGGTTATTTGGCTGCTATTTGGGGAGTGCAGTTTATGATGAGCATAGTCACCACTGCTGTACATCATGTCACAGTAGACTGAGCCTAGATCCTACCATCAACATCTATGGAGATTTCTGAACTATAACACTGCCTGAATGACCTACAGTTATATTCATGTAAATCTGTTACTATTCCAGAGAGTTAAATGTGCAATAACACAACCTAAAAATAGTAAACAGGTGTGTATTTATTTAGTCTGCATTAGAATTTAGTTAAACTCATTGCAAGCATGACAGAAAACACAGAACCAAATAAAAATTGATTAATCAAAGCATGTATAAAAATTGGCCAAGGTGGGAGGATCACTTGAGCCCAGGAATTCAAGACCAGCCTGAGCAACATAGTGAGACCACTGCCTAAAAAAATAAATCAATCAATTGCCCAGGTGTGGTGTCCACACCTGTAGTACCAGCCACTCGGGGGGACTGTGTCTTGAGGATTGCTTGAGCCCAGGAGATCGAGGTTGCAGTGAGGTATGGTCATGCCACTGCCCTCCAGCCTGGGTGTCTGAGTGACATCCTGTCTGAAGAAAAGCATTTATAAATATAGATATGAAAATAATTTAGTTCTTTCACAAAAGGTCTTTCTATGTCCTCCACTAAGGGTAATGTGGGACTGTCTGTTCCCAAAGTTTCTGGATGCATGAGAATGGTTGGCAAGAGACAAAACAAAACAAAACAAAAAGATCTCTCAAGTCCCTTTCTTTGTGTTCCTGAGACCCTGTGGATGTGAGTCTGGGGACAGCAGGAAAACCCTGTCTGGCCCTGCATGTATGTGACTTAATAGTGTGCATGCCCCTTGCTGGGCAAGTCCTTTGTTGCCCATGTGCCTTGGTGTCTGTCTCCTGTCCCTGCAGAGCCCTGATAGATGGTGACTTTTTTTTTTTTTTTTTTTAGGTGGACTCTCGCTCTGTTGTCCAGGCTGGCATGCAATAGCATGATCTCGGCTCACTGCAAACTCCGCCTCCCAGGTTCTAGCAATTCTCCTTCCTCAGCCTCCTGAGTGGCTGGGACTACAAGTGCACGACGCCACGCCCTGCTAATTTTTTGTATTTTAGTAGAGACAAGGTTTCAACGTGTTGCCCAGGCTGGTCTGGAACTCATGAGCTCAGGCAATCCGCCCGCCTCGGTCTCCCAAAGTGCTAGGATTACAGGTGTGAGCCACTGGGCCTGGCGACAGATGGTGACTTCTTTCGTTCTTGTCAACTAGGATCCAGCCAGTAGGTCCGCAGATCAGCCCTCCCAGAAGTTGAAGGGGGAGTGAGTGTGAGGAGGGGCGGGTGGTCTTTGCGTGCATCAGGCGACTGGATCCATGGCCACGTAGAGAAAAGGGTTGCAAGGTGGTCATCCTTCTACTAAAAGGCAGTGATGCTGCCATGGCCTTGTTGTCATGGGAGGACCAGACAAGGAAGGAAGGAGGGCCCTAGAGGGGAGGAGGGTCAGTTGCACTTGGAGTGAGTTGTGAAGGGGTACACTATTTGAGGTCTTTGAGTCCCTAAGCATATGAATCCTCCCACAGAGGACGGATTCCAACTTCCTTAGTGGGGACCTGGGAAGGAGAGGAGGACTGGACGTGGCGGGACAAGGAGGGGCAACTCAGCCCACAAGACAAAGTCAGATCTCACTGTGCATGCTTCTTGGGTGGCCGCCTCAGTGCACATGTTCACTAGGCTTCCTCTGGTCGACCCCTTTGCAGCACGTTGCAAACGCTATGGGGCTGAGAGGGTGTGAGGGTCGCTTTCCTGCTGTCTGGACTCTTTCTCCCCTACTGAAACATAGCGGGTAGGTCCGCAGGCCAGTCCTCCCGGGAGGTGAAGTGAGAATGAGTGTGAGGAGGAGCCAGCAAGCTTCTGAATGGGTCAGGCGGCGTGGTCCCTGGCTCAGAGGTAGAAGTGCCTCAAGGTCGTAGTTCTTCTCATGCGGCACCACGGCCATGGGCCTTCTGGTCTTGGCAAGGCCACAGCTAGGGAGCAAGGAGGGCCACGGAGTGGAGGGGGGTCAGGCGGAGTTGGGGCGACTGCTGGGGTTGCTGTTGGAGGTATCTGAGTCCTGGAAGCATCTGGAACCCCCAACAGAGGAGAGATTCCAGACTCCTAGGTGGGGAGTCTGGGTGGGTGGGAAGGGCTGTGAAGGGACGAAGTGCGTGGTAAGGAAGGAGGCTAGAAACTGGGAACGCTGTGGGCTGGTGACCACAGCCCTGAGTTCTGTAGAGTGCCCGGCAGAGGTGGCCCGTGAGGAGCACCCAGCGCTGTGTCACAATTTCTGAACTCCACCGTGGAGGTTCGAATGGGCCGGGCTCTGCATTCCAACAAAACTTGATTTTAGGGGGCAAATGGGCCTAGCAAATGGGTGTGTGAGATAAGCCGTTGCCACTCAGATTTTAATTCTCTGGCTGTATTTTCCTAAATGTCTCCATGATGGAGAGTCCAATTGTGACACCAAAAACCTCATCAGAAATTTCCTGCGTCTTTGCCAGGAGCCTTAAGACATTGCTGTGCTAGCTTGACCAACATAAGTAGCTTTGCAAGCATACGATTCAGAAGACATACACACACACTTGCCCTGGGACTTACTTTCAAAGTTTTTCCAAATTTTAAAAAAATTACAAGTTAACATTTGTCCATAGAAGTGGCCAAATATAGCTATCCTCTCAAGTGCATTTTCCCAATCACCGTATTCTGTTTGCAGAGTGAAATATGAGGTGCCAAGGAAGATCAACATATAGGCCTATACCAAGATGAAGTTTATGACCTTCTGAGCTGACTGTGCCTCTGCTTGTGAGTGCCTTAACATTCAATGTTTTCTATTAGCAGAAAGTTATTTTTGTGATAGTGTTGTTGAAATAGTATACATACACTGGTAAAGGTCTTCCATGCTGATAAAAAATGATCATGGCATCTCATGAAGGACAGACTAATCCAAGAGGATTATGTTCTGGTTTTGTCTGGATGGATGATCTTCTGTTCCACGGTTTTTGCCCATGACTTCCTTCTCATGCTTATTGATAACTGATTGCACACATCTGTACCAAGACAGATTAAAATGGCTTCCAAAGCCCTTGAGGGTAACTGTCTTAGAGTAAACTCTCTGTGGGAAGAGTAACTTTATGAAACATTAAGAATATGAAATAGTGTTGGAGAAATGTCTTAGACTTATGATCAGAAGTATCTATGTATTCTGTATACTTATATTACTGAGATGTATGTGAGTGTATTTGCACACACTCATCCCTCCTGGTCCCAGGAGCCCAGTCATGAAGAGTCTCAAGAAGAGGAACCACCAACTGAAAGTCGGGATCCTACACCTGGTCAGGAAAGAGAAGAAGATCAGGGTGCAGCTGAGATTCAAGGTGCTGGGAAGGGAACGAAAGATGTCTGTGGGAAGGGGAGGAGGCCTATGTGTGCATCACACATTATACCATGACCAGTAACAGGAGGAAAGAAAATATTAGGAAAGGATGTCAAACATTTGCTGAAAGTTGGCTGGAAAAGTGAAGAGTATGGTTTGCAGTCTTGTGCAGTCTCTGGATATAATGAATCTTCTCTTTTTCTTTGAGATCTACTTTGTATGCTTGCAAATACAGTCCTTGCTAAATTAGGACTTAGGTGACCACAGCCTTGAGGTCTGTAGAGTGCCTGGTAGAGGTGTCCAGTGAGGAGCACCCAGCGCTGTGTTGCAACTTCTCAACTCCACCCTGGAGGTTCGAATGGTAGGGGCTCTGCATTCCAACAAAACTTGATTTTTGAAACCATTTGATGTAAGAAAATGTACATTATTTCACTAGTGTAATTTGATCTTCTTAGAATGTTATATCATCTTCTCAACCGTGGTGTCCACAGTGTTGTATGCACCCTTTAATAGCACGTAGAGTGCCAAGTCACCCTACCTTGTAACACCCTGAGTAAAGCCCATTTGCATAGGAATGTTAGCCCCATTTTATAAATAAGAAAACTGAGTCTCATGGGTTGAGGTTTACCAAAGAACACTTGAGTCATGGAGACAGAATTCATATTTCGTTTCAAGGTTTATGTTCTTCCTATCATCTATGTTGTAAGAGAAAGTGACTGGTTTTGCTTAAGATGCGTAATACTCAAATATGGCTGTACTATAAGGTACTTCATTATTGGCTCAGGACAAAACACAGTTCAGTGAAGCAGGATAGAAACTCCAGAAAAGAGCTCAATGAATGACAGCCACTGTTTCCTTTCATTGGTGTTTTTGACAGTATGTTTGGTAAAAGTTGGATAATTCAGGACACTGGCATATGGATAGCTATATTAGTATGATTTTGAGAGGCTTTTAAAAGTTGTTTAAACACTTTTATAATTAGAAAACTTAAAGTGCTGTAAGATTATCATGAAACAGAAATTGTTTCCTCAACGGGTAGCATTTTCAAGGTAAACACTGACAGAATTTGGGCCATGGATTATTTAGCAATTCACTGTTAAGGGGTTTCCAGAATATGACTGTCCACAATCCTGGTTTATTTATTTATTTTAAATTATACTTTAAGTTCTGGGATGTATGTGCAGAATGTGCAGGTTTGTTACAGAGGTATACACATGCCATGGTGGTTTGCTGCACCCATCAACCCATAATCTACATTGGGTATTTCTCCTAACGTTCTCCCTCCCCTAGCCCCCCAAGCTCTGGACAGGCCCTGGTGTGTGATATTCCCCTCCCTGTGTCCATGTGTTCTCATTGTTCAACTCCTACTTATGAGTGAGAACATGCAGTGTTTGGTTTTCCTTTTCTGTGTTAGTTTGCTGAGAATGATGGTTTCCAGCTTCATCCATGTTCCTGCAAAGCACATGAACTCATCCCTTTTTATGGCTGCGTAGTATTCCATGGTGTATATGTGCCACATTTTCTTTATCCAGTCTGTCATTAATGGGCATTTGGGTTGGTTCTGAGTCTTTGCTATTGTGAATAGTGCTGCAGTAAACATATGTGTGCATGTGTCTTTATAGTAGAATGAATTATAATCCTTTGGGTATATACCCAGTTATTTATTTGCACTCAACTTCCTGTACTCTCACTGCAGGACAGTGATTTTGCTGTTGTTGTTGGTACTTCATTCTCAATGAGATTCATCTATGGAAAGTTACATGTAGGGCCTTTGGACCTAAGCATAACTTTAATTCATTTTACCAGAAAATGTTCAAGTTATTTCAACAAGGGATGGGTGTCACGACTGTATGACTTGTCATAGGCCAGCCAATACATTGATGTAAACTCTCAGAAAATTACATTTAAGTTATGATTAAAATGCTATTTATGTGGCAGACTTCAGATTTCTTAGATAGTTGACACTCGCTATTCATAATACACAATGGTAACTAACTTACGGAAAATGTAGGTATAGTGTGATTTATCCTTAGATTGTCATTTAAAATAAGATTTCAGGCCAAGACCAGTGCCTCATGTATATAATCCCAAAACATTGGGAGGCCAAGGCCGGCAGATCCCTTGAGCCTGGGAGTTTGAGGCCAGCCTGGGCAACCTGGGGAAACTCCATCACTACTAAAAAATACAAAAATTATCCTTGGTGGTGGCATTCACCTGTAGGCTCAGCTACTCGTCAGGCTGAGACAGGAGGATCCGTTGAGCCCAGAAGGTTGGGCCTGCAGTGGGCCGAGGTGGTACCACTGCACTGCAGCCTGGACAGAGTGAGACCCTGTCTCAAAAAGCAATTAAATACATAAAATAAAATAAGACTTCATAATATGAGAAAACGAAATTGTAACATTTTTGCATCACATTTGTTATGACACTAGCCTACAGGCTTTTATTTCATAACGCTGAGGAAAAGAATATTATAATTTCCTTATTTATATTTTATGTTTGTCTGCTTCAGTCGATAATTTTTGCATTTTTAAGTGTCTGACCTGGAAGCTGATCTCCAGGAATTGTCTCAGTCAAAGACTGGGAATGAATGCAGAGATGATCCTGATGTCAAGGGGAAGATTCTGCCAAAACTAGAGCATTTTAAAATGCCAGACGCAGGTATGTTATCCATTAAGATGCAAAATTAGGTGCTTTCTGTTTTCCACAATATTATACTTTTGATAATAAAAGCAGAGAACATTAGTGCCCCTTTAAAAACAGAGCTCAAATACAGACTTTCTTTGAAAGGTAGTTCAGACCCTGAATGCCTGACTGCAAGACTTAAACACTATCAGATACAGAAACAAATTGGGTCAAAGCCATGTTGAATCATCAAATGTGAAAGCATTTTCTTCTGAGTATAACCAACAGCTCACAATTTTCGAATTAGTTTTTAATTTCTGCTTTTAACAAATACATTGTGCATTTGTAATACCAGTTTGTGTGAAATGTGCTGAGAACTGAAGAGGATTCTAGTACCAGCTCTACCATAATTTGTGAGATTCTGGATGAATCCTATAAATTCTACACCCATGTTTGCTCTTACTGAAAATAGTGAATGCACATCAGATTAAATTCCATTTCAGTGCTGATTTCTACATGCTGTGGTTTTGTTGGATAGAATACAAAGATACTTGACTTTCATGATTTGTTTATCATAACAATCAGCTTCAGTCCAATTATAATATCTGAGTTGAGACTTCATTGCTCCTAAGAAAATAAACAACCACTCTGCTTGATATTTGTTTCTCTATATGGAGACCTGAATGACTGTTCTTGGATTTTGTCAAATTCTGAATTCTGCGGCTCTTTTTTTTTTTTTTTGAGATGGAGGCTTGCTCTGTCGCCCAGGCTAGAGTGCAGTGGCGCGATCTCTGCTCACTGCAAGCTCCGCCTCCCGGGTTCAGGCCATTCTCCTGCCTCAGCCTCTCGAGTAGCTGGGACTACAGGTGCCTGCAACCACGCCCGGCTAATTTTTTGTATTTTTAGTAGAGACGGGGTTTCACCGTGTTAGCCAGGACGATCTTGATCTCCTGACCTCATGATCCGCC
The DNA here is from genome assembly GCF_000001405.40 of Homo sapiens. NCBI lineage: Eukaryota > Metazoa > Chordata > Mammalia > Primates > Hominidae > Homo > Homo sapiens. Next base: position 55,176,959 of record NC_000023.11, read on the forward strand.
CGCCTGGGTCTCCCAAAGTGCTGGGATTACAGGCGTGAGCCACCGTGCCTGACCAATTCTGTGGCTCTTAATGAATAATGGCAGTTTAAATCCTTTCAGCCGTGAAGCCTTGAATATCTGAATAATAAAATGGCAGGAGACAGGTTTCTGTGGCCCATGAAGTAGGGAGAATGCATGTAGGCCAGTGAGCATGCTCCTTGCCCTACTGTTAGTCTTCATGAGCTACTGTGTGTAATTACATTGAAGACACATATGATAGAATCACCTCTAACTGTATCATAGATTACATATTATAAATTTCTGTCTTGAGATGTCAGTTAATAGGATCTAAAGTTTAAAGTCCGTAACTCACTAATTCCTGAGTATTCAGCATAGTTTACACATATTTTCCAAATTGCTGACTGTTAATTAGAAGAGCTTCTGAATTTAAAGGAAACACTCCATGTTTAGGGAAGAAATTACCTAGATGTTTTTACTCTACACTGCTAAACCATTTCATTAGACTATTTGCATTAAAAGATAGTTTTCAGACTATTTCCAGGAGCCTATTGAACAAGCCTCAATTGCATTCTTAGGAAGATCATAGCCTTAAATGCACATCTTATTAAAGCGGATAGCAAATTACATGATACAAGAAAATCATAATAAAAAACAAAAATAATAATAAAAGAGCAACAGAATAAACCTAACAGAAGAGGAAAGAGGTCGTGAATAAAAGACAGGTACAAATCATTAGTAAAATGCAAACTAATCCAAAAGTAATAAATTTAAAAGCTTGTTCTTTTGAAAAATAGCTATGAATAAAGTATCCAGTAGTATATAGTAGTTTACACTATCTAGAAGAAAATGGAAAAAGATGGACATGGAATATGTACAAGACACAGGTTTTGAATATAGGGCGTAATAGAAAATGAATACATTCTTGAACTCTAATATTTTCAAAGTATGGATGAAATTATTGATATGATAAGAACACACTCATTATTTAACATATTCCTGTAATACCTGAATATCTAAACATCACAAAGACTGTAGAACTTGTGACATTTGCCAGTTGTCCCTCAAACACACTTACTTTTAGAAACAAATATTTGTCTTCTTCACGTGTCTTACTCTTCTTTTCCATTTCCCTCTATCTCTGTTTCCTTTTTTGCCACACTGTTCATGATATATACTTATTTGATGTTTTGATGTCAAAAATAGTGATAGCTTAACACTAATGTGGCTATATAATTAATTATGTAATCAGAAATACTTTCCTAGTGAAAAAAGAGTCATTGTGGTAATAAAGTTAATGGCCCCTAAGATAGAAGAAACACCTGCCAAGTGGAGCAAGAAGATGGTCAGATCCACAGAGGCTTCTTCATGTGCTAGATTTCCTGCTAAAGGGGGATAAACTGTTCAGCTGGTTCCAGTGCCAGCTTCTACTATTGAGGATGCAAGTGGAAGCAGAAAAGATGGGGGAAGAAGTCAGAAACTCATATTATTTATTCGGGGGAATGCCATGTTGGGTGCACCAATTATCAGAGGGACTAATCAGTTGCTGAATCCCCCAATTATGACTGGTATTACCAGAAAGAAGATCATAATGAATGTGTGGGCGGTAACAGTAACATTGTAGATCTGATCATCCCCTAGCAGAGTTCCTGGTTGGCCTAATTCTGCTTGAATTAGAAGGCTTAAGGCGGTGCCTAGTATCCCTGCCCATGTGCTGAATAGCAGGTATAGCGTTCCTATGTCTTTGTGGTTAGTTGAAAACAATCAACAATTAATGAACATAAGTGGGGAAAAAAAGGTAAAATGGCTGGGTAAGCATTAGACTGTAAATCTAAAGACAGAGGCCAAGGCCGCTTTTTAGCAGCCCTGAGGGGATTTCTCATGTTGAATTGCAAATTCAAAGGAGAAGCTTCAGTCCTGCTGGGGCTTCCCCCACCTTTTCCCCCAACGGTGGAGAAGTAGATTGAAGCCAGTTGATTAGGGTGTTTAGCTGTTAACGAAATTTTCGTGGGTTTGAATTCCACCAATCTAGCAAGGGCTTAGCTTAATTAAGGTGGTTGATTTGCATTCAATTGATGCAGAATAGAGTCTTGCAGTCCTCAGGTCTGTTACAGAAATTAAGTGTAATCTTCATGCTTTGAAGGCTCTTGGTCTTATTTAACCTAAATTTTTAAGTTATAGTTAGTATTAATGGAGAGATAGGTAAGAGGAGGGTAGAAGAGATAAGTGGGGGGAAGAATGGTATGGGTTTTGTGTTTTTGAATTGTCATTTTATTTTCATATTATTAGACGTGGGGAATAATGTCACTGAGGTGGAATAAATTAGGCGTATGTAAAAGTACAGGTTGAGTAGGGTTATGATAGCTATAATGTTTCAGCAATAAGGCTCTTGTTTTTTGTAAATTCTTGGATGATGATTCATTTAGGCAGGAACCCTGTTAATGGAGGTAAACCTCCTAGAGATAGTAGAATTAGTGGAATTATAGGTGTCAACCATGTTAATTTGTTTCAGGTGTGTAATAGTGACAGCGTTGTGGTGCTTATACTCAGGTTGAGTGTTAAAAATATGGTTATTGTTAAGATAAAATAAATAGGTTTAGAATGGTAATGTTTGGGCTATAGAGTAGTGCTGCTATTATTCAGCCTATGTGAGTGATTGAGGAGTAGGCTAAGATTTTACACAATTGTGCTTGGTTAAGCCCTCCTCAGCTGCCTACTATAATGGATAGAATTGTGATAGACAGGAGGATGTTCATGTTTGTTGATGGGAAAATTTAAAACATAATCGATGTTTCTTCACAATATCATGTGAGGAGAAGTATACCAGGTATTAGAGAGGTTCCTTGGGTTACCTCTGGGACTCAGAATTGAAAGGGGGCTATTCCTAGTTTTATTACTAGGGTCACTATTATTAATGATGAAAATTGATTAATAGTGTTTATTATTGTTCATTGTCCAGAGGACAGGTTGTTGAAAAGGATACCTATTATGAGAATTACAGATGTGGTTGCTTGCGTAAGGAAATATTTGGTTGCTGCTTTTGTACAGCTGTAGAGTGGGGACTTATATTTTTAATTAGGATTGGGATAAGGGCTAGTATGTTTATTTCTAGGCCTGTTGAGATGAGAAATCAGTGTGATCCTAGCATTGTGATAAGAGTTCCTGTAAAAATAATAAGGGAAATAGCAAGTTGAGCTAAGGGTTTAATTAGTATGGGAAGGGTGTAACCAACATTTTCGGAGTATGGGCCCGATAGCTTATTTAGCTGACCTTACTCTAGGACATGGTGTGATAGGTAGCATGGAGAATTTTGGATTCTCAGGGGTAGGTTCAATTCCTACAGTTCTAGAAATAAGAGGATTTTAACCTCTGTTGTTTACTCTATCAAAGTAGTTCTTTTGTCAGACATATTTCCTATGTTTGGGGTGGGATGCTAGAAATTAGGACAGGCATTGAGATATGTCATATACAGCATGCTAGTGTAAGTTGTAGGAAATTTTTTCATAGAAGATATATGAGCTGGTTGTAGCAGAATCAAGGGTATGCTCTTAGAATTCATAAGAATAGGGTGGTTAAAAGAAGGGTCTTGGTAATGAAATTTATGGTATAGAGTTCTGGTGAATATATGGTATGTAGTGCTCCTAGGAAGATAGTGGTAGTTAGGGCATTTATTATGATAATATTCATGTACTCTGCTATAAAGAAGAGGACAAATGAGCTTGTGGCATATTTGATGTTGAAGCCTGAGACAATTCTGACTCTCCTTCTGTTAGATCAAAATGGGCTCGGTTAGTTTCTGCTGGTGTGGGGATAATCACATTATGGCTAGGGGTAATGATGGTAGGAGCAGTCAGAGGAGTTCTTGCATTGTGATGAATGCATATAAGTTAAATGAACCACTTATCAGTAAAACTGATAACAGGATAATGGCTAGGGTGACCTCATTTGAAATTGTCTGGGCCACAGCTCGTGATGCGCCAATTAGTGCATATTTTGAATTAGATGCTCATCCTGATCATAGAATAAATGGCTAGGATTGATATGGCTAGTATAAATAGGAGGCCTATGTTAAAATTAATTAGAGGATTTGGTATAGGGAGGGGAGTTCATAAGAGGAGATCGATAGGAAGGGCTAGGATTGGAGCAATAATATAAAGGGTAATAGTAGATGTTGAGGGCTGTAAGGGTTCTTTGGTGAAAAGTTTTATTGCGTTAGCGAATGGTTGAAGCAGCCCGTAGGGACCTACAATGTTAGGTCCTTTGCGTAGTTGTATGTAGCCTAAGATTTTTCATTCGATGAGTGTAAGGAATGCTATAGCGATGAAAGTAGGGATAATAAGTAGGAGAAGGTTAATTATAGGTATATTGTTAATGAGAGGAGTTGAACCTCTGATTATAAAGTTTTAAGTCTTATGCAATTGCCGGGCTCTGCCATCTTAACAAACCCTGTTCTTGGGTAGGGTATGTGATGATTTGTTAGATTGAGATAGCATCATCTGTGGAGCGAGGGCACTTTATGAAGTGGGCCCTATTTCTCTTGTCCTTTCATACTAGGGGAAATGTTAAATAGATAGAAACCGACCTGGATTACTCTGGTCTGAACTCACATCACGTAGGACTTTAATTGTTGAACAAACGAACCCCTAATAGCGGTGACACCATTAGGATGTCCTGATCCAACATCGAGATTGTAAACCCTATTGTTGATATGGACTCTAGAATAGGATTGCGCTGTTATCCCTAGGGTAACTTACTCCGTTGATCAAATTATCGGGTCAATATATATTAACTTGCTTAGGCTAGTGCAGTCTTAGTTTAGGTTGCTCGGAGGTTGAATTATGCTCTGAGGTCACCCCAACCAAAAATTTTAATGCAGGGATAGTAGGCTAGGGCCTGTAGGCTTAAGTTTTTATTTGCATTAATAAATTAAAGCTCCATACATAGGGTCTTCTCGTCTTATTTGTTTATATCCGCCTCTTCGCGGATAGGTCAATTTCCCTGATTAAAAGTAGGAGACAGCTGAACCCTCGTGTGGTCATTCATACAAGTTCCTATTTAAGGAACAAGTGATTATGCTACCTTTGCACAGTCAGGATACTGCGGCCATTGAACGTATGTCACTGGGCAGGCAGTGCCTCTAATACTGGTAATGCTAGAGGTGATGTTTTTGGTAAACAGGCGGGGTAAAATTTGCGGAGTTCCTTTTACTTTTTGTATTCTTTCCTTAGAGCATACCTGTGTTGGGTTAACAGTGTAAATAATAAAGAGCTTATTATATCGTTTATTAATATTAGGCTAACTGTCAGTGGGTTATTCCAGTCTGATGTAAGCTTATGCAATGGAGAATGTTTTCATATTACTTATATTAACATTATTGCTTCTATTAAGTAATAGATTAGTCCAATGTGATGTTAGGAGTTCAGTAGAGTGACTAGAATTTAAGATAGATGTTGAGCTTAAACGCTTTCTTAATTGGTGATTGCTTTTGGGCCAACTATGGTGGAAATATTTTTTACTCTCTGTAGGAAGGTTGTTTCCTAGGGTCTAAAGAGCTGTCTAAACTTATGGGGAGATTAAGTAATTCTGTGGGTAAGTTTAAAGTTGAATTAAGATCCCATCTTGGACAACCAGCTATCACCAGGCTCGGTAGGCTTGTCACTGCTACTTATGAATCTTCTCACTATTTTGCCACATAGGTAAGTGTGCTCTTTCAGCTGTTCTTCGGTAGCTCGTCTGGTTTTGGGGAACTTGGCTATAATTCTCTGTGTAAAGTTATTTCTAGTTAATACATTATGCAGAAGATATAAGGGTTTGTCTTTGCTTTTTGATGCTTGATACAGTTCTTTCATCTTTCCCTGACGGTTCTATGTCTATTGCGCCGGGGTAAAAATTTCTATTGCCTATACTTTTGTCTAGGGTAAATGGTTTGATTAAGATAATTTAATAATATTTTTAGTGAGGTTTGGAGCTAGAGTTGGCTCAAAGTGATCAGGTCGTGATGAAATCTTCCGGGTGTAAGCCAGATGCTTTGGGTTAAGCTACACTTTGGTTTGTCCAAGCACACTTTCCAGTACGCTTACCTTGTTATGACTTATCTCCTCTATATGTGTGTAGAAAATTTTTAGTAGTAGTGATTTCTGGAGTAATACTTGAGGGTGACGGGTGATGTGTGTGTGTTTCATGGCCTTATTCAACCAAGCACTCTGCTCTTGGTTTACAGCTAAATCCTCCTTGAGCCTTGGATTTCATAAAGGTTGTCGTGAGAGTTTCTGAACATAGAAAATGTAGCCCATTTCTTGCCACCTCATGGGCTAAACCTTGACCTAACGTTTTTATGTGTGTACTTGTGCTTACTTTATAACCTTTTTAGGGTTTGCTGAAGATGGCAGTATATAGGCTGGGGGGAAGAGGTGGTGAGATGTGTCGGGGTTCATTGATTATAGAACAGGCTCCTCTAGAGGGATATAAAGCAACGCCAAGTCCTTTGAGTTTTAAGCTGTTGCTTGTACTACTCTGGCGAATGGTTTTGTTAATGTAACTATCAGGGTTTAGGGCTAAGCATAGTGGGGTATCTAATCCCAGTTTGGGTCTTAGCTATTGTGTCTTCAGGGTATTAAAGCCACTTTCATAGTATATTTTATTTCAGCTGAAGTTTTTTACAACTTCGTTGGAGTTTAGCTTTATTGAGGGCAGACCTTAAACACTCTTTATACCGAGCTCTATTAGCTCGGGTTAATCCTATGGCCGCGGTGGCTGGCATGAAATTGACCAACCCTAAATATTAGTATAGTTTAGTTAAACTTTCGTTTATTACTAAAGATTTATTACTGCTGTTTCCTGTGGGGGTGTGGTTGAGCAAGGTGTTTTGAGCTGCACTCGTGCGTGCTTGATACCTGCTCCTTTTGATCCGGGTGATCTAGAGGGCATTTTCACTGGGGCAAGGATGCTTACATGCGTAATCTTACTAAGAGCTAATAAAAAGGCCAGGACCAAGCCTATCTGTTTATGGTGTCGTGTGGACCCATCTAGGTATTTTCAGTGTCTTGCTTTGAATAGTTAAGCTACATTAACTATATAAATACTTAAATGTAAAATTAAAATATGAAAAAGAAATAAGTACGAATGGTTGTTTACAGTTCTGGAAATTCAGGGTCTTTAAAATTGAATTGGCAGAGGTTTGGCCGAGAGGGTTAGTTATAATTAGAGTATAATTGATTTAGGACATAATATATGGGGCAGTGTTTTCAGAGGGATATGCTCAAAGTATCATGTTAGTATTAGGGCAGAAGTATAGTTATTGCATTTATTGTATGAAATGGAGGATAAATTTGGTGGGAGGGTCTTAGATTTTTTAGAAAAAGTACATCAATTGAGGGGTAGCTGTTGGGGTGTTCGTCGTTAAAACACGATTTCTCGGCTCCGACTGGGTTGCATTTTAGTCTCTTGTTTTTGGGGTTTGGCAAGGGTACATTTACCTAGGTTGATGGTAAAGTCAGAGATGGGGGGAGGAGGGATTTGCAGATTCAATCGGAGATAGTTCTTGAAATCATACATGCATGAGTGTACGATTTTTCCAGTGAAAAAAGAGTCATTATTCATGTTGACATCAGCACTGTTAGGTGAAAACTGGGGACAAATGTTTACCATACCTGAAAAACGACATAAAGATAAACTAGCTTAAAGCAAGTTTTTTTTTTTTTTGTACTTTTGCACAAGAGGGAAAAATCAAATACTGGCCTTTCTATTCACTTCAGTTATGCAGTTCTTAATGTGACATTAACTGTTTTCTTAAAAGATAGCTTTCAAACAACTTCCAGGAGCCTATTTGACATCCAGACCATAGTTTCAAGCCAGAACATTAAATTATTCTTTTTTTTTGTAAATTCCATTTGTTTCTTAGGTTTTTTTGAGTGTTGGTTTTATTTTTAGTAAAATTATACACAACTTTTGTTTTCTATTTTAACCCCTCTTTTAATAGGTTCACTTGATTTAATGTGTTCTGACTTCGGACTGTCTTTTGGTTTTCTTGTAGCACTAGAAAGTAGGGTGTGTTTAAAAAAATTTTTTAATGTATATGCTTGGAAGTCTATCTCCAAAGTCTCTACGAGGTCTAACGGAATGTAAGCTGAAGGGTAACTCTTAGACTTCTGGTTTTAGTCCATTGCATAAAAGTGAAACTTTGGTGTTGTTTGCAAACCTTTAATGTCATCTGAATACAGTTCTGCTAGTAATGTCCCCTCCTCTTATGTTTCTATCATAGGTGAAGGGCAACCACAGGTTTGAATGAAAATAAGCTGAAACAACGTAAACTGGTTTTATCTAAGATGTTTGACTTAAAAAGATCTCAATAAAGTTTTACAGTTTTTTCCAAAGAATTCTTGCACATCTTTTGTTAATTTTATTTCCAAGTATTTGAGACTATTGAAAATTGTGGCTGGGTGTAGTGGCTCACGCCTGTAATCCCAGCATTTGAGATGCTGAAGCAGGAGGATTGCTTGAGCTCAGGAGACTGACACTAGCCTGGGCAACATAGGCTCTACGAAAATGAATGAAGGAATGCATGAATGTATGCATGTACGTATGTAATTGTAGTCCCAGCTACTCCGGATGCTGAGGTGGAAGGATCCCTTAAGCCCAGGAGGTCGAACATGAGGATGAGGTTAATCATGTTCAGGTCACTGCAACTTCAGTCTGGGTGACAGAGGGAAACTTTGTTTTTTTTTAAAAAAAAGGCGGGGGGAAAGAGTATTTTGAAATTTTGTGTTCTGATTGAACTAGTGTAAGCAAGTGTGATATTGTGAAATACGTATTTGGTCCTCCATCCTGTTTACTGGCATACAACTCCTAAAAATTTTAGAATCTCCAAGAAGTGACTTTTTTTTTTTTTTTTGAGACAGAGTCTCGCTCTGTCACCAGGCTGCAGTGCAATAGCGTGATCTCAGCTCACTGCAACCTCCGCCTCCCGGGTTCAAGCAATTATCCTGCCTCAGCCTCCCAAATAGCTGGGATTACAGGTGTCTGCGACCATGCACAGCTAATTTTTGTATTTTTAGTAGAGATGGAGCTTCACCATGTTGGCCAGGATGGTCTCGATCTCTTGACCTTGTGATCCACCAGCCTTGGCCTCCCAAAGGAAGTGGCATCTTTTATATGCTAGTGAGTTGACTGAGGCTGGCAGCCCCTAGGTAGTTCTACCATGGGGAATTAGAGGGTTGGGACTTTCAGCCCCACCCCCAAACTTCAGGGAAAGGAGAGGGCCTTTTCTGTGATGAAAACTTTTTATCTCTTTAATCATCCTCTTTCTCCTCCAGACTTTTCTTTTCTGGAAGGGTTGTATGCAAGAGGGACAAAAGCATTTTCAGAAACCACATTTTAGTATAATTTAAGTAAAAATTTTCATCATGTTTAAGAAATAGTCAGGATAAAATTCCGAATTTTGAAAAAATTAAAAAATGGGTTTACAGAACCTCTATCCCTTTTGTCTCTATCATTTATCCAGAGAAGCATGGAAAACTGCAATCCCTGGCTTGTGGCTGCTGCATTGAGTAGCCAAACTGCTGGACCTCTTCTGTCAATATCGTCACACATCCAGATGTATTAACCAAGAAATGGAAGGCTGTTTTAAAACTCCCCCCTTTTTTCATCTCCAAGAAATTTCCTTCAAGCTCCTTGCAGTAAATTCAGCACTCACAGAATTAAAAGTATCATGGACAAGAGAGATCCTGGCTCAAATGTTGGGAGGTGGCTGCAGTAGCCGCAGCCCAGCTGAAAACAAGGCTGGAATGTGTCTTCACACCCCCAACTCCCCTTTCTGAGACAGGGTTTTGCTCTTTTGCCCAGGTTGGAGTACACTGGAGGGCTCACAGCTCACTGCAACCTCAGACTCCTGGGCTCTAGTGATCCTCCAGCCTCACCTTCCTGAGTATATGGGACTACAGGCACGTGTCACCTCGCCCAACAACTTTTTAAAATTTTGTAGAGCAGGTGGGTCTCACTGTGTTGCCCAGGCTGGTCTTGAACTCCTGGCCTCAAGTGATCTCCTGTCTCATCCTCCCAAAGTGCTGAGATTACAGGTGGGAGTCACTACACCTGGCTTGTTTTCCCTGTTTTTTTCCTTTAAGGCTTAAAGTTGATCTAAGGCTTGCTCAAGCCAAGGAAACTGATTTTTTTCCCTCCCACTTGGAGGAAAGAGCAATTCAAACATTCAGGAATTTTTGGCTACTCAAAGCTCTTTGACATTTGGGTCCTTTCTCTACCTTCCTGCAGGAGAAGACAAAACCAGAGTCAGCATCTGGCTGCAGTTTTCCCCCTTCCGTTATCCAGCACAGAACAGCGGTTAAGGGATCCAGAGAGCCAGCTCTCTTGCAGTTGGAGGGATTATTGTTAAATGCTGGGAGTACATGTATTTCTCATAACAGACAGCAGGTCAGCTGCTGCTTCACATTATGGGGAAATCCATAGTCTCCCAGGTGTGACAGCTTCATCATGTCTATCCCTTCACTCTTCCTTTATTGGAAGAAGGCTTTCACCATATTTTAGTGAGTCAGAGTCTTGCTGGTGACTCACACTGTTGCTGCCACTGTGTCAGGGATCCCCAAGGCCACCCTCACTTTCAGTGATTCCATGGCATTCTCTGCTGCCCTTCTGCATACAATGCTCATAACCGAAGCCAACCCCCTCACCTCAGCTCAGGATCCCATGCCTCCCACCTTCTCAGGGGCTTTGTTCCTGCAACGATCACTTCTTTCTCCTGAACCATCAACTGCTCCCTCTATGTTGGATCATTCCCCAAGCTAAGGTGAAATTCACCTTCTTCCCCCATGTCCTTGTGTAGTTACTAACATATTTATCTGCTGCCATTGAAAGCAAAACTGCATCAACATAAACAACTGACTGCATTGGAATCAATTTTCAAAATTATCTGGAAAGGAAAATGAATCAGAACAGCCAAAACAATTCTGAAGGATAACTTTGGGGAACTCATGCTGCATAATGTCAAGATTCACATTAATTATCTTATTTATTTATTATTTTATTAATATGATTTTTAATTATCCAGCCCCATATGTCAATTATGTTAATTCTATAGGAATCAAGACAGTGTGCTATTGGAGAAAAAAATGAACAGATCAGAATAGAGTTCAGCAACAGACTCACAGACATAGTAAAACTGATTTTCAGAAAAGGTGCAAAGGCAATGGACAAAAATTGTCTTTTCAAGAAATTGTGTTGTTTTCCTCGTGCTTCTTGGCCACTACATTCATTGTTTTTTTATTCCCCTGTGTCCCTTCCCTTTGTTTCTCCTTTGCACTTCAACTGCTCTTCTGTTTAAAGGTCTGTCTGTCCCACCACAGTGTGACAGCCCCCACAGCAAGTACCATGTGTTGTTGGTCTTCCCATTTCCAGCATCCCAGATATTTCCTGTAATGTGGCAGGCATCAATCATTGTCTATTGAATTGATTAATCAATCTTCTGTAATGATCTTAACAGAAAATCACCTCCTCTGTTTTGGACTCATTATTGGAGATGGTGTGTTTATAGGCACCTTACATATGGTGTTTGGTTTTGTGCCAGACACTCTAGGGTAATGGCTCTGCCATGGTGTCCTGGAGCTCTTGCAGGTCACCATATAGATCACGTAGGCAAAGCCAGGCTGCAGGCTAACCTGAGTCTTGGCAGAATACCTGGAATCTCGTTGGAGCAAAGGGAGATATGCAGCATGGTGGGAGCTGCCACAGGTACTTTCTCATCAGCTGCCTATCTTCTTGAAGGCCAACACAAGGCCATTCTTCATTCATCTTCATAGTTTCAGTTAACCACAGGCCTTTCCTCATCTTAAGGTACAGTTGTAAAGTATAAAAGTGCTCACTGTCTTAGGGTATGTCTGTGGGCTCCTCATAGGCAGAGAGATCGACCATCTGTGCTGTCACTGAGTACCTCCAAATTAGCATCATACTATGGGACATGATGCTGTTCTTGCTTTTGCTGTGTCTTCAAGCAGTCAACCACTGGGATCCATTTGGGCTCATTGTCTCCCTATTGGCCAAATCTATGGATATGTGACAAGCCAAACTAACAGCTGCAGTGGTGATCCTTGTGGCCCTGTCCGCCACCACAGGGCTGCTTAGGGAATGCTTGAGCACTTGACACAGTATTGTATTCAGTTGTGTGTGGTATCGCCTGACCAGAATATTGGCCTATTCTTCATGGCATCACACACAGCAAACAAGTTTTCAGCATGTACTATTGACTTAGGGTTGGCCTTGTCACACCTTGGTTATTTACAAATGAACTTTAGAATTGATGCCATGTCTGACATCAGCTACACTGCTATTTAATTAACATAACTTATTTAAATCGAATAAGTTTCTGAACTGATATTCATTTAAAAAGGTAAGTAGATATCCCTGCTTGACATTCAAAAGCAGTTATCATATACTAGAGATGTAATTGTAAAGAAAACTGGAATGAAAAAAATTTGAAATTTTAAAGGAAAAAAGGAAATATAACTAGTAAACCAAATTTATCTACAATGTAATGCCTACTTGGTATGTTATTTCATTGATTCTTCATAGGAATAATTTAGTGTAAATATTCTCATTTCTAATTTAGAAATGGGGAAACTGTCCCAAAGAATATAAGTATCTTGCCCGACACTTCAATGCCAGTGTGTGAGAGGCAGGAGGGAAACCCATGGCTACTTCATGCCATAGCCTGTAAAGCGACAGTGTAGGTAGACCCAAGTCATCTTGCCTCAGCAAGTTGCCCTGGTTACTTTCCCGTTTCTTCTACCTAGGCCCTAATTCTTTCACCCAGCTTTACAGCCTAGGGACTTCTCACATATTTTGTGGCAAATGGGTTACCCCGAGAAAGGATGCAGATGAGGAGACACATAGGGTAAGGTATGTTGGAAGGGGCAAGGAGCTTCCATGCTCTCTGTGGGCATGGTACCCTCCATGTGTTCAGCTAGCTGGAAGCTCTCTCAACCCTGTCCTTTTGGGTTTTGATGGAAGTTTTCATTATGTAGGCGTGATTGATTAAACCGTTGGCCTGCCATTGGTGATCAACTTAACCTTCAGCCCCTCTCCCTTCCCTGAGGGTTGGGGGTGGGGCTGAAAGTTCCAACCCTCTAATCCCCATTCTAGAGCTACCTGTAGGTCATTTAGACAGTGTATGGGTCAGAAGTATCCATAGATTGATCTTTGTTATTGCTTTTCTTCTTCTAGATTTAGGTTTAGTTTGTTCTTGTTTCTCCAGTGCCTTGAGGTGTGACATTAAGTTGTCAATTTGTGCTCTTTCAGACTTTTTAATGTAGGCATTTAGCACTGTAAACTTTTCTCTTAGCAGTGCTTTTGCTGTATCCCAGAGGTTTTGATAACTTGTTTCAATATTATCATTCAATTCCAGGAATTTTTAAATTTTCATCTTGATTTTATTATTAACTCACATATCATTTAAGAGCAGATTATTTAATTTTTATGTATTCATGTAGTTTTTAGGGTTCCTCTTTGGAGTTGATTTCTGGTTTGATTCCACTGTGGTCTGAGAAGATACTTGATATAATTTTGATTTTTAAAAATTTATTGAGACTTGTTTTGTAACCTACCATATGGTCTATTTTGGAGAATGTTCCATGTGCTGATGAAAATAACGTATATTCTGCAGATCTTTGGCAGAATTTTCCGTAAATATTTGTTAAGTCCCTTTGTTCTAGTGTGTCATTTAAGTCCATTGTGTCTGTTGACTTTCTGCCCCTAAAATCTGTCTGGTGCTATCAGTGGTGTCTTCAAGTCTCCCACTATTATTGTTTTGTTTTGCTGTCTGTCTCATTTCTTAGGTCTAGTAGTAATTGTTTTATGAATCTAGAAGCTCCAGTGTTTGATGCATATAACTTTAGGATTTTATTATCTTCTCGTTGATTTAATCCTTTTGTCATTATATGGTGACCATCTTTGTCTTATTTATTTATTTTTTTCTGTTGTTGCTTTGAAGTCTGTTTTGTCTGATATAAGAATAGCTACTCCCGGCCAGTCACAGTGGCTGACGCCTGTAATCCCAGCACTTGGGAGGCCAGGCGGGTGGATTACCTGAGTTCAAGAGTTCAAGACCAGCCTGGCCAACATGGTGAAACCCCATCTCTACTAAAAATAAAAAAAAAATTAGCTGAGTGTGATGGCGGACGCCTGTAAACCCAGCTACTCAGGAGGCTGAGGCAGGAGAATTGCTTGAACCTGGGAGGCAGAGGTTGCAGTGAGCCAAGATCACACTATTGCACTCCAGCCTGGGCAATAAGAGTGAAGCTCCATCTCAAAAAAAAAAAAAAAATACCTACTCCTGCTTGCTTTTGGTTTCCATTTGCATGGAGTACCTTTTCCACCCTTTTACCTTGAATTTATATGAATCATTCTGTGTTAGGTGAGTCTCTTGAAGACAGTAGATATTTATATTGTGATCTATTATCAATTCTGCCATTCTGTATCTTTTAAGTGGAGGGTTTAGACCATTTACATTCAATGTTAATATTGAGATGTGAGGTACTGTTTTCTTCATCATGTTAATTATTACCTAGATTTTTTTTATCCTTGTGTTATTGTTTTATATGCCCTGTGAGTTTTAAGCTTTCAAGAGGTCCTATTTTGGTGTGTTTTGGACTTTTCTTTCAAGGTTAAGAACTCCTTTTAGCATTTCTTGCAGTGATAGTGCTTGTAGTGCTGGTGACAAATTCCTTCAGCATTTGTTTGTCTGAAAATGACTATACTTCTCCTTCATTTATACACTAGTTTTGTGGGATATAAAATTCTTGGCTGACAGCTGTTCTGTTTAAGGAGGTTGAAGACAGGGCCCTAATCCCTTCTGGCTCGTAAGGTTTCTGCTGAGAAGTCTACTGTTAGTCTGATAGGTTTTCCTTTGAAGATTACTTGCTACTTTTGTCTTGGTGCTCTTAGAATTCTTTCCTTCATGCTGACTTTAGATAGCCTGATGACTGTATAGTTTGGTGAAGATCTTTTTGCAGTGACTTTCGCATGATTTCTTTGAGCTTCTTAGATTTGGATATCTAGATCTCTAGCCAGGCCCAGGAAGTTTTCCTCAATTATTCCCTCAAATAAGTTTTCCAGACATTATTTTCTCTTCTCCCTCAGGAACATCAGTTATTCTTAGGATTGACCATTTTACATAATCCCTTATTTCTTGGAGACTTGGTTTATTTATTTTTATTCTTTTTTTTAAATTTTTGCCTGATTGGCTTAATTCCATCTTCCTGGTGCCATGTTATTTCTTCTGTTCTGATGGAAACATTTCTATTCTTTCAATGTAAATAAAAAGTTTGAGGGTACTTCTTTTAAATCGTAAACTTGTGGTTTATAGGCAGAATATCATCGCCCACTTTGGGACATTTTGGAAGTTGCCAAGGACAGCTTTGGTTGTTGGAATGATTGGCAGGGGCTACCAGCAATGGGGGCATAAGGTTACAGGGAGGCAAATGTCTTTTTCCAGAGTCTTAAAACAACTGGACTTTCAATACACGTCAGTCCCTGTAAACTGAGGGAGGCTTCTATGTTGCTTCATCTGTGAAATTAAAAAGACTGTCAATTGAGAAAAATGATGAGATAAGTCTCAATCATTTTAGGAGATTTATTTGCATGCCTGGGAAACAGGTCTATGCCTTTCTCTGAAGATGATTTTGAGGGCTCCCAAATTTGAAGGGGAAAGGGCAGGATACTGAGAAGTACACAATTTCATGAAAAAGGGGGGTAGGCAAAAATAGCCATTCATGCTTTTTTGTGGCTCACTGAATCTGCATTTTTTATATAAGATGACATAGACAAATGGGACAGAGGAAAAATGCAGGGAATCTGCATTTTACATAAGATAACATAGATAAAAATGGGGCAAAGGAACAACCAGAAATGCATTTGTGTCTTGTGGGCTGGGGGTGACTGCACCTGTAAAATAAGCTATCAATTTACATTGCCATGGTGAAATTTTAACAGAAACACCTTGAAAGATTTTGCAGCTTACTAGGAATTTCCTTGTGGGCAAAATATGGGAGAGGCAGGTAGCTTTTCATCTTGTAGCCATCTTATTTAGGAACCAAAAGTGGGAGGCAGGTCTGCATGACCCAGTTCCCAGCTTGAATTTTCCGTTTGGCTTAATGAGTTTGGGGTTCCAAGATTTAATTTCCTTTAACATTTCCCCACCCACCGACTTCTTTTTTAAAGTCTTTTAGAGAAAGCATTTTAAAAGGAAATGAGTCTCTGGTCCCAGGTTTTGTCTGATCTCTCATGGCCAGGATGGTTTATTTCTGTACAGGTAGGTCTAGAGTTATTAGGAAAGCTCATTTCTAGAAGGTTGTGAGGTCTCATGTCCTATGGAAAAAAAAATAGGGGGAGGAAGGGAGAAAAACAACAAACCAAAGAACAACTCTAGAAAATTGATATAGGCCACATTACTCTGAAGTCCATACATCAGTAGGCAGGTATAAAAGTGGCTTATGTAAGTAAATAGGGTGCTGTTAATTTCTTCTCACGTTTGGGTTGTCTGGCTTCAATTTGCAGGGCTTTATGAAAGCACAGCTTAGTTTTTGGTGACTAAAAATTAGGAAAAAATGTGAAAAAAAGAAGGAAAAAAATTGAAAACATTATTTTGAAGACTTGTAGCCAAGAGAAAATTAGAATTTGGTCCAAACTGTAGAGAACAATAAAAATTGAAAAACACTTGGCAAGAATAGAAACTAACAATGGGTGTACTATAGTTTTTTTGAAACGTAATTTTTCCTTCTCCAGTTTCCCATTTTTGCTAAGGACAAATCATGGTAAGACTGGTTTACTTTATTACAGTTGACCTAATTATTTGTATATAGCACAGCAAGAATAATTAATTTTTACATAGGCTTTTAAATTGGCTTTGATGGAACTTTGCTCCATAGAAGGAATTTCAGGTAAGACTTTTTTAAAGCTAAGCCCAGCTGTGAATTTGCGCCATCAAATATCTATGAGTTGGGTACATTTCCTTCCCTCTTGAGGTTCCAAGATAAACCTGGGGCTTCTGGGCCTGTCAGAAAGTGACATTCTTTACTTAACCACAGGTCAGAAACTCTGTACAGGGACTGTATATGCAAAATATGAGGCCAATTTTTCCAAGAGCTTTATTGGCTCCATAAGTCAAGTTTGACTCCTTAAAGGAAAGCACACCATTCCAGTTAAAGCCTTGGTAAAGTAATCAGTTTCTCCAACTGTATGCTGTTACAAATGGAAACAGATTCTTACTGCACTTTTGCAAATACTGAATTGCTGTAAGTTAAGAATACTTACAAATAGTCCCAAATCAGGTAGAGAAAAACAAATATGGAGATCAGGTAGAGAGAAATAAATATGCTCCAAATTTTTTCATAGGAGTATACTAAATTGTTAAAAGCTGTCAATAGCTCAAAAGAGAAGTTTCAAGACTCTGAAAAACAAAACAAAGGATCAGCAACATTTTAAGCAAAAAGTCAAAAGATTAGTTCAGTCCATGCAGTTAATTCCTGTTCTGTTTGACACTCATGAACATTTTATCTATGAGTCCTCAAAGTTTTTCCTCTACTTTGATGTCACAGTCTCCAAAGTTAACAGAAACCTGCATATAAAACCTGTTAGAGTTTTATAGCTGATTATAAAACCACCTTCTAAAGAAGACCAAAACAACATAATTGCCCATGGATGACCAAAAGTTTTAGGGCAGCCATAGTCAAAGACATAATTGACAAGGACATTTGTTACCTCTGTGGCACACAATAATTTTAACAAAACAATTACAATTATTACTGGCAATGTACACTAAGTCATATTAGAATTATAGGAGTTTCCCATAATTTTAGAACACATACCAATAACATTTATACAAATACAGCCCAAAGAAAACCAAACACCATTTCATATTCGACAGTGCTTCCTGTATAATTTTTACACCGAATAAGCCAAATTATGTAGTTTTTGGACCTTAGGGAACCCAATATCTTAAAGGATTAATTAGGTCAGAAAAAGATATAATTCATAATTTGATTTTCTAAAGCTTGTTAAATATTAAAGGTTTTTTAAACACTTGATATTACAAAATAAGATTACAGGTTATTGTAAAGTCATTCATTCAACCAAAGTGATAACTCAAGGATTTTTTAAAAAGTGAAAACCTTCATTCTTTGAGAGAGGAGACAATTTTCCAAAGAAGAAGCCCTAATAAAAACAGCATGAAGCCAATTAAATTTGTTTTTTAAAATTTTGTAAACAATTTATAAAATTTAATCTTGATTATAAAATATAACTTCCATAAGCCTTTTATAACCTTTATTAAGGAGTTGGTTAATGCTTCAAGAAAACCTTGTTGGCCAGGCATGGTGGCTCACGCCTGTAATCCCAGCACTTTGGGAGGCTGAGGCGGGTGGATCACAAGATCAGGAGATTGAGACCATCCTGGCTAAAATGGTGAAAACCCATCTCTACTAAAAATACAAAAATTAGCCGGGTGTAGTGGTGGGCGCCTGTAGTCCCAGCTACTGGGGAGGCTGAGGCAGGAGAATGGCGTGAACCCAGGAGGCAGAGCTTGCAGTGAGCTGAGATCGCCCCACTGCACTCCAGCCTGGGCAACAGAGCGAGACTCTGTCTCAAAAAAAAAAAAAAAAGAAAACCTTGTTAATCTGACACAGGGGTCCATATGCTGGTCTTGCATCAGTGTGCCTTTGACATTAATGATTAATTTAGAGAAAATGAACTTATTTTATCTTTTAAAATTGACTCTTACAATCTCACATGCCCACCTCTTCTGCAATAGTCCCTGGGCCTTGAGGAGTTGAATAGCTTTAATTTCTGGCATTGTGTCTCAGGAATGCAGTTTATTTTGATTGGTGTCTTCTACAGGGCCTGAAGATTAGGCTGTAATTGCTGTCAGTGTTTAAGATTTATCAGGACTTGGTGTTCTTTTTAGAACCAGGAGTTAAAGCCCTATAACTTAATGTCACAAGTACTTTAAAAGCACATACAGAAAGATACAGGGATGTAATAACCTTAACTTAAAAAATTTTAAATCTCAGTTTTTTCCTAAGCAAAATCAAACTTAATAATAATGGCATACAAACTATTTCAATAAAACATAAAATCTGTTAGGCCAGTTACCAAAGGGCAAAAGAAAAAACCTTCAGCAGTGCACAGATTGTTATGTTGGAAGAAAACATTTCCTTTAGACCTTTAAGAAAACATGCCTTTTAAAAGGGAAGAGAAAGCTGAAAAGTGGCGAGATGCAATAAAAGTTGAACTTTGGGTTAAAAAAGTTAAAATCTCTTATAATTCATAAGAGTAAAGTTGGCTCATGCCTGTAATCCCAGCACTTTGGGAGGCTGAGGAGGGTGGATCATCTGAGGTCAGGAGTTTGAGACCAGCCTGGCCAACATGGGAAAACCCCATGTCTACTAAAAAAATACAAAAATTAGCTGGGTGTGGTGCCACGGGTCTGTAATCCCAGCACTTTGGGAGGCTGAGGAGGGTGGATCATCTGAGGTCAGGAGTTTGAGACCAGCCTGGCCAACATGGGAAAACCCCATGTCTACTTAAAAAAATAAAAAAATTAGCTGGGTGTGGTGGCATGGGTCTGTAATCCCAGCTACTTGGGAGGCTGAGGCAGGAGAATCACTTAAACCTGTGAGGCAAAGGTTGCAATGAGCCAAGATCGCACCATTGAACTCCAGCCTGGGCAACAGAGTGAGACTCTGTCTCAAAAAAAAAGAGTAAATTAAGCCATTAAGAAAGTTTTATTGTTTTAACCAATTATTTAGTGTATAAGTGTTGTTTTACATTAAGCCCAATCTCTAGAAAGGGCATTTTAATTTTCCTTTAATTATAAATAATTTGATAATATAGTTGTTTAAATAAATCCCCTTATTGCTACTTACACAGACCATTCATGACATGCTTTGATTTTCTGGTTTGTTCTGAGCATCCCTCCTCTTAAACAACCAGTCATTTTATTTTAGGACTAAATTTACCATGCAAGAGTCTTTCTCACATAAAATTATTTCTCTTTAATCTTTCTTACGACAAAAAAAACTACTTTATTTTTATAACTTTCTTTACATCTTTTTTACTTCCTGGTTCCTTTACCTTCTTTTACACATAACCTTTAAATAAGCTTTGAATTAGACATAACTTGTTCACCTTTTTAAAAAAGGACACACTTTTTTTGTCAAGAATGTTTTCCTACAATATATTTTTATTGGAAAATACCCAAATAATGAAATATTTATTATTTAATTTAATATAACTTTATATTCTAAATTATGTCATTTGTTTACAAGTATTTACCTCATTACATTTACCAAATTATTTTAATTGTTTACCTGGATTATTTATGAAAACTGTGATAGTCATGATTTAAAGTTCTGAAACCACCATTGCAAAATTATAACTGAGACAGTGGAAAAGATATGACCTAACTAACTCCATCTTGCTTCTAACCTCCAAGCTGTCCTTGTTCATTGCTGGACTTTGGGAGGATAGTTTATAGTTTCACTTTGAAACAAATACAATAACAGTCCTTTTCCAAAACAAACCTCCTTACTGCCTGTGGACTCAACTGCCTAAAGCCACAGGATTAGAAATTATGGTAATTTTACTAAATTCAAGATGCAGCTATTTTTATTAAACAAATATCAATGTCTGATTTATTAAAAATTAAAAAAGTAAAGATTATTCTGGTTTGGGCTGGATTTATTCTTTTGTAACTGCTACGCTAAATTTTGACACTTTGTAGTATTTGGCAGGGATAAGTGTGAAATTGGTTGATTAATAAATGCAACCAAAAAGTAGTGAAACATTGTGTAAACAGCACATAAATACAGAGACATATTAGGCATGCTGATGGAAATACATCTTATAGATTAATAAAGGGCCCCCCTTCTTTTTTCCTATCTTAGACTTTCAGATTCTTAATAACCTGTTTTCCAACACTAGGCAGTTATTAGCTAAATAGCTTTAAATTTGTATATTAAAGGAAACAACTCATGTGAAAATCAAATAGCAAAATTTACATCATATGGTACAGAGAAAAAAAGTCTGGTGGTGCTAGAGGGAGACACTTTTATTTTTCTTTGAGCCAAATTAAACATAGAATTACAGAAATTTATCATAGGATTGTATAGGGAGACCAATTTTATTTAGGTAAGGATTACCTATCTGTTAACTGGATCTCAGCTTTGGGCAGAGCCCACCAGTCTGAATCCTGGGTCTCCAAAGAAAGAGAGAATAATTTTGAGGTTAGACCACATGATGCTTTTACAGTGCACTTAATTTTTTTTAACAAAGACATTTCTAAGAGTCTAAACTGCACTCTTCCTTAAAAACTCAGGAGTAGTCTCTGTTGCACTAGCTATTAATGAAGAAAACAGAATTCAGTCAACTGAGAAAATAAAAAAAAAACACTTTTGCTCAGAAAAACAAGGTCCTAGGAGAGAAAAAACAAACAAACACAAAAACATGAAGGCCTTTTTTTTAATTTTATAATTATTATACTTTAAGTTTTAGGGTACATGTGCACAATGTGCAGGTTAGTTACATATGTATACAGGTGACATGCTGGTGTGCTGCACCCATTAACTCCTCATTTAGCATTAGGTATATCTCCTAATGCTATCTCTCCCCCCTCCCCCCACTCCACAACAGTCCCCAGAGTGTGATGTTCCCCTTCCTGTGTCCATGTGTTCTCATCGTTCAGTTCCCACCTATGAGTGGGGACATGCAGTGTTTGGTTTTTTGTCCTTGCAGTAGTTTACTGAGAATGATGATTTCCAATTTCATCCATGTCCCTACAAAGGACATGAACTCATCATTTTTTATGGCTGCATAGTATTCCATGGTGTATATGTGCCACATTTTCTTAATCCAGTCTATCATTGTTGGACATTTGGGTTGGTTCCAAGTCTTTGCTATTGTGAATAGTGCCACAATATACATACGTGTGCATGTGTCTTTATAGCAGCATGATTTATAATCCTTTGGGTATATACCCAGTAACGGGATGGCTCGGTCAAATGGTATTTCTAGTTCTAGATCCCTGAGGAATCACCACACTGACATCCACAATGGTTGCACTAGTTTCCAGTCCCACCAACAGTGTAAAAGTGTTCCTATTTCTCCACATCCTCTCCAGCACCTGTTGTTTCCTGACTTTTTAATGATTGCCATTCTAACTGGTGTGAGATGGTATCTCATTGTGGCTTTGATTAAAAAAAAAAAACTACATTAGGGAGTTTGGCTTTATCCTGAGAGCAAAGGGAAGCCATTGGAGAAGATTCAGTCAGTCTTTTAAAAATTAATTAATTAATTTACTTTTTGATTCAGTCAGTCTTGACCTGCCTTGAGGACGTGTGTTTTCCAGTGATCTTCTGATTACAAAGGAAGGGGACAGAGACAGGGAGGTTATTTTATTCACGGATTGTCAGTCGGTCAGGACAATTGCAGACTGACCTGGTCATGCACAGAACTTAGGTTCTTTTTGGAAGATAACAGTAACTGCTCAAGAAAGTTAAGTAGGGAAACAGTTACCTACTTGCTTTCCTCCCAACTCAGTCACCATACATGGATAACTGATTTTAATAAAAGTGAGTCTTAGATCAAATTTGCAACACATTTTTAAAAATAAAAATTCATTTTTTTGAATATAGTTTATACAACTTGTTCTATAACAAGTAATGCGGTTCCAAGTTCTCCATTTTTTTTAGGTACTCAACCACGCCTTTCAACAACACCTTGTATACAATGTTCACTTGAGGCACACTCAGTCTCCTCCAATGGTAATATCTTATATAAGTATAGTATGACATATTTTAAAGTAATTACAAGAACATATATATAGTGTTCAGGAGACATACATAATGTCTTTCCTGCTGTCATTTACTACAATTTAAAATTTATTCTAGCAAATAAAATTTACTTCATATGGTATTACAAAAAAAAACATGAAGGCCTTTAAATACAAACAGGCACACATACACACATACACATACACATCTTGGATGTTAGTTTTTAATTAAGCTTTTAACCATTGAGCTCCTTTTAAAAAATCTTTTAAAATCTCATTACTGTATTTCAGCTAGAACAAATTGCTGCTGTTTCAGAATTACCAAGTATCAAACCAGAAAGGATTTGATTTAGAACCAAACCTAGGTTGTCATGGTGGGGAAAAAAAGAAGGCAGAACCTTAGCTATTGAACTGCAGCATGGTTGGGGGGAGAGAGGGGACAGCCATTGCTTTCAGTTTGGCATGGTTAGCAAAAAAATGTGGCTTTGTTATGGTAATAAATCCCCTTAAATAGTCAAAATCAAAAATCTTTCCTTTTGTTTTTATTTTTCTTTTGCTGGCTGTTTTTCTCCCTGCAGTATACTACCTTTCATTTAGTAGGAATTTAGCCACTTTAGAGGCCTTGTTCCCCATCCTTTGGAACTTTTCTTCAGATTTGATCAAGTCAGGTAGAGTTGGCCAAACCCAGTAGGAAAAAGATGGAAACAACATCAAAAACAGAAACAAACAAACAGCAACAGAAAAACACTTAAGCAAACAAATGAATGAAACAAATTATATGATGACTTGAGTGCTCTAATGGTAAGGAGAAATTAAGACCAGCTGGTTGTTAATCTTAACTTTAGCCAAGACAAACCCCAATTCAGTTAGTTACCTAGGGATGGGTCTCAGGCTGTAGACTGCTGTCTACCATCCTAGAAGAAGGAAAAAAAAAACCTCATCTTCCATGTTGGAATCGAGCTCAAACTCCATAAATGAGTTACCTGCCTTCCATAGTTATGGAAAGAGGAAATCTTGCCTTCGTCATGGGAAGCAAGTAAAACTCCAAAAAAGAGGAGTTGTACAGCAAAATAAACTTTAGATCTCAACCAAATTTTGGGAGATGAGGGATTCTCTGGAGATGGTGCTCTCAGACCTCAGAAAATTGTCCTCTTAGTTTGAGCCATAAAGTTAGCTCATGCTAGTACCAAGCAACAACAGGAGATTTGTCAAAGGTCAGGGGCATCTCTACTCACAATCCTTCCATAGTTACCAAATGTAAACCCCGAATACTGGAGACAGGTCTCAGTTAATTTAGAAAGTTTGTTTTGCTAAGGTTGAGGATGTGTGCCAGTGACACAGCCTCAGAAAGTCCTGGCAACATGTGCCCAAGGTGGTTAGGGCATGGCTTCTTTTTATACATTTTAGGGAGACATGAGACATCAATCAATATATGTAAGAAGTACATTGGTTCCATCTAGAAAGGCGGGGACAACTTGAAGCATGGAGGGGGCTTCCAGGTCACAGGTAGGTGAGAGACAAATGGTTGCATTCTTTTGAGTTTCAGATAAGCTTTTCCAAAGGAGGGAATCAGAATATACATCTATCTCAGTGAGCAGAGGGATGACTTTGAATAGAGTGGGAGGCAGGTTTGTCCTGAGCAACTCCCAGCTTGACTTTTCCCTTAGCTTAGTCATTTGGGGGCCCCAAGATTTTCCTTTCACAGTATAAAACCAAGCTGTGCCCTGCCCACCTTGGGCACATGTCGTCAGGACCTCCTGAGGCTGTGTCATGGGTGTATCCTTAACCTTGGCAAAATAAATTTTCTAAATTGATTGAGATTTGTCTCAGACACTTTTTGGTTTATAAGATAAACAGGAACAGGCAAATTTGAATATACTGTTCCATATCTTTTTAGTCAGTGTTGTAGTCCTGAGACTAGATCAGTCCAGTTAAACAGCTATATCCATTAGGAGGTGACATTGCAAATGGACAAGGCTTCTATATGTCATGAAGACAAACATATTTTTAATAAGAGGCATTTCTATAGAGACAGAAGAAAAACAAACATTAATGTTGAGCACAATTTATCCAGACATCTTTAGTCATAGAGGAGGAAGGCAGTGACAATCTGACATTTTTTTCTCTGGCCTATATTACAAGGCACAAGCTTCAGCTTGCAGGGCCTCAGTAAAGAGGGAGTAGCAATTTCATTGAGGAAAAGTCAGAAAAATAAAAGAAACATTTGAAAGCATTAGGATGGGGATTGTAGCCCTGAAAGAATTCAGGATTCAGTCCAAATTGTGTAACCACCCAATGGGTTCTTGCCCAAATTACAAGTCCAAATTACTTGCCCAAATTACACAATTCCAAATTGTGTAACTTGCCCACTGCCTAGACAGAGCCAATTTATCAAGACAGAGGAATTGCAATAGTAAAAGAGTAATTCACGCAGAGCTGGCTATGTGGGAGACTGGAGTTTTATTATTACTCACATCAGTTTTCCTGATAATTTGGGGATCAAAGTTTAAGGATAATTTGGTGGGTAGGAGGTCAGTGAATCAGGAGTTCTGATTGGTGGGGTCAGAGATTAAATCACAGGGAGTTGAAGCTGTCCTGTAGTGCTGAGTCAATTCCTGGATGGGGCCCACAAAACCAGATGAGCCAGTTTATCTGGGTGGTGCTAACTGGTCCATCGAGTACAGGGTCTGCAAAATATCTCAAGCTCTGATCTTAGGTTTGACAATAGTGATGTTATCCCCAGGAGCAACTTGGGGACGTTTAGAATCTTGCAATCTCCAGCTGCATGACTCCTAAACCATAATTTCTAATCTTGTGGCTAATTTGTTAGTCCTGCAAAGGCAGTCTAGTCCCCAGGCAGGAAGGGGATTTGTTTTGGGAAGGGACTGTTATCCCCTTTGTTTCAAAGCTAAACTGTAAACTAAGTTCCTCCCAGTTAGTTCAGCCTACACTCAGGAATGAACAAGGACAGCTTAGAAGTTAGAAGCAAGACGGAGTTGCTTAGGTCAGATCTCTGTCACTGTCTCAGTTATAACTTTGCAATGGTGGCTTCAGTTGCAGAAAATAATAAAAACTCAAAAACAGTGGATGAGACTAAAATCTACCAACAGGTATACTACCGTTTTTTTCTGAAACATAATTTTTCTCTCTCCAGTTCCTGCTTTTACTAAAGACAAATCACAGTAGGACAAATTCATTTGCAAAATAAGTTTTAGTTTTATTATACTTGGCCTGAGTATTTGCATAAAGTCAGCATATTATTTGCCATTATAGGCTGTTTTAAAATTTGGCTTTGCTTGCAGATTAGACTTCAAAACCTTGAGCCCAGCCATGGATTTATCTGTGCCTACAAATACTTGTATTAATTGGGTAAATTCCACACCTTGTAGTCCCAAGGTAATTTGGAACTCCTGGGCCTGTCAGAAAGTGACACTCTTTACTTACCACAGGTCAGGAACCCTGTACAGGGACTGTGTAGACAAGATATGAGGCCAGCTTTCCCAAAGGGTTTTTATTGGCTCTATAAATCAACTTTGTTTCAATCTATTTATGTCTGAAAGTATGCTATTCCAGTCAAAGCCTGGGTAAAATAGCCAGTGTCTCCAATTGTGTCCTGTTACAAAAGAAAACAGGTATTTATTGAACATATGCAAATAACTTTACCACCATAAATTAAGTATACTTATGAATAGTTTCCAAATTCTGGAGAAATCAGCTAGATCGAAAGAAATATGCTTCAAAGTTTGCTCACAGGAGTTTACTTTAGCCAATTGTTAAAATCTATAAATAGTTAAAAGGAGATAAAGGTTTTCTGAACTCTGAAAAACAAAAAATTAGCAATGTTTCCAACAAAAAGCCATAAAAGGATTATTTTAGTCTTCCATTAGTTCAGTCTATGTAATTAACTCCTGTTCTGCTTGATATTCATGAACACATTAGCTCTCTATGGGAGTCTTGGAAGTTTTTTTCCTCTATTCTAGTGTCACAATCTCCAAAGTTATCAGAAACATGCATTCAGGAGCACCTGTCATAGTTGTATAGCTGGTTATGAAACCACCTTGAAAATAACCAAAGTGAAACAATTGCAGATGACAAAAGCCTCAGAACAGCCATGATAAAGTCTAGTCATCTCTGTGGCACACTGTAGTTTAACATAACGATCATGATTATTACTGATAACATATACTGAGACATAACAGAATTACAAAAATCTTACATTGTTATGGAACACATACCAATAACACATTCATATAAATACACTCTAAAGAAAACCTGATACCATTTCATACTTAACAATGTTTCTTGTACTATTTTAATATACCAAATAAGCCAAATATGTGTCTTTTGGACTTTGGGGTAACTAATATCTAAAAGGTTAACCAGATTTTTAAAAAGGCTTAATTTAGAATTTAACTTTGGAAAGCTTGTCAAATATCAAAGGTTTAAACACTTGCTATTACAAGATAAGATCCCAGATTACTGTAAGTCATTTATTTAGCCAAAATGATAACTCAAAACATTTTTAAAGGCAAAAATCTTTACTCATGGATAGAGGAGAGACTCAGTTTTCCAAACAGGACCCAATAAAGACAGCAAGAGGCCAAATAAATCTGTCTCTTTGTTCCTCCCCTCCTTTTTTTTTCTGTCACTTATTCAAAAGGCAAACAAAAATCTTTTATTACATTTTAACATTACATGAAAATCTTGTTTAAAAGAGAAAATCAAATTTCTCCTTTGCATTAGTATATTATTAATCTTAAACCCGATCCTTAATAAAACCCTATAGGATGGGTGCAGTGGCTCACACCTGTAATCCCAGCACTTTGGGAGGCTGAGGTGGGTGGATCGCTTGAGTCCAGGAGTTTGAGACCAGCCTGGGCAACATGGCAAAACCACATCTCTACAAACATACAAAAATTAGCTGGGCGTGGTGGCACATGCCTGTAATCCTAGGTATTCGGGAGGCTGAGGCACGAGAATTGCTTGAACCCAGAAGGCAGAGGCTGCAGTGAGCTATCACACCACTGCACTCCAGCCTGGGTGACAGAGCGAGACCCTGTCTAAAAAAAAAAAAAGACCAAAAAAACCCCTTATAATAAAATCTACACAATCTTACTTGGTTTGACCATGAGGTAAAATTTTCATAAACCTCTTACAACCTTTTACAATTTTCTATTAAACAGCCAATCAATTCTCTAAGAAAACCCTGTTATTCAGTCACATGGGCCCAGGTTCTGACCCAGCATGTGTGTGCTTTTATTTCAATATTCAACCTACAGAAAAACTAAATAATCCCCTTCAAATCTTAGCTAACTTGCCCATACCCACAGAGCTTCTTTTACAAGATCAACCCTTCACAAACACTTTGCAGCTTGCTTCAACCTTTAGTTTTGCCTCATTGCTCTTTTAGGCTAGGACAATGCTTTAAAACATCTGAACTAGACAAAATTACATTCCCTTTAACAAAAACCATATTCCCATGCCATCTTATAATCTCCCACCAAAAACATTCTACTTTCCTTCTATACCTTGCATGTAAACCTGTTTTTCCAGTAGTCTCAGATACACGTGTTACAATGTTAACTCTTAGCAGCTTTTACTTTTAGTGAAAAACCTGGTAGGTAAGCAGTTTTAACAATGTATAAGATTGCAGAGCCCATGACTTTTCCCGGCTTAGCCAAGGTAGTTGGCTAACTCCATATACCCCAGGCCTTACCTAGAATCTAATGGCTTTAAAACAGACAAGTCAAACAATTACTAAAAGTCATAGCATTTTATGCCCTTAAAACATCTACCAAACAGTATCTGACTTGCCTAATGTAGACCAAATGTGTGAACTTTGAAGACGTTTTTATTTTACTTTACCAATTATCTTTAAACTTTCTTTATTTTTCAAAGATTATCAGAATCACGTGAACTAAAGGCATTAATGTTTCTATTTTTCTGACATTATGTTTGATTCAAGTGCTTATATTTGTTTAAGCCAATTAACTAGAGCTCTTTTATATAAACATCACACACATAACACATACAGATACACAGAGAGACAGAAACAGAATCATGAAAAAAATTCCGTCAACTGAGAAGTTTTTAGAGGGAGAGCA
This sequence comes from Homo sapiens, assembly GCF_000001405.40. NCBI lineage: Eukaryota > Metazoa > Chordata > Mammalia > Primates > Hominidae > Homo > Homo sapiens. The sequence continues at coordinate 55,205,885 of NC_000023.11, forward strand.
GGAGTTTTAAAACAACATATGTACACAGCCAAATATCAGCTTTAAATAAGTTGATTTCTAACTACAGAGCTCTCAAAAGAAAAATTATTTAAAAATCTTTTATTACCAGATTTCAGCCAGGACAAATGGTCAATATTTATGGCTTTTGAATATTTTTATACTAAAGTAACTTCCTATGTGAAATTAATAAGCCTTAACTAAGGGGATGACAACCACAGACGCACGAGGTGTCTCCAAAGCGATATTAAGTGATTTTTACAAGATCTAGAGTCTCCCCAAAGGTAGTTTAGAGGAAAGAGAATTCAAGGCATGAAATCAGAAGCTGTCCATGGAGTGGAAAAGAATCAATAAATGGCAAAATTCCAAAGGTATTAAACCACAAATGATTCACTCTCAAAGCCAGGAATTGAACCCTGGGCCACCACTGTGAGAGGGCAAAACCTTAGCAGCTGACCTAAGATACAAGGTGACTGCTATTGTCATTCCCAGAAGGAGCATAGAGCATTTTCAAGCATGCAAAAGATTTTAAGTGCTCAAGAGAATTTTCTAACACTAGCCATGCCATTATTATGCGTCCTCCTTTTAACCTTTTTCTTTTAGTGGTATACTCAGTTCTAATAATAACTCAATCCAAGAAGCTTGTTAAAGTCCAGATGGTAATTTTCTAGGTTTTTACCATATAAGCACGAGGTATTTCCAGAAAGGGGGTAGAGGAGGCATCTTTATGATCCCCAAGAATTCACTCTCAGAAATGAGCTTAAGATAGCAAAATACTACAAAAGCCCCGAAGGGATGAGACCTTTTAAGACAAAAGTCACCCAAGGGCTTGACATTCGGAAGGCAGAATATGCTGACTCATCTCAGACTCCAGGTCTTCTTGGACTGGCCACCTGACATGAACTCGAAAATTCCTGCCTACTGGATGGAGGAGACCAAGAGAGAGTGCCTCCACATGGTCACAAAGTCATGCTCTCAAGGACATAAAACAAGATGAGAGGGAAACCTCATTTGGTTTTTGTTTCAGGGACCCACAGCCACGTTTGTGACCAGTCTGCTGGGTGGGTTTGAACAGTGGGCTGATAAGGGTCCTAGGCCCACGCTGTATCATTCAGTATCTCTCTTTATGACAGAACGACACAGAAAGACAAATTCATAGCACAAATTGCACCAGATTTGCTACAGCCTAAGACTAGCCTCACAAATCCTTTTTAGAGACAGGAATTTTTACGGTTTACCAGTTTGCACAGAGAGAGAGAGAGAGAGAGAGAGAGAGAGAGAGAGAGACCAAAAGACTTTCTGGTAAGAAATTCTTACCCTTTTGCCAGCATGCCAGGTTCCTGGAGTCCCTTTCCCTGAGTGGCTCTGGTGACCCTGCTTGCCGCACCATAATCACAAAGAAAAATCACCTTTTTCTGTTTCATGGAAGCATAGGCAAAAGCTTCTCAATCTTGCAAGATGCCGCCCAATGGGCTGCATGGGGGAACTGAGTTAACATTTTCCATCCCAGCTGACACAAAATACACATAACAAAACAGACACTGACCCAATATCGACCTGCCTGTGTTGGTCCTTGTCATCTTTGACCCACTCAAGGTAGGGAGGGATGACCTTTGACCAGGAATTCAATAGGTGGTCTCTGGGCAAGGTAATGAGCAGACAGTCACCCTGAGTCAGGCTTGTTGAGCTTTCTGCTGACAATTCCTTCAGAGCTCACTGAATGTGACCAGACGAATAAGGAAGGTTCTCGGAGTTAGGCCTGCTGGACGTCTGTCAGCAATTCCTTCAGAGATCCCCTCCACAAATACACACAACCAAGAGAAGACAAATGGAAGGCCTTCCAAACCAATATTCCTAACCAAGAATTTTCAAGAGTATTTCTTCCAAACTAACCTCCTAGTCTCCATCTGAGAAATCTCCTTGAAATCCTGCCAGTTGAGGAGAAATCTCCCAAACCAAGACTCTTCCTACTAATTAGGGAGAGCCAGCCAAGACTCCCAAAGGAGCCAAACCAAGCCCTAAGAAAGGAGATGAACTGATCAGGGCAGGGGGCGGGGGGCGGGGGGGAAGGAAGGAGGTGTTGCCAGTGCCTAGAATACCCACCAGACCAGTTTAAAGGTATTTTTCCAGGAACTATTTCTCCACTGCAATCAATCCCAAGCACTATGGGTCAATATCACGTCATCAGTAGGGACAGTACCAGAGATGGCCTTCAGTTAAATAAGCGGAGCTCACCTCCGGGTCAATCATACTGGTAGACAGAGGGCTGATGAGCCATAGGCAGGGGATCCTGAAGGAGCCTCCAAATTTGTAACCACCTGAGGGTTTTTCCCCTGCCTGCTGCACAAAGAAAGACCATGATATTGTAATAGAGAAACAGTTTAATAGACATGAGGCTGGCCATGCCACATGGGAGATGGAGTTAGTAATCAATTCATTTTCCCAGGACAATTTTTAAAAATAATTTCAACTTTCATTTTAGACTCAGGGGGTACATGTACAGGTTTGTTACCTGGGTATATATTGGGTGATACTAAACTTTGGGGTATGAATGCTTCTGTCATTAAGGTAGTGTGCATAGTACCCAATAGGTAGTTTTTCAGCCCTTGCTCACCTCCCCGTCTCCCCTGCTCTAGTAGTACACAGTGTGTATTTTTCCCAACTTTATGTCCATGTGTACCCAATGCTTATCTCACACTTATAAGTGAGAACATGCAGTATATGGTTTTCTGTTAACCCAGGACAATTTTAACCACCCATAAAAGACCCCCCAGAAAAGAGCACAGAAAGAGGGGAGGACCAGAAGACTGACACACAGAATGAAGAAACTGATGAGCGTTGTCACTGAGTGAGCAGGGCCTCCTAGAGGCTCATCATTGCCCTTTACAAGTGATGCTAGGCTCCAGTGTTCTTTAACAACACAGACTGCATTTCCCAGGGCCTGGGTTGTAGCACTGAGTACTGCTGGAGAAAAACACAGAACATGTTATAACTATTGCACTTTCATTGTCATCATTGTTTCTTAGGATCTCAATGCTAGACAGAAGGCTTTCTTGGTGAATCGGGTCCCTCCCCCAGTCCCTTCTTAGGGAGTTCCAAGATTTCACCTCTCTGCTGGAACCATCTACCACACATTTATCCTCTTGCTATTAGCAAAGCACATTCCCAGTCTCACCTGAGGTCTAAGTGGGCAGATGGTGGGAGGAAGGCCTCAGTGCTGGATCAATAAATTTGCTTGTCACAGGGGTCCTTGTGAATGCACAGAAGCATGTACATAACATTCCTTCCAGCCCAGAGGAGCACTTTGATTGGGGCATGAGGTATAAGTGCGGGAGGCAGGGATGATGTGCGAATGTAGGCAGATGCCAGATCATGAAAGGAAGAGAGGCACTGCTTATCTTTTAAAATTATTGCATACTGTTTATTCCAAGGCTTTCTTTTTAAAGACTTATTTTTAGTGGTTTTAGATTTATAGGAAAATGAAGGGAAGGTACAGATGCTTCCCATATTCCATCTTGCCCCAGCCTCAAAGTTTCTTCTGTTATCAACATCTTGCATTAGTGTGGTAAATCTGTTACAATTGATAAGCCAATAATATGTAATTATTAACAAAAGTCTATAGTTAAGTTTTCACTCTTTAAGTTGTATAGCCTATGCGTTTTGGCAAATATGTAAGATGTAGCTACCATTACAGTATCTTACAGGATAGTGTCACTGCCCTAAACATCTCATGTGCATCATCATTTATCCCTGTCTTTCTCCTCCAAATCCCTGGCAACTACTAATCATTTGACTGTCTCCAAAATTGTTCCTTTTCCAGAATGTCATACAGTTGGATTGGTGCAGTATATAGCCTTTTCAGATTGGCTTTTTTTCTCTTAACAGTATACACTTAATGTTTGTCCATATCTTTTTTTGGCTTAAGAGCTCATTTCTTCTTATCATTGAATAATATTCCATTGTACAGACATACCAGAGTTTGTTTATCCATTCACCCACTGGGGGATATCTTCAATGCTTCTGAGTTTTAGCAATTATTAATAAAGTTGCTATAAACATTTATGTGTAGGTTTTGTGCACATATTAAGTTTTTTTTTTTCTTGAGACGGAGTCCCGCTCTGTCACCCAGGCTGGAGTGCAATGACACAATCTTGGCTCACTGCAACTGCCATCTCCCAGGTTCAACCGATTCTTCTGCCTCAGCCTCCCGAGTAGCTGGGACTACAGGCCCACACCACCACACCTGGCTAATTTTTTTTTTTTTGAGACGGAGTCTTGCTCAGTCACCAGGCTGGAGTGCAGTGGCGCAATCTCCACTCACTGTAAGCTCCGCCTCGCGGGTTCAAGTGATTCTCCTGCCTCAGCCTCCCGAGTAGCTAGGACTACAGGTACCTGCTACCACATCCGGCTAATTTTTTGTATTTTTAGTACAGAAGGGGTTTCACCATGTTGGCCAGGATGGTCTCCATCTCTTGACCTGGTGATCCACCCACCTCAGCCTCCCAAAGTGCTGGGATTACAGGTGTGAGCCACCACACCCACTATATTTTTGTATTTTTAGTAGAGATGGGGTTTTGCCATGTTGGCCAGGCTGGTCTTGAACTCTTGACCTCAGGTGATCCACCTGCCTTTGCCTCTCAAAGTGCTGGGATTACATGCATGAGCACCGTGCCTGGCCCATATATTGTTTTCAACTCATTTGGGTAAATACCAAGGAGCAGGATTTCTGGGTTGTATTGCTTAGTTTTGTTAAAAAGACGCCAAACTGTCTTCCAAAGTGGCTGTACCATTTTGCATTTCCACCAGCAATGAATGAGAGTTCCTGTTGGTCCACCAAATTATACCATCATTTGGTATAATCAGTATTTTAGATTTTAGTTATTCTACTAGGTGTGTATTGGTATCTCATTGCTATTTCAATTTCCACATCCTTGCCAGCATTTTGAGGCAGGAGAATAGGGTCTGGAGGCAGGGAACCTAAGGCTATTTCACTCCGACTTCCTAGAACTAAATTGAAAGGAAAACCCTAACTTTCCACACCTAAGTAACAAAAGGACCAGAGGCTACTCCCTTTCACCTTTTCTGCGTGGCAGATGGGAAACTGGTTGCCGGCAACAAATCATACTGAGTGTGGGCCGAGTCTTCGTTTGCAACTTTGTAACTCCAGCTTCTGAATGGTTGCTGTCCACAACCAATCATACTGATTGCGGGCAGAGTCTTCTTTTGCATAGAAGTGTAACTTTATAACTTCACCCTAGCCTCTGAAGTTTGCACAGGAGTGTGACCTTTGTAACTTCACTTCAGCCTCTGGTTGGCTGCTTTCTGCAACCAATCAGACTGATTGTGGGCTACCACTTTCGTTACAAGGTGAGCATGAAGTGGCCAATGGGAAACTTTAGGGGGCATTCGGACCCAAGAAGATTCCGTATTCAGGCCCTTGAGCCACTGCTCGGCTCTGCTCCCACACTGTGGAGTGTACTTTCTTTTTCAATAAAGCCCTGCTTTCGTTTTTTTGTTCTTCATTGTTTCTGTGCTTTGCTGGGCGTTTTGTCCAATTCTTTTTTCAAAATGCCAAGAACCTGGACAACTTGGTGTCACTACCCTCTACCGGTGACAATTTGATATAGTCAGTATTTTAAATTTTAGTTATTCTACTAGGTGTGTATTGGTATCTCATTGTTGTTTTAATTTGCAGTACCTTAATGACACGTGATGTTGAACATCTTTTCATGCACATATTTGCCATCTGTATATCCTCTTTGGTCAGGTGTCTGTTCAAATCTCTTGCCTATTTTTTAATTGGGTTCTTCCTTTTTTTATTGTTGAGTTTTCAGAATTCTTTGTGTATTTGGATACCTGTCCTTCATTACATGTGTTTTACAAATACTTTCTCCCAGTCTTCTGTATTTTGTTTCATTCTCTGAACGGTATCTTTCAGAAAGCAGAAGCATTTAATTTTATTAAAGTCCAATTTATCGTATTTTTTCTTTCATGGATTGTATTTTTTGTGTTATTTTTAAGAAGTCATGACCAGGCCGGGCGTGGTGGCTTATACCTGTAATCCCAGCACTTTGGGAGGCCGAGGCAGGTGGATCACGAAGTCAGGAGTTCGAGACCAGCCTGGCCAACATGGTGAAACCCCGTCTCTACTAAAAATACAAAACTTAGCTGGGCGTGGTGGCAGGCGCCTGTAATCCTAGCTACTCGGGAGACTGAGGCAGGAGAATGTTTGGACCCGGGAAGCGGAGGTTGCAGTGAGCTGAGATCGCACCATTGCACTCCAGCCTGGGGAACAGGGCAAGACTCCCTCTAAAAAAAAAAAAAAATATATATATATATATATATATATATATATATATATATATATGTTTATATATATGTGATATATATATTTATTGGTGATATATATATTTATTGGTGATATATATATTTATTGGTGATATATATATATTTATTGGTGATATATATATATGTATATATATATCTCACCAAACCCAAAGTCACCTAGATTTTCTCCTACATTGTCTTTTAGAAGTTTTACAGTTTTCCATTTGAATCTAAGATCCATTTTGAGTTCATTTTAATGAAAGGTATAAGGACTGTGTCTGGATTGATTTTTTTTATATGTGGATATCCACCAAGGCTCATTGTGACATTTACATTATGTTTAGAGCTATATCTACAACTAGTTATTTAGAGCAAAAAGGCTCATTGTGACATTTACATTATGTTTAGAGCTATATCTACAACTAGTTATTTAGAGCAAATTCTACCATAAACCTACTTCACCTGAAAGAAGTTCAGCCATATTTCTAGCAATTTAGGAACAAAAAGAATCACAGACATTTCCTGTCTTCTGATAAATTGGGCTAGAAATTTGCTTAGTAATAAGTCAAATGCTCAACCTACATATTAAAAAAGTTGATCTCAAAATTTTACATTGTAAACAAGGGTTTAGATGTTGCAGTTCCTGCTCTGGGATGCCTATGGTTTGAAAAGCACCATTCAAGTGGATATGTAGCACTTTCGTCTTTTGGTTATTTTGTAGTAATTTGCTCTTGGCTAGTGGGGAGAACTTCATTGTTACACCATCTAAAAAGATGCATAAAAACCATGGTTGTCTCTGAGAAATTTTATGTATGAGCTGGAGATAAATGTGTCAAACAACATCCAAAGGAAGTAACTGGGCTCAGAGAAGGCAAGAGAGGATCAGAGTTTCAAAATTAGGAAAGAAGGTCCCTTCAGAGAGTCCCTTGCCCTGATGCTGAAGACTTTTTTTTTTCCAAGTGAATTTATTTATTTTTAAATTGACAGATAAAATTGTATGTATTTATTGTGCACAACATAATATTTTGAAGTACATATATGTTATGGAATGGTTAAATATAGTTAATTAACATCGTATTACCTCACATAGTTATCGTTTTGTGGTGAGAACACTTAACATCCACTCTCAGCGTTTTTCAAGGTCTCTTAAAGTTATTCTCCCTATCTAACTGTAATTTTGTAGTCCTTTAATGGGATGTGAACTGTAGTTCAGTTCATGACTTATGGAGGATCTCAAACCATATCTCTTGAACTGACGGATGGGTGGAGTCATGACTTCTTGCATGCACGGACGGATGTAAATTTTAAGTCTCATTTTCTCTGGTGAAGTCACAAGGGTGCTTTCCAGCCCATGTTAAATTAGCTTTATAATTTATTTTGGGACAAAAGTAGTATGAGTCACTAAAAACACAGTGTTGGAAATTACATCATAAGGATATTGACTCTGCAGAATTGTCCCATCAGAAGAATGTTATGATCTGTGTTGAGTGCCTGTCAGAGGACTCTACTAAGAGCTAGGTATTCAATATAAACCACTATGCATCATGAAAAATAAAGATACACATCTGAATGCCAACATACTTTGCATGTGCTCTAATTCCTATGCAGCAAGTGTGAAAATGGTATTCATACAATCACACAAAGGAGTGTGTGCACACAAGGACCGGCATCCGAAGTATCTCAACTAAGGGCAGAAGTTACAAAAAGCCTATATTTACCACTGTGAATGAGGAGCCTCTGGTTTCTACAGCACTGTTCAACCTCTCAGGCTCTGCTCTATGCCTAGTTTTAGCTTTGGTTTAGTCATTCACTCTGATTATATCATTTTTTTCCATGTTACATTCATTGCTCATAAGTTCTTACCTTCATTGGAAGCTTTCTTATGTTTTAGGACACATTAATTTAAAACAATCCACTCACTGTTTTAGTATTTTATAATTTAGACTCTAGAACCTGAATAACCATGAAGACCAACGTGATGAAACATACATTGAATGTTTTAAAATTTATTTTTATTTTTAATTTTTGTAAATATATAGTAGGTGTATATATTTATAAGGTACATGAGATGTTTTGATACAGGCATGCAATGTGAAATAAGCACATCATGGAGAATGGGGTATCCAACCCCTCAAGCACTTATCCTTTATGTTACAAAAAATCCAAAAACATTATTTATTTTAGAATACACAATTATTCTTGACTATAGGCACCCTATTGTGATATCAAATAGTATTCATTTTTTCTAGGTTTTTCTACCTACTAACTATTCCCATCTACCCCTAACCCCCCACTACACTTCTCAGGCTCTGGTATCCATCCTTCTAGTCTCTATGTCAATGAGTTCAATTGTTTTAATTTTTAGATCCTACAAATAAGTGAGAACATACAATGTTTGTCTTTCTGTGCCTGGCTTATTTTACTTAACATAATGACCTCCAGTTCCATCCATGTTGTAGCAAATGACTGGATCTCATTTTTTTTTATGGCTGATAGTACCCCATTATGTATATGTACCACAATTTCTTTATCCATTCATCTGTCGAAGGACACTTAGGTTGCTTCTAAATCTTAGCTATTATAAATAGTGCTGCAACAAACATAGGAATGCAGATATCCCTTCAATATACTGATTTCCTTTCTCTTGAGTATATAACCAGCAGTGGGATTGCTGGATCATATGTTAACTCTATTTTTAGTTTTTTGAAAAACCTTCAAACTGTTTTCCATAGTAGTTGTACTAATTTACATTCCCACCAACAGTGTACAAGGGTTCCCTTTTCTCTACATCCTCACCAATATTTGTTATTGCCTTTCTTTTGGATATTAGCCATTTTAACTCGGGTGACATGATATCTCACTGTAGTTTTGATTTACATTTCTCTGATGATCTATGATGTTGAGCACCTTTTCATATGCCTGTTTGCCATTAGTATGTCTTCTTTTGAGAAATGTCTACTCAAATGTTTTGCCCATTTTTTATTGTATTATTAGATTTATTCCTATAGAGTTGTTTGAGCTCCTGTATATTCTGGTTATAAATCCTTTGTCAGAGGGGTAATTTGCAAACATTATCTCCCATTCTGTGGGTTGTCTCTTCACTTTGTTGATTGTATCCTTTGCTGTGCAGAAGCCTTTTAACTTGATGTGATACCATTTGTCCATATTTGCTTTGGTTGCCTGTGCCTGTGGAGTATTGCTCAAGAAGTCTTTGCCCAGACTAATGTCCTGGAGATTTTCTCCAGTGTTTCCTGTAGCAGTTTCATAGTTTTCAGTCTTACATTTAAGTCTTTAATTCATTTTGATTTGATTTTTATATAGCCAGAGCTTGTGGTCTAGTTTCATTCTTCTATGTATGGCTATCCCGTTTTCCCAGCACAACTTTTTGAAGAGAATGTCTTTTCCCAGTGTATGTTCCTGGCACTTTTGTAAAATGTGAGTTCACTGTAGGTGTGTGGATTTTTTTCTAGGTTCTCTATTTTGTTCTATTGATCTATGTGTGTGTTTATGCCAGCACCATGCTGTTTTGTTTACTATAGCTCTGTAGTATAATGCTACATGCTGTCTGCCTCAGCCTCCCAAATCAATTTTCATTTCTGATTTTATTATTTTTATTATTTTATTTATTTGGGTTTTCTCTCTTTTTTTCTTAGTCTGGCTAATGGTTTGTCAATTTTGGTTAACATATTAAAAAACAACTTTTTGTTTTACTGCTCTTTTGTAGGTTTATTTTCATTTCAATTTTATTTATTTCTACTCTGATCTTTATTATTTCTTTTTTTCTACTAATTTTTGGTTTGGTTTGCTCTTTCTTTGCAGCTCTTTAAGATGCATCATTAGATCGTTTATTTGAAGTTTTTACCTTTTTTGATGTAGGTACTTATAGCTATAAGCATCTTTCTTAGTATTGTTTTTGCTGTATCCCATAGGTTTTGATATGTAGTGTTTACATTATCATTTGTTTCAAGAAGTTTTTAAATTTCCTTCTTAGCTTCTTCTAGGACCCATTAATCATTCAGGAGCAGATTGTTGAGTTTTCATGTATTTATATAGTTCCCAAAATTCCTCTTGTTTTTAATTTCTAGTTTTATTCCATTCTGATCTGGAAAGATGCTTGATATTTCAATTTTTAAAAAATTTTTTATGACCTAATATATGGTCTGTCCTTGAGAATGATCCATGGACTGAGGAAAAGAATGTGTATTCTCTAGCCATTGGATGAAATGTTCTGTGAATATCTATTAGATCCATTTGCTCTATAGTGCAGATAGTCTGTTTTTGTTGTTGATGTTGTTGAGTTTCTGTCTGGAAGATCTGTCCAATACGGAATGTGGGGTGCTGAAATCTCCATCCATTATTGTATTGGGACCTATCTCTCTCTTTAGCTCTAATGGTATTTGTTTTATATATCTGAGTGCTCTAGTGTTGGGTGCATATATATTTAAAATTGTTATATGTTTTTGATGAATTGACCCCTTTATTATTATAGAGTGACATTTGTGTCTCCTCTCAAAGTTTTTGTTTTGAAATCTAATTTTTGTTTATTCTTTAAAAATCTTTTATATTCAGTTCAGGCATACATGTGGTGCAGGTTTGTTATACAGATGAACTTGTGTCATGGGGGTTTGTTGTACGATTATTTTGTCACCCAGGTATTAAGCCTGGTACTCATGAGCTATTTTTCCTGATCCTCTCCCTCCTCCCAACCTCCACTCTTTGGTAGGCCCTGGTGTCTGTTGTTCTCCTGTGTGTGTCCATTTTTTCTCATTTTTCGCTCCAACTTATAAGTGAGAACATGCAGTATTTAGTTTTCTGTTCGTGCATTACTTTGCTAAGTATAATGACCTCCAGCTCCATCTATGTTCCAGCAATGGTTATAATGTCATTTGTTTTTATGGCTGCATACTATTCCATGGTATATATGCACTACATTTTCTTTATCCAGTCTACCATTGATGGGTTTTTAGGTTGATTCCATATCTTTGGTATTGTGAATAGTGCTGCAGTGAACGTATACATGCGTCTTTATGATAGGACAATTTATATTTCTTTGGCTATATACCCAGTAATAGGATTGCTGGATCAAATGGTAATTCTGGTTTTGGGTCTTTGGGGAATCAACACACTGTTTCTCATGATTGTTGAACTAATTTACATTTCCACCAACAGTGATTAAGTGTTTCTTTGTCTCCACAACATCACCAGCATCTTTTTTTTTTTCACTTTTTAATAATAGCCATTCTGACTCGTGTGAGATGATATCTCCTGTGGTTTGAATTGCATTTCTCTAATGATCAGTGATGTTGAGTTTTATTTCATATGCTTGTTGGCCACATGGATGTCTTCTTTTGAAAGTGTCTGTTCATATCCTTGGTCCACTTTTTAATGGTATTGTTTTTTTGTTTTGTTTTGTTTTAGACGGAGTCTCAGCCTGTTGCCCAGGCTGGAGTGCAGTGGCATGATCTCCACTCACTGTAACCTCCGCCTCATGGGTTCAAGTAATTCTCCTGCCTCAGCCACCCTAGTAGCTGGGATTATAGGCATGCACCACCACGCCCAGGTAATTTTTGTATTTTTGGTAGATATGGGGTTTTGCCATGTCGGCCAGCCTGTTCTCAAACTCCTGGCCTGAAGCGATCTGTCTGCCTCAGCCTCCCAAAGTGCTGGGATTACAGCTGTGAGGCACCGTGCCTGGCGTGTCTTTTTTTTTTTTTTTTTTTTTGTAAATTTGTTTAAGTTCCTTACAGATGCTGGAAACTAGAACTTAGATGCATAGTTTGCAAAAATATTCTCCTATTCTGTGTGTTGTGTGTTCACTCTGTGGATAGCTTCCTTGCTGTGCAGAAGTTCTATAGTTTAATTAGATCCCATTTGTCAATTTTCGCTTTTGTTGGAATGGCTTTTGGCATCTTCGTTATGAAATCTTTGCCCATTCCTATGTCTAGAATGATATTGCCTAGGTCGTCTTCCAGGATTTTTATAGTTTTAGGTTTTATACTTAAGTTCTTAATCCATTTTTACTTAATTTTTGTATAAGAAGTGATCCAGTTTCAATCTTTTGCATAAGCTAGCCAGTTATCCTGGGACCATTTATTGAATAGGGAATACTTTCTATATTGCTTGCTTTTGTTGAGTTTGTTGACGATCAGATGGTAATAGGTGTGAGGTTTGCAGCATTATTTCTGGACGGTGTATTCTATTTCATTGGTCCATGTGACTGTTTTGGTACCAGTACAATGCTTTTTTGGTTACCATGGCCTCATATTATAGTTTGAAGTCAGGTAATATGATGCCTCTGGCTTCATTCTTTTTGCTTAGGATTGCCTTGGCTATTCGGGCTCTTTTTTGGTTCCATATGAATTTTAAAGTAGTTTTTTTTTCTAATTCCACGAAGAGTGTCATTGGTAGTTTAATAGGAATATCATTGAATCTATAAACTGCAGTTTGGCCTTTTGACAACATTGCTTCTTCCTGTTCACGAGCATGGAATGTTTTTCCATTTGTTTTTGTCATCTCTGATTTCTTTAAGCAGTGTTTTGTAGTTGTCATAGTAGAGACTTTTCTCCTCCCTAGTTACCTGCATTCCTAGGTATTTTATTGTTTCTGTGGCAATTGTGAATGGGATTGTGTTTCTGATTTGGCTCTGACCTTGAAGGTTGCTGGTGTATAGAAATGCTCCGGGTTTTTGTACATTAATTTTGTATCCGGAAACTTTCCTGAAGTAGTTTATGAGATCAAGGATCTTTTTGGCAGAGAATCTGGGATTTTCTAGGTATAGAATCATATTGTTTGCGAACAGAGATTGTTTGACTTCTATGAAAAACATAGTGAAGTGAAAGCAAACATCTGTCCAGAAGGGAATAGAACAATAAAAATGCCCAATAATAAATTTAATTTGAATGTGAAGAACTAATATGAAGCAAATAACACAGTCATTGTGAGGGATACATAAAAAGACTTGAGGAAATGAGGAGTGGCTTTTTCTTGGATAGAGAAATTCTAAAATAGAAAGATAGATATTGTCCCTAAGTTAAGATGTAATTTAAAAATAATACCTAGTGTCTCACCTGGAATATTTTAGCACCTGATCAAATGATTCTGAAGTTCATCTGAAAGACAAATGTGTCAGAGTAGACAGAAAAGGAAAAAGCAATGAGGGAGGGCAAGCATTATTTCGCATTACAAATATAATTAAGCTACAGCAATTAAAATAGTATACTAGTGGTACAGGTACAAACGACTCAATGGAAGAAAATTAAAATAAGAGAGTTACATACAAAATTGAGTGGGGATGTAGGTGATGATAAAAGAGCCACTTCAAAACAGTGGGTGAAACAGGGATTCAACAAATGATGTAGAGTCCCTACCACTTAATTTTGTTCAGATGGATCAATTTTTTTTTTGTTTGTTTGTTTTGTTTTTTTTTTTTTTTTGAGATGAGGTCTCACTTTGTTGCCCAGGCTGGAGTGCAGTGGCACGATCTCGGCTCACTGCAACTTCCACCTCCCGGGTTCAAGCAATTATCCAGCCTCAGCCTCCCGAGTAGCTGAGACTACAGGCGCGTGCCACTATGCCCGGCTAATTTTTTGAATTTTTAGTAGAGATGGGGTTTCACCATGTTAGCCAGGATGATCTCGATCTACTGACCTCGTGATCTGCCCGCTTGGGCCTCCCAAAGGGCTGGGATTACAGGCGTGAGCCACTGCGCCTGGCCCGGATCAATGATTTTGAATGTACAATCATGCAACAAAAACTATGAATGTCTTATCATATTGGAGTGGGTAAGATCATTGCAAGCATGACAGCAGACTCGCGAAGGCACAAGAAAATGATTTATGAAAGCAGATATAAAATGGGTATTAACATATATAATATTTATTTCTATGATGGCGAATTTGTCCGAAACACATTGTTTTCTTAGAGTAACCTGGGCCTCATATTCTCCAACGCCATTGGAAGTGAAAGGAAGGTTGGGCGGGGGAAAAAGAAAAGTGCTTTGTAAGTTCATTTTCGTTGTCAGAAGAGCTTGTGGTTTAGGTTCTCCACAGAGGCAGGAAACCTTCAGTCACGTGGCAAATACCCCACTGAGTGCGCATGCTGCACAGATCTGTTGCTGCGCATGCGCCTTTCTGCCCACCTTCTGTCTAGGCAGAGCTCTGCAAGGAGAGGTTGTGTCTTCGTTCTTTCCGCCATCTTCGTTCTTTCCAACATCTTCGTTCTTTCTCACTGACCGAGACTCAGCCGGTAGGTCTGCAGAGTGGTCTTCCTGGTAATTTAGTTGTGAGTGAATGTGTGGAGGAGCCAGCGGGCTTAGGACAGGTCCCGTGGCACAGTCCGTGGCTTTGAGGGAAAAGGGCCTCGCGGTGGTCCTCCGCCTTCCCCCAGGTCCTGATGCAGGCGCCATGGGCCGGTAATCGTGGCTGGGCTGGAACGAGGGAGGAAGGTAGGCCGTGGAGGGGGTAGATCGCCTGAAGATGGTGCGAGTCCTGGGGGTGGGTGCTGTTAGAGGTGTCTGAGTCCCGAAAACGCCTGGAACTCTCTGAGGGAGGACAGTTTCTGGACTCTTCGTTAGGGATGCGAGAAGGGATGGTGTGGGTGGTAAGGAAGGGGCCAGGAAACTGGGAACGCTGTGGGCTGGTGACTACGGCCCCGAGGTCTGTAGAGTGCCTGGCAGAGGTGTCCAGTGAGGAACATAACCTTAACTCTGTGTCGCAACTTCTCATCTCAGCCATGGACCTCATGGAAAGGAATGGTTGAGGCTGTGCATTCCAACAAAACTTGATTTTTCGGGGAGTGGGGAGGAGGTGGTGGTGGCCCTAGTATATCAGAGTGGGAGGAAAGCAGCAGTCACTTCAGTTTCAATTTTCTGCCCGTTTTTTTCCTAAATGTGTAAATGATGGAGAGTCTAATTGTGAAGCCAAAACTCAGAAAAGTCCTCTGTCTTTTGCTATGGCGTTAAGGTGTTTTCTGTGCCTCTTCGACTATGATACAAACAAATCTGTCCTTAGTTTGATTGGAAAGCATGCGTACTTATCAATGCTCTGTGACTTAGTTTGAAAATATTTTCAAAATTAAAAAAGTACAAATCACCATTTTGCCATGGAATGTTCATATATATAGCTAAGTTCTTACACACTTTTTCCAAATAACAATATTTTGTTTTCAGTGAGAGATATGAGTGAGCATGTAACAAGATCCCAATCCTCAGAAAGAGGAAATGACCAAGAGTCTTCCCAGCCAGTTGGACCTGTGATTGTGAGTCCTTTAGCATTTGATGTTTTCTATTAACACATTTTATTTTAAAAAATATTTTTGAGCGAGTGTACATGCACTGATACAGGTGTTCCATGCTAATAAAAAATGATGATGGCATCTCATGAAGGCAACTTTGGTTCAGGAATATTATATTCTGGTGTTGCCTTATGGATATGGATATTTTACTCTCTCTCTATATATATATCTATTGGAAAATGTCTTTAGATTTATGATTCGATGCACATATGCATTTGTGTGTTTATATTATTGACTTTTTATTCGCACACACACTTACACCCTTAGGTCCAGCAGCCCACTGAGGAAAAACGTCAAGAAGAGGAACCACCAACTGATAATCAGGGTATTGCACCTAGTGGGGAGATCAAAAATGAAGGAGCACCTGCTGTTCAAGGTGAAGGGAGAGTGGAGAATAATGCTTATGGGTGGTGGAGGTCTATTTATGCATTATATTTTGTGACATACCAGTAACAGGAGGACAGAAAACATTAGGAAGGAATCTTAAACATTTCTTACTGCTGCTGTGCGGAGGGGTGGGACAAGGACACATAAAAAGCCACAAACTTTCCTACCATTTTGACGGAGGCTTTTTATTGATTGGGTATTTGCATGGTTGCCGTAAACCTTTGAGTGTTTTCCAGAGTTCCTGTATGGTTTGTTCAGCTATTTTCTGTTTTTTGTTTTGTTTTGTTTTGTTTTATGCTTCTGTGGAAGAATGGCAGCTTGCAGCTTCCTAGTCTGCCATCTGCGGACATCTCTCATGTATTTTTATAAGATACTTTTTAACACATTTATTAATGCTTCCTCATGCTGTGTAATATACTAAGCGCCGGAGATGTCAGTGCCAAATTTTTGCCTAAAGCTCATAGTCTAGTCAGACTGACTCAAACAAATCACTGATTTAATGTGATAAGAATAAGAACAAATGAGTACAAAAGGAACAAGTAAGTTGTCTAGGGCCAGCCTTGGGAAAGGAAAGGGCAATGTTTGAACATTTCTGCTTTCCTGCTTTTCTGGCAACAGACTTCTGAAATAATTAGCCTACAGGTTTTTATTTCACAATGATGAGGGAATAAATATTATTACCTCGTTCATAGTTCATATTTTAATTCGTAAATTGACGACTTTTTATCTTTAAGGGACTGATGTGGAAGCTTTTCAACAGGAACTGGCTCTGCTTAAGATAGAGGATGCACCTGGAGATGGTCCTGATGTCAGGGAGGGGACTCTGCCCACTTTTGATC
This sequence comes from Homo sapiens, assembly GCF_000001405.40. Classification (NCBI taxonomy): domain Eukaryota; kingdom Metazoa; phylum Chordata; class Mammalia; order Primates; family Hominidae; genus Homo; species Homo sapiens. The sequence continues at coordinate 55,222,726 of NC_000023.11, forward strand.
CCACTAAAGTGCTGGAAGCAGGTATGTTATTCAATAAGATGCAAATTATAGGGTTTCTATTTTCACAATATTGTATTTTGTGTGACACAGAGGTAAAATTACTGCTACTTTAATATCATACTTCACATCTAAAGATTCTTTGAAGGTAGTTCAGACCCCAAATGGCTGCCTTACACACTATCAGAGATAGAAGGCCAGGTGTGGTGGCTCATGCTGTTAATTCCAGCACTTTGGGAAGCCGAGGCAGAAAGACCACTTGAGGCCAGAACTTCAAGAGATAGAATAAATTGGGTCAAAGCTAATTGAGTTACGATATGAAAGATATGAAACATGCTAAGAGAGTAGATTTTGAGTGTCTTCACAGCTATATGAAATAATGCATATATTAATTAGGTTGAGCCGTTTTACAATGTATGTATATTTTAAAACATCATGTTTTACATGATAAATATATATGATTTCATGTGTCATTTTTAAAAGAAAGATAAGAAAAGGTTTTCTAACTTTTAAATGTAAGTCATGTAACCAACAGCCAATAATTTTCAGGTATTTTTACAGAGGACTGTTTTTTAACAAATACATAACATGTTTATGATAAGCATCAGTTTATGTTGTAATGTTAATTGTGCTGGTAATGTCTTAAAGCTAGCGTGGGGGTTTTCAGTTTACTGTATAAACTGAAATGCTTTTAAGCATGTTGAGAGGCAGGAGTACCAATGAAAATAGTGACAAATGTTCACTACTTAAAGCAACTACATAATGTCTAAACTAGTCCAAAGTAACATTTTAACACTTTTTCACAAGATACACAAAAGTAATACTGACTTTTCTATTTCCTGCACTTAGGCAGTTCTAAACATATTCTATATTCAGAGTGTTATTTCATATCAAAAAATTTAAATGATACTTTAAAAATATATTTTTTTCCTTAGGTTTTTGTTTGGTTGAATTTTTACTAAAAGTATAGGCATATTTTTACTTTCCACTTACACATATAAAATAGATTCACTTGATTTAATTCATTCTGTACTCGAACAGTGTCTTTGTTATTCTACTAGAAAAAGTGGCATGAATTAAAAATATTGTTAATATGCCTGGAAGTCTACCTTCTGAGTTTATTCAGAGGCTAACTGGATGTAAGCTAAAGGGACACCCTCAGGGTTCTGATTTTAGTTAATCAACACTGTAGTTGTATACTTCTAGTGTCATCTAAATAGAAATCTGCTGAATAACGTGCTCTAATTTTATATTTATATTATAGGTGAAGGGCAACTATAGGTTTAAACCAAGACAAATGAAGACTGAAACCAAGAATATTGTTCTTATGCTGGAAATTTGACTGCTAACATTCTCTTAATAAAGTTTTACAGTTTTCTGCAAAGACTTCTGCACTTTTTTGTTAAATTTATTTCTAGATTTTTAATACTCTTGAGAATTGTATCTTTTATGAAAATTTAAATCCTGTGTTTGAGATGGTATATAGAGAGAACATGTTGGTACATTGATTTTCTATCCTGCAACCTTTCTAACTATGCTTATTAATTCCAAAAGTTTACCTCTATATCCTTTTGGATTTTTAACAGACACAATTGTATAATCTTTTAATAATAACAGGTTTCTTTGCCATTTTTAACATTATTCCTTTTATTTACTTTTCTCATTCATGGTAGTGGACAGAATTTCCCAGTATAATTTGAATACAGTTGGTGGTTGTAGACATTCTTGTCTTGTTTCTGATCAGAAACAGATCATTTTCCACATTTCACCTTAATGTTTACTGTACTTTTCTTGTAGGTGCAGTTTATCAGAGTAAGGAAGTTCTATTCCTGGTTTGCTAAGAGTAGTTATCTTCAGTATATGTTGAATTTTATCAAACACTTGTAGTGCATCTATTCAGATGATCATAGGAATTTTTTTTTTTTTTTTGAGACAGAGTCTCACTCTGTCGCCCAGGCTGGAGTGCAGTGGCATGATCTCAGCTCACTGCAACCTCCGCCTCCCGGGTTCAAGCGATTCTCCTGCCTCAGCCTCCCAAGTAACTGGGATTATAGGTGCCCGCCACTGTGCCCGTATTTTTAGTAGAGACGGGGTTTCACCATCTTGGCCAGGCTGGTCTCGAACTCCTGACCTCATGATCCACCCGCCTCGGCCTCCCAAAGTGCTGGGATTACAGGCGTGAGCCACCGCACCCGGCCTTCTTTGCATTATTTCCATGATAATTTCTTTTGCCTCTTTCTCTGTTCTCAGTATCCAGAGATTTTCTTAATCTACATCTATATCACCTTTATTAAAACTTTTAAAATTGTTTCACTTTTGTCTTTCATTGAATGCTTTTTTATTTGCTACCTAATTTCTAAGAGACTTTTAAAACGACTTTTTCTTAATTGATAGCTGAAATAAAAGTATACAGCTTAACCAATTGAGCTCTCCTGTTGATACCAAAGTGAAGGCAACTTCCTAAAACATATTGGATACTCATTTTTTCCCTCTTCTATGGAAGGATGTACACAGCACTGGACTTGTATGTTGCCCATAGACTTGCAAGCACTGCCACCCCCTGCCACCAACTTTGACAACAACCTAAATTTTTTTTTGAGAAGGATAAAAGCCCATGGGGAGCAGGGATTCTTAAGTTGTACTGACTTTGGTTGGAGTGCTTTGAATGAACTAAGTAAGTTCAATTTGGGGCATGCTGAAACTCAGGGAAAACTGATTTCTGCTATTCTCTCCAAGTCATCTGATGACTGTCTTTGATTCAGAAATTTGGGTGTGGAGGCACTCGAAGACAGAAAACTTGGGCAATGAGTAAAGATGGAGAGATCATTGTTTTCTCCACAGAGAAAGATAAACCCATAAAGTCTGGTCTATTTATTCTGAAGTCTACCCATTAAAGGTGATTGAAAATGTTTTTCTGTTGCTCAAGCTTTGGATCATAGACTTTTGTGAGGAACTGTGTGGCTGGGTCAGAAGCCATACTGAAGATGGATGCCAGCCCCCGACCTCCGTCAGCCAGGGATCCTTGAGGTCTAAGAGATATTTATTTCAGCTGCTAGGATCATCTTCTCTGGGTGAGGGATGTGATTATACAAATTAGTCTATGACATAGGGAAACAAAACCTCAGGAGGACCAGAGATTACCATATGTGTCTGTGGGGCAACATGAGGCTAAGAATCCAATGATGAGGCAGCAGCCCCTCCATGTTGCTTGGTACCAGACAGCTCAGATCGATCAGGGTCATAGGCACCTAAAATTCCAAGATTCACAGGATGAGAGTTTGCTGCAGTTGTGTGTAAGGGGGACTCCTCCTTCACAAAAAGTCTGCTTTGGTGGTACTGGTAACAGCCATTGCTTAATTTTCCACCGCTGCTTTTTTCACTTAATTCAACAGTTCTTAAGCCAAACCTTTACCAATGACTCCTCAGCTTTGAAGACTGAAGCCTGTCCCTCCAAGGTAACCCAATTGAGGTATGCTGTCTTCCTGAACATATCATCCAACACTCTTAGCTGTTCCAGAAAAAAGACTGTGTGGCTCCAAGCATACCTTGGATTTGCTGGCATGAGATGCTTTGATGTGCAATAGTTCAATTAGCTGGGTCACATCTGAATTACTTTGTAGTGCCTCAGTTTACTATATGACATTATTTTTAGTATTGAGGCATAATTCAATTACAGAAAAATTCACTCTTTAGTTCTACAGTTTGAGTTTTGACAAATGCATGCAGTATATAAGTACTATCACGATCAAGCTCTAGGATAGTTCTATCATTCCAAAATGTTGTCTTCTGCCCTTTTTTAGTCACCTTCTTTCTCTGTCTCTATCCACTGGCAACCACTGATCTGTTCTCCAACACTATAGTTTGGCCTTTTGTAGAATTTCATAGAAATAAAATCATAGAGTATTTAATTTTTCACATCTGGCTTCTTTTACTTTTCTTTCTTTTACTTTTCACTATCCAGCATGAGATTCATTCATGCTGTCTATCGGTACTTTGTTCCCCTTTATTGATAAACAGTATTTCTCTGTATGGATTTAACACTGTTTGATTAAAGGACAAATTGAAGGACATTTTATTTGTTTTCCTTTCTTGGAGATAAAACCACTGTAAAGATCTATAAGGTGGTTTGAATATTTGTCTCCTCCAAATCTCATGTTGAAATGTGATTCCCAGTGTTGGAGATGGGCTATGATGGGAGGTGATTGGATCATGGAGGCAGATCCCTCCTGAATTGTTTAGCACCATCCCCTTGGTGATAAGTGAGTTCTTGTTCAGTTCACATGAGATATGATTGTTTAAAAGTCTGGGAGGTCCCTTTCACTCTATTGATGCTGCTTACCATGTGTTATGCCTGCTCCCTCTTTGCCTTCTGCCATGGTTGTAAGCTTCCCGAGACCTCCCTAGAAGCAGATGTGGGCGCCAGGCTTTCTGTATAGCCTGCAGAACCATGGGCGAATTAAACCTCCTTCCTTTATAAATTACCCAGCCTCAGGCATTTCTTTATAGCAATGTAAAAATGGCCTAACACAGAAAATTGGGGAGGAGTGGGGCATTGCTATAAAGATAACTGAAAATGTAGAAGTGGCTTTGGAACTGGGTAATGGGCAGAGGTTGGAAGTGTTTGTAGGTCTCAGAAGAAGACAGGAGGACAAGGGAACATTCAGAACTTCTTAGAGATTTGTTAAGTGGTTGTGACCAAAATGCTGATAGAAATATGGACAGTGAAGGCCAGGCTGATAACGTCTCAGATGAAAATGAGGACGTTATTGGGAAGTGGATCAAAGGCCACCCTTGTTACACCCTAGCAAAAAACTTGGCTGCATTGTGTCTATGCTATAGGGATTTGTGGAAGTTTGAACTTAAAAGTGATGACTTAGGGTATCTGGTGGAAGAAATTTCTAAGCAGCCAAGTGTTCAATATGTGGCCTGGCTGCCTCTATCAATGTATGATCAGATACAAAAGCAAATAAATGGCTTAAAGTTGGAACTTATACTTAAAAGGGAAATAGAGCATAAAAATTTGGAAAATTTACAGCCTGGCCTTGTGGTAAAAGAGGAAAGAGCATTTTTCAGGAGAGAACACAAGCCAGTGTTCTCTCTAGCAGCCACTTGCTAGAGAGGTTAGCATAGCTAAAAGGGAGCCAAGTGCTAATATCCAAGACCGTGGTGAAAGGCCTTGAAGGCATTTCAGAGATCTTGGAGACAGCTCCTGCCATCACAGGCCCAGAGACCTAGAAGGAAAGAATGATTTATCGGCCAGGCCCAGGGTCCTGCTGCCCTGTGCAGCTTCGGGACACTGCTTCCCGCATCCTGGCTGCTCCAGCTCCAGCCTCAGTGAAAAGGGCCTCAGATACTGCTCAGGCCACTGTTTTGAAGAGCACAAAGTGCCATAAGCCTTGGCGGTTTCTATGTGGTGTTAAGTCTGTGGGTACACAGGATGCAAGAGTGAAGGAAGCTTGACAGCTTCCCTCTCAATTTCAGAGGATGTACAAGAAAGTCTGGCTGCCTGGACAGAAGCCTGCCACAGAAACAGAGCCCTCACAGAAATCTACTAGGGTAGTGCTGAGGAGAAATACGGGGTTAGAGTCCTCCCCTCACAGAGTCCCCACCAGGGAGCTGCCTAGTGGAGTTCTGTAAAGGAGACTGCCACCCTCCAGACCCCAGAATGGTAGAGCTACCAGCAGTTTGCATGCTGAGCCTGAAAAAGCTGCAGGCACTCAACTCCAACCCATTAACATAGCCACAGGGGCTGCAACCTGCAAGCCACAGGGGTGGAGCTATCTTAGTCTTTGGGAGCCCACCACTTGCACCAGTGTGTCCTGGATGCTGGACATGGAGTCGAAGAAGGTTATTTTGGAGCTTTGAGATTTAATGACTGCCCTGCTGGGTTTCAGACTTACTTGGGGCCTGTAGCCCCCTTTTTTGTCCCATTTCCCCATTTTGGTATGGGAATGTATACCCAATGCCTGGTACCACCATTGTATCTTGGGAGTAAATAAATTGTTTTTTATCTCACAGGCTCATAGGTGGAAGGAACTCATCTCCAGATGAAACTTGGTACTTGGGACTTTTGAGCTAATGCTGGAATGAGTGAAGACTTTGGGAGACTATTGTGAAGGCATGATTATATTTTGAAATGTGAGAAGGACATGAAATTTGGGGGGCTAGAGGAGGAATGATATGGTTTTGATGTTTATCCCCTCTAAATCTCATGTTGAAATGTGATTCCCAGCGTTGGAGGTGGGCCCTGGTGGGAGGTGATTAGATCATTGGGGCAGATGCCTCATGAATGGTTTAACACCATTCCCTTGGTGATAAGCAAGTTCTCACTCATTTAGTTCACACAAGATCTGGTTATTTAACAGTCCAGGTTCTCCCCACTTTGTTCTCTTGCTCCCTCTTGCCATGTGATATGCCTGTTCCTTCTTTGCCTTCCAACATGATTATAAGCTTCCTGAGCCCTCCCCAGAAGCAGATGCGAGCACCATGCTTCCTGTGCAGCCTGCAGAACTATGGGCTAATTAAACCTCTTTTCATTATAAATAACTCAGCCTCAAGTATTTATGGCAAAAACAAAAATGGTCTAACACAATCTATCTGGGATTTTTGGAGACATAACTTTTCTCCTTTTTGAATAAATATCTAGGAGAGGGATTGCTAGATCATATAATCAATGTATATTTAAGTCTATGCAATGAATTGAATGTGTCCCCACCGAATTCATATGTTGAAATCTCAATGGGATGGTATTAAAAGATGAGATATTTGGGAGGTAATTAGGTATTGAGGGTGGGACCCTCATGAATGGGATTAGTGCCCATATAAAAGGGACCCTAGAGAGCTCTGTTACCCTTTTTCCACCATCTGAGTTTATGGTCAGAAGTCAACTGTCTGAAACTCAGAAGAAAGCTCTGACCAGAACTCTAATATCCTGGAACCCTGATCTCAAACTTCTAGTCCCTAGAACTGTGAGAAGTAAGTTTCTGTTGTTTATAAGCCATCTACTCTATGATATTTTGTTATAGCAACCTGAATGGACTAAGACAGTTTATTAGAAATTGCCAAACTGTTTTCCAAAGTGTCTCTGTCATTTTACATTCCCACAAGCAATGTGTAAGAGTGTTAGTTGCACTGTATCCTAGGTAGTACTTGGTATTGTCAGTTTTAAAAAAATATATTTTTCTTCACATTTTAGGTGTTGAGAGATTTTAATATTAATGGATGTTGAATCTTATTAAATGCTTTTTTTCTCATTTACTGAGATTATCATATAACATGCAAATGTGAAGGAACCCTGAATTTTCAATATAAACCTCATTTCCTCATTGTACTTTTGCATTTTTAATATATTACTGAATTCAATTAGCCAATATTTTGAGAATTTTTGTGTGAGTATTCATAAGAAATATTGGTGTGTAGTTTCATTTATTTGTAATGTCTTTATATTGTTTTGTATCAGAGTAATGATGAATTCATAAAATTAGTTGGGAAGTATATTAGGGTTTTCTAGAGGGACAGAACTAACAGGATAGGTGTATATGTGAAGGAAAGCTTATTAAAGAGTATTGACTCACACAGTCACAAGGTAAAACCCCAAAATAGGCCATCTATTTGCAAGCTGAGGAGCAAGGAAGCCAGTCTGAGTCCAAAAACCTCAAAAGTAGGAAAGCCAACAGTGCAGCCTTCAGTCTGTGGCTGAAGGTCCAAGAGCCCCTGGCAAACCACTGGTGTAAATCTGAGTATAAAAGCTGAAGAACTTGAAGTCTGATGTTTAAGGGCAGGAAACATTCAGCACGGGAGAAAGATGAAGGCTGGGAGACTCAGCAAGTCCACTCCTTCCACCTTCTTCTGCCTGCTTTTTTTTTCTAGCTGCACTGGCAGCTGATTAGATGGTGCCCACCCAGATTGAGGGTGGGTCTGCCTCTCTCAGTCCACTGACTCAAATGTTAACGTCCTTTGGCAATACCCTCACAGACACCCCCAAGAACAATACTTTGCATCCTTCAGTCTAATCAATTTGACACTCTATATTAATCATCACAGGAAATATTTTTGTCTGTTCCATTTTCTTGAAGAGTTTGGATGAATTGTCAATATTTCTTCTTTAGGGGTTTAACAGAAGCCACTTATGCCTGGCATTATTTTGCTGGGACTTCAAAAAATGTGGATTCACAGAAAGAGGTTGAAACCCTAAATAGACAAATATCAACTCTTGAAATGAAATCAGCAATAAAGAACCTACCAACCAAAAAATGCTCTGGATCACGTGGACAGTTACATTCTACCAGATGTACAAAGAAGAACTGATACCAATCTTACTGAAACTATTCCAAAAAAATCGAGGAGGAGGAGTGTTTCCTCCATAACTCATTCTATGAAGCCAGCATCAGCCTGATACCAAAATTTTGCAGAGACACAATGAAAAAAGAGAAATTCAGACCATTATCCCTCATGAGCATAGATGCAAAAATCCTCAACAAAATACTAGGAAATCAAATGCAGCAGCACATCAAAAAGTTAATATACCATGATCAAGTAGGCTTTACTCCTGGAATGCAAGGCTGTTTCAACATACGCAAATTAATAAATATGATTCACTACACAAACAGAACTAAAAACAAAAACCATATGATCATCTCAATAGATGCAGAAAAAGGTTTGATAAAATCCAATATCACTTCATGATAAAAATTCTATCAATATACTAGGCATCAAAGGAACATATCTCAAAATAATAAGAGCAATCTATGACAACCCTACAGCCAATATAATATTGAATGAGCAAAAGCTCAAACGTTCCCCTTGAGAAATGGAACAAGACAAGGATGCGTACTCTCTCTGCTCCTATTCAACATAAATACTGGAAGTCCCAACCAGAGCAATCAGGAAAGAGAAAGAAAAGGCATCTGAATAGAAAAAGAAGTCAAACTAGTTATCTTCAGTGACAATATAATTCTATACCAAGAAAATCCTAAAGACTCTGCCAAAACACTCCTAGAATCCATAAGTGACTTTTGTAAAGTTTCACGATACAAATTCAATGTACAAAATATCAGTAGCATTTCTATACACCAGCGTCTAGGCTGAGAGTGAAATCAAGAACATAATCCCACTAACAATAGCCACAAAGAAAATGAAATACCTAGGAATACAGCTAACCAAGGAGGTTAGTTAATACAAGGAATACAACTAAACAAGGAAAACTATAAAACACTGCTGAAAGAAATCAGAGATGAATTTCCACAAATAAATGGAAAAACATTCCATGCTCATGGATTGGAAGAATCAATATTGTAAAAATGGCCTTAATTCCCAAAGCAATTTGCAGGTTCAATGCTACTGCTATCAAACTATCAATGATATTCTTCACAGAATTTTTAAAAACCATTCTAAAATTCATGTGGCACCAAGAAAGAGCCTGAATAGTCAAAACAGTTCTAAGCAAAAAGAACAGAACCAGAGACATCACACTATACTGACTTCAAACTATACTATAAAGTGACAGTAACCAAAACAGCATAGTACTTGTACAAAAACAGACACATACATTAATGGAACACAATAGAAAACTCAGTAAAATAGCCTCACACCTATAACCATTTGATCTTTGACAAAGTCGACAAAAACAAGCAATGGGGAAAAGACTCCTTATTTGATAAATAGTGCTTGGATAACTGACTAGGCATATGCAGAATATTGAAGCTGTACTTCTATCTTTCACCATATACAAAAATTAACTCAAAATGGACTAAATATTTAAATGTAAGACCTGAAACTATAAAAATCCTGGAAGACAACTTAGGAAATACTCAACACTGGTTTTTGCAAAGAATTTTTGGCTGAGCCTCCAAAAACAATTGCAACAAAAAACAAAAATAGATGAGTGGGACCTAATTAAATATCTTTTGCACAGTAAAATAAACATCAACAGAGCAAATAGTCAACTTACAGAATGAGAGAAGATATTTATAAACTATGCATCTGACAAGGGCCCAATATCCAGAATCTATAGGGAACTTAAAGAAATCAACAAACAAAAACCAAACAATCCCATTAAAAATGGGCAAAGGACATGAACAGATACTTATCAAAAGAAGACACACAAGTGACCAACAAACATGAAAAAATGCTCAGCATTACTAATCATCAAAGAAATGCAAATCAAAACCACAATGATATACCATCTCCACCAGTTGGAATGGCTATTTTTAAAAAATTGAAAACAAACAGATGCTGGTGAGGCTTTGAAAGAAAAAGAATGCTTATACAATGTTGGTATGACTGTAAATTAGACCATCCATTGTGGAAAGCAGTCTGAAGATTTCTCAAAGAACTTAAAGCAGAACTACCATTTGACCCAGGAATTCCATTACTTGATATATACCCTATAGAAAATAAATCATCATATTGAAAAAACACATGCACTCATATATTCATCACTGCACTATTTACAATAGCAAAGACATGAAATCAACCCAGGTTCTCCTCAATGATAGATTGGATAAAGAAAATGTGGTACATATACACCATGGAATACTATGCAGCTGTAAAAAGAATGAAATACCACCTTTACAGCAACATGGATGCATCTGGAGGCCATAATCCTAAGCAAATTAGCACAAGAACAGAAAACCAAATACTGCATGTTCTTATTTATAAGTGGTAGCTAAGCATTGAACTCACATGGTCATAAATATGGGAACAATAGACACTGTGGACTACAAAAGGGTGGGGTGGGATGTAAAAAAGTATGTATTGGGTACTATGCTTACTACCAGGTGACAGAATCCATACTCCAAATCTGAGCATCATGAAATATTCCCATGCAACAAATCTGCACATGTACCTGTTGCATCTAAAATAAAACTTGAAATTAAAAAAAATGGATTCAAATAATTTAATAGATCTGGGTATTCTGAGGTTATTTTTTCTTATGAGCCTTGATAATACTGTGTCTTTTAAGGAATTTTTAAAATTTTATTGAAGTTGTTGAATTTATAGGCATAAAGGTGTTTGTGTTATCCCTTTATTATAGTTCAATATCTGTCAAGTCTATTGAGATGCTTTCCCTATTACATTTATGATATTGATAATTTATTACCCCTAGGATTTTTGTTTCTTTGAGGAAATTACTCTAGCTGGAGTTTTATTAATTTTATTAATCTTTCCAAGGAATAGCTTTTAGCTTAATTGATTTTCTTTCTTGTTTTTTTTTTTTTTTTTATTATACTTTACGTTCTGGGATACATGTGCAGAATGTGCAGGTTTGTTACATGGGTATACATGTGCCATGGCGGTTTGTTGCACCCATCAACCCGTCATCTAGGTTTTAAGCCCCACATGCCTTAGGTATTTGTCCTAATGCTCTCCCTCTCCTTGTCCCCCACCCCACGACAGGCCCCAGTGTGTGATGTTTCCCTCCCTGTGTCCATGTGTTCTCATTGTTCAACTCCCACTTATGAGTGAGAACATGTGGTGTTTGGTTTTCTGTTCCTGTGTTAGTTTGCTCTCCTGTTTGAGGTGTCTCTTGACCCCTGCTGGGAGGTCTCTCCCAGTCAGGAGGCATGGGGGTCAGGGACCCACTTGAGGAGGCCATCTGTCCCTCAGCAGAGCTCCAGCGCTGTGCTGGGAGATCTGCTGCTCTCTTCAGAGCAGGCAGACAGGAACGTTTAAGTCTGCTGAAGCTGTGCCCACAGCCACCCCTTCCCTCAGGTGCTCTGTCCCAGGGAGATGGGAGTTTTATCTATAAACCCCCGACTGGGGCTGCTGCCTTTCTTTCAGAGATGCCCTGCCCAGACAGGAGGAATCTAGAGAGGCAGCCTGGCTACAGGGGCTTTGCACCCCACTGTGGTGGGCTTTTCCCAGTCCGAACTTCCTGGTGGCTTTGTTTACACTGTAATGGGAAAACCGCCTACTGAAGCCTCAGTAATGATGGACGCCCTTCTCCCAACCAAGCTCAAGTGTCCCAGGTCGACTTCAGACTGCTGTGCTGGCAGCGAGAATTTCAAGCCAGTGGATCTTAGCTTGTTGGTCTTTGTAGGGGGTGGGATCCAGTGCGCAAGACCACTCAGCTCCCTAGCTTCAGCCCCCTTTCTAGGCGAGTGAACGGTTCTGTCTCGCTGGTGTTCCAGGCACCACTGGGGTACAAAAAAAAACTCCTGCAGCTAGCTCGGTGTCTGCCCAAATGGCTGCCCAGCTTTGTGCTTGAAACCCAGGGCCCTGGTGGTGTAGGCACCCGAGGGAATCTCCTGGTCTGTGGGTTGTGAAGACAGTGGGAAAAGCATAGTATCTGGGCCGGATAGCTCTGTCCCTCACAGCACAGTCCCTCGTGGCTTCCCTTGGCTAGGGGAGGGAGTTCCCTGACCCCTTGTGCTTCCCAGGTGAGGCAATGCCCCACCCTGATTCTGCTTGCCCTCCATGGGCTGGGCTGCACCCATTGTCTAACCAGTCCCAATGAGATGAGCTGGGTACCTCAGTAGGAAATGCAGAAATCACCCGTCTTGTGCGTTGGTCCATTGATCTTGCTGGGAGCTGCAGACCAGAGCTATTCCTATTTAGTCATCTTGCCTGGATGGCCACATTTTTTAATCCATTTATCTGTTGATGGACACAGATTACTTCCAAATCTTAGCTATTGTGAACAATGCTGCAACAAACATGGAAGTATAGCTATCCCTTCCATGTACTGGTTTCCTTTCTTTTGGGTATATTTCCAGCAGTGGGATTGCTAGATCATATGGTAGCTCCATTTTTAGTGTTTTTTTTGTTGCTGTTGTTTGTTTGTTTTTTGATGGAGTTTCACTCTGTCTCCTAGGCTGGAGTGCAGTGGCATGATCTTGGCTCACTGCATCCTCCGCCTCCTGGGTTTAAGCAATTCTCTGCCTCAGCTTCCTGAGTAGCTGGGATTTCAGGTGCCCACCACCACGCCCAGCTAATTTTTTTGTATTTTTAGTAGAGACAGGGTTTCACCATCTTGGCCAGGCTGATCTTGAACTCCTGACCTTGTGATCCACCTGCCTCAGCATCCCGAAGTGCTGGGATTACAGGTGTGAGTCACTGCACCTGGCTTATTTTTACTTTTTTGAGGAACCTCCAAACTCTTCTCCATAGTACTTGTACCAGTGTATATTCCCACTAACAGTGTATAAGGGTTCCCTTTTCTTCACATTCTTGCCAGTATTTGTTATTGCCTGTCTTTTGGATATTAGCCATTTTAAGTGGGGTGAGATGATAACTCATTGTACCTTTTATTTGCATTTCTCTGATGATCAATGATGTCGAGCACCTTTTCATGTGCCTATTTGCCATTTGTATGTCTTCTTTTAAAAAATATCTAGTCAAATCATTTTTGGTTGGATTATTAGATGTTTTCCCATAAAGTTGTTTGAGTTCCTCGTATATTATGGTTATTAATCCCTTGTCAGATGGGTTGTTTGCTAATATTTAGTTTTCTCCCATTCTGTGGGTTGTCTTCTCACTTTATTGATTGTATCCTTTACTGTGCAGAAATTTTTTTAACTTGATGGGATCCCATTTGTCCATGTTTGCTTTGGTTACTGTGCTTGTGGGATATTGCTCAATAAATCTTTGTCCAGACCAATATCCTAGAGATATTTCCTTATGTTTTCCTGTAATAGTTTCATACTTTAAGGTCTTAGTTGTAAGTCTTTAATCCATTTTGATTCGATTTTTATATATGGCAAAAGATAGGGGTATAAGTTTCATATTTTTTTCTGCATATGGATATCCAGTTTTCCCAGCACAACTTATTGAAGAGACTGTCTTTTTCCCAGTGCATGTTCTTGGGAACTTTGTTGAAAATGACTCCACTGTAGATGTGTGGATTTGCTTCTGGATTCCCTATTCTGTTCCATTGGTCTATGTGTGTGTTTTTATGCCAGTACCATGCTGTTTTGGTTACTATAGCTCTGTGGTATAATTTGAAGTCAGGTAATGTGATTCCTCCAGTTTTGTTCTTTTTCTTAGGATAGCTTTGGCTATTCTGGGTCTTTTGTAGTTGTATATAAATTTTAGAATTGTTTTTTCTATTTCTTTGAAGAATGTCATTGGTATTTTGCTAGGGATTGCATTGAATCTGTAGATTGCTTTGGTTAGTATGGACATTTTTAACAATATTGATTCTCCTCATACATGTACATAAAATATATTTTTTTCATTTTTTGATATCCTCTTCAATTTCCTTCAACAGTGTTTTATAATTTTCACTATAGAGATCTTTCACTTTTTTGGTTAATTCCTAGTATTTAATTTTACGTGTGGCTACTGTAAGTGGAAATACTTTTTAAAATTTCTTTTTCACATTGTTCACTGTTGGCATATAGTAATGCTACTGATTTTTGTATGTTTATTTTGTATCATGCAACTTTACTGAATTTGTTTATCAGTTCTAATAGTTTCCTTGTGGAGTCTTTAGGTTTTTCCAAATATAAGTTCATATTATCAGCAAACAAAGATAATTTGACTTCTTCCTTTTCAATTTGCATATCCTTTGTATGCTTCTTCTGTCAGATTGCTCTAGCTAGTACTTCCAGTACTATGTTGAATAACAATGGTGACAGTGGGCATTCTCATCATGTTCTAGATATTAGATGAAACGACTTCAGGTTTCAGTTTTTCCCCATTCAGTATGATACTAGCTGTTGGTCTGCTGTATATTTTTTTTAAATATAGGTCAATAGCTTTTCAGGAACAGGTGGTTTTTGGTTACAGGGGTTTCCCCTTAGTGGTGATTTCTGAGATGTTGGTGTACCAATCGCCTGGGCAGTGTACACTGTGCCCAATGTGTAGTCTTTTATCCCTTACCCCCTCCTACCTTTCACCCTCCGAGCCCCCAGAGTCCATTATATCATTCTTATGCCTTTGTGTCTTCATAGTGTAGCTCCCACTTATAAGTGAGAACATAAGATATTTGGTTTTCCATTACTGAGTTACTTCACTTAGAATAAAGTTCTCTAACTCCATCGAAGTTGCTGTGAATTTCATTATTTCATTCCATTTTATAGCTGAGTAGTATTCCATGGTATAGATATACCACATTTTTCTTTATCTACACATTGGTTGATGGGCATTTAGGCTGGTTCCATACTTTTGCAATTGTGAATTGTACTACTATAAACATGCATGTGCAACTGTCTTTTTCATAAAGACTTATTTTCCTTTGGGTAAATATTGAGTAGTGGGATTACTGTACCAAATGGTAGTTCTATTTTTTGTTCTTAAGGATTCTCCATAGTGTTTTCCATAGTGGTTGTACTAGTTTACATTCCCACCAGCAGTGTAAAATTGTTCCCTTTTCACCACACCCATGCCAAAATCTATTATGTTTTTGTTTTTTAATTATGGCCATTCTTGCAGGAGTAAGGTGGTATCTCATGGTTTTAATTTGTATTTCCATGATAATTAGTGATGCTGAGCATTTTTATGTGTGTTTTATAACTATTTGTATATCTTCTTTTGAGAATTTTCTATTCATGTCCTTTGCCCACTTTTTGATGCAAGTGTTTGTTATTTGCTGATTTGAGTTCCTTGTAGATTCTAGATATTAGTCCTTTGTCAGATGTTTAGTTTGTGACCATTTTCTTCCATTCTGTGGGTTGTCTGTTTACTCTGCTGATTATTTCTTTTGCTGTGCAGAAGCATTTTAGTTTAATTAGGTCCTATCTATTTATTTTTGTTTTTGTTGCATTTGCTTTTTCGTTCTTGGCCATGAACTCTTTACCTAAGCCAATGTCTAGAAGATTTTTTCTGATGTTGAGCATTTTCTCATACACTTATTTGTCATTTGTGTGTCTTCTTTTGAGAAATGTCTTTTCAGGTCCTTTGCCCTTTCCTAAATTGTTTTTCTGCTATTGAGTTGTATGAAGTCTTCATACACTTCAGATATTAACCTTTTATCAGATAAATGATTTGCAAATATTTTTTCCCATTCCATAAGTTGCCTTTTCACTCTGTTGATTTTTCCTTAAGGGCCAGAAATGTGTCTGATTCAAAGAGCCTGGCACAGAGTACAGAGATCACATGATCTCACTCACATGTGGAGGCTAAAATAAGTTCCTCTCATAGAAGTAAAAAGCAGAACAGAAGTTATTAGAGGCTGGAAAGAGTAGGAAAAAGGTGGGGATAGAGAAAGATTTGTTAAAGAACATAACATTTCAGTTAGTTCTAGTGTTTTATGGCACTGTAAGATGACTTCAATATAACAATGGTATATTATATATTTTCAGATAGATAGAGGATATTGAATGTTCCCAGCATAAAGAAATGATAAATATTTATGATGAGTATACGATGTTCATCTGATTATTATATATTGTATGTGTCAAAACATCACTATGTACCCCATAATATGTGCAATTATTATGTGTTAATTAAAAGTAAGTAAATAAATTTTTAGAAGGAAGTTCTTTTTAAAAGTTCAATGACATTCTGGAAGAATAAAAAGCCTGAAGATCCTAGGGAACACTTTTGGGAAGTGCTAGTCAGGTCTGCAGGGCATCCTCAAAGGGTGCTAGCTGATCACAACACCCAAGTACTTTTGAATATCTGGAAAGCCTTCCCAAGAAGGATGGTTGCAAACAAGCCCAGACAGTGAACGCTACAATAAATACCTAACTCTTCAATGCCCAGACACAGAAGAACATCTGCTAGCATCAACGCCATCCAGGAAAACATGACCTCACCAAATAAACTAAATAAGGCAACAAAGACCAATTTTAGAGAAATAGAAACATGTGACCTTTCAGACACAGAATTCGAAATAGTTGTGTTGAGAAAAAAAGAAATTCAAGAAAACACAAAGAAGGAATTCAGAATTCTATCGGATAAATTTAACAAAGAGATTGAAATAATTAAAAAGAATCAAGCAGAAATACTCAAGCTGAAAAATGCAATTGACATACAGAAGAATGCATCAGAGTCCTTTAATAGCAGAATGGCTCAAGCAGAAGAATTAGTGAGCTTGAAGACAGGCTATTGGAAAATACACAGTTAGATGAGACAAGAAAAAAGAACAAAAAAGAATGAAGCACAACTACAGGATTTTAAAAATAGCCTCAAAGGGCAAACCTAAGAGTTATTGGCCTTAAAGAAGAGGTAGAGAAAGAGATGAGGTAGAAAGTTTATTGAAAGGGATAATAACAAAGAACTTCCCAAAAGTAGAGAAAGGTATCAATATCCAAATACAAGAAGGTTATAGAACACCAGGCAGATTTACCCAAAGAATATTACCTCAAGGCATTTAATAATCAAACTCTCCAAGGTCAAGGACAAAGAAAGGATCCTAAAAGCAGGAAGAGAAAATAAACAAATAACATACAATGGAGCTCCAATATGTCTGGCAGCAGACTTTTCAGTGGAAACCTTACAGGCCAGGAGAGAGTGACATGACGTATTTAAAGTGGTAAAGGAAAAACTTTTATCCTAGAATAGTATATCTGGTGAAAATATCCTTCAAACATGAAGAAAAAATACTTTCCCAGGCAAACAAAAGCTGAGGGATTTTTATTAACACCAGACATGTCCTACAAGAAATGCTAAACAGAGTACTTCAATCAGAAAGAAAAAGATGTTAATGAGCAATAAGAAATCATCTGGAAGGGGGAGCAGCAAAGATGGCCAAAGAGAATCAGCTCTGCTCTGTGGCTCCCACCAAGAACAATAAAAACGGTGAGTGAATTCTGCATCTTCAATTGAGGGACCAAGGTTCTCTCAATGGGACTGCCTAGGTGGTTGTTGCAGTCTACAAAGAGTGAGGAAAAGCAGGGTGGAGCAAGGGCCTATCTAGGAGCTGAACAGAGCAAAGTGATCTCCCTTCCCTGGCCAACGGTGGTGGTGAAGGATTGTGCTACCCGTCCCTTAAAACAATGCTTTTTCCATGGATCCTTGGAACCCGCAGATCAGGAGGTCCCCTCATGAGCACATGCCACCAGGGCCTTGGGGCCCAAGTGCAGAGCTGTGGAGATGCAAGGTGGTGGTTGGGTGGGCAGCCACTCGAGCAAGCATTGAGGTACATAAGTATTTGCAAACTCTGGCTCTGGGAACTCCAGTGAGGCAGGAAATCAGTCCATTCCTATGAGGAAGCCAAGCAGCCTAATTCCCATGGAACTCCACAAGCTAAAACTCACGGGTTTGGAATTCCCACCGACCAGTGCAGCAGGCTGGAAACTGCCTAAGAAGACTGAGTTCCCAGTGGGGAGGGGGGCCACCATCACTGTGGCTCCAGTCAGCCGTTTTCCCCTGCTGCCAGGGCCGGTGAGACTGGGCAGTTTGGACCAGGGGCAATTCCCCACAGCATAGCACAGTGGTTGGGTCAGTTTGTGGCCAGACTGCTTCTTTAAGCGAGACCCTGATCCACTCCTTCTTATTGGGCAGGGCCTCCCTGTGGGAATTCCAGCAATCCCAGCCAGGAGTTTATGGACAGAAAGCTGATATCCCTGAGAGGGACCCTTAGGAGGAGGGAAGGCTGCAATATCACGGATCAGTGGTCTTAATTTTTTCTGCTGGCTGACTCTGAAGAGTCAGGGCAGCCTGGACAAGGGGGATTCCCCCAAGCACAGCATACTTGCTTCACTAAGATGAATCCAGGAGCTGGTTTTTTGAAAAGATCAACAAAATCGATAGACTGCTACCAAGACTAATAAGGAAGAAAAGAGAGAAGAATCAAATAGACGCAATAAAAAATGATAAAAGGGGATATCACCACCAATTCCACAGAAACACAAACTACCATCAGAGAATACTACAAACACCTCTATGCAAATAAACTAGAAAATCTAGAAGAAATGGAGAAATTCCTCGATACATACACCCTCCCAAAACTAAACCAGGAAGAAGTTGACTCTCTGAATAGACCAATAACAGGCTCTGAAATTGTGGCAATAATCAATAGCTTACCAACCAAAAAAAGTCCAGGACCGGATGGATTCACAGCCGAATTCTACCAGAGGTACAAGGAGGAGCTGGTACCATTCCTTCTGAAGCTATTGCAATCAATAGAAAAAGAGGGAATCCTCCCTAACTCATTTTATGAGGCCAGCATCATCCTGATACCAAAGCCTGGCAGAGACACAACCAAAAAAAAGAATTTTAGACCAATATCCTTGATGAACATTGATGCAAAAGTCCTCAATAAAATACTGGCAAACCGAATCCAGCAGCACATCAAAAAGCTTATCCACCATGATCCAGTGGGCTTCATCCCTGGGATGCAAGGCTGGTTCAACATACGCAAATCAATAAATGTAATACAGCATATAAACAGAACCGGAGACAAAAAACACATGATTATCTCAATAGATGCAGAAAAGGCCTTTGACAAAATTCAACAACGCTTCATGCTAAAAACTCTCAATAAATTAGGTATTGATGAGACGTATCTCAAAATAATAAGAGCTATCTATGACAAACCCACAGCCAATATCATACTGAATGGGCAAAAACTGGAAGCATTCCCTTTGAAAACTGGCACAAGACAGGGATGCCCTCTCTCACCACTCCTGTTCAACATAGTGTTGGAAGTTCTGGCCAGGGTAATTAGGCAGGAGAAGGAAATAAAGGGTATTCAATTAGGAAAAGAGGAAGTCAAATTGTCCCTGTTTGCAGACGACATGATTGTGTATCTAGAAAACCCCATTGTCTCAGCCCAAAATCTCCTTAAGCTGATAAGCAACTTCGGCAAAGTCTCAGAATACAAAATCAATGTACAAAAATCACAAGCATTCCTATACACCAATAACGGACAAACAGAGAGCCAAATCCTGAGTGAACTCCCATTCACAATTGCTTCAAAGAGAATAAAGTACCTAGGAATCCAACTTACAAGGGACATGAAGGACCTCTTCAAGGAGAACTATAAACCACTGCTCAATGAAATAAAAGAGTATTCAAACAAATGGAAGAACATTCCATGCTCATGGCTAGGAAGAATCAATATCATGAAAATGGCCATACTGCCCAAGGTAATTTATAGATTCAATGCCATCCCCATCAAGCTATCAACGACTTTCTTCACAGAATTGGAAAAAACTACTTTAAAGTTCATATGGAACCAAAAAAGAGCCCGCATCGCCAAGTCAATCCTAAGCCAAAAGAACAAAGCTGGAGGCATCACACTACCTGACTTCAAACTATACTACAAGGCTACAGTAACCAAAACAGCATGGTACTGGTATCAAAACAGAGATATAGATCAATGGAACAGAACAGAGCCCTCAGAAATAATGCCGCATATCTACAACCATCTGATCTTTGACAAACCTGAGAAAAACAAGCAATGGGGAAAGGTTTCCCCATTTAATAAATGATGCTGGGAAAACTGGCTAGCCATATGTAGAAAGCTGAAACTGAATCCCTTCCTTACACCTTATACAAAAATTAATTCAAGATGGATTAAAGACTTAAATGTTAGACCTAAAACCATAAAAACTCTAGAAGAAAACCTAGGCAATACCATTCAGGACATAGGCATGGGCAAGGACTTCATGTCTAAAACACCAAAAGCAATGGCAACAAAAGCCAAAATTGACAAATGGGATCTAATTAAACTAAACAGCTTCTGCACAGCAAAAGAAACTACCATCAGAGTGAACAGGCAACCTACAAAATGGGAGAAAATTTTCGCAACCTACTCATCTGACAAAGGGCTAATATCCAGAATCTACAATGAACTCAAACAAATTTACAAGAAAAAAACAAACAACCTCATCAACAAGTGGGCGAAGGATATGAGCAGACACTTCTCAAAAGAAGATATTTATGCAGCCAAAAGACACATGAAAAAATGCTCATCATCACTGGCCATCAGAGAAACGCAAATCAAAACCACAATGAGATACTATCTCACACCAGTTAGAATGGCAATCATTAAAAAGTCAGGAAACAACAGGTGCTGGAGAGGATGTGGAGAAATAGGAACACTTTTACACTGTTGGTGGGACTGGAAACTAGTTCACCCATTGTGGAAGTCAGTGTGGTGATTCCTCAAGGATCTAGAACTAGAAATACCATTTGACCCAGCCATGCCATTACTGGATATATACCCAAAGGATTATAAGTCATGCTGCTATAAAGACACATGCACACATATGTTTATTGCGGCACTATTCACAATAGCAAAGACTTGGAACCAACCCAAATGTCCAACAACGATAGACTGGATTGAGAAAATGTGGCACATATACATCATGGAATACTATGCAGCCATAAAAAATGAAGAGTTCATGTCCTTTGTAGGGACATGGATGAAACTGGAAACCATCATTCTCCGCAACCTATCGCAAGGACAAAAAACCAAACACCGCATGTTCTCACTCATAGGTGGGAATTGAACAATGAGAACACATGGACACAGGAAGGGGAACATCACACTCTGGGGACTGTTGTGGGGTGGGGGGAGGGGGGAGGGAAGCATTAGGAGATATACCTAATGCTAAATGACGAGTTAATGGGTGCAGCACACCAACATGGCACATGTATACGTATGTAACAAACCTGCACATTGTGCACATGTACCCTAAAATTTAAGTATAATAATAATAAAATAAAATAAAAAAAAGAAACTCAAAGACCACACAACTACATGGAAATTGAACAACATACTCCTCAATGACTTCTGGGTAAATAATGAAATTAAGGCAGAAAACAAGAAGTTCTTTGAAATTAATGAGAACAGAGACAATGTACCAGAATCTCTGAGACACCGCTAAAGTAGTGGTAAGAAGGAAATTTATAGCACTGAACGCCCACATTGAAAAGCCAGAAAAATCTCAAATCGATACCCTACCATTACAACTAAAAGAACTAGAAAACCAAGAGCAAACAAACCCCAAAGCTAGCAGAAGACAATAAATAAACAAGCTCAGAGTGTAACTGAAGGAGAAAAAGACATGAAAAACCCTTCAAAAAAATGGATGAATCCAGGAGCTAGTTTCCTGAAAAAATTAATAAAACATATAGACTGCTCCTAGACTAATGAAGAAGAAAAAAGAGAAGAATCAGATAGACACGATAAAAAGTGATAAAGGGATATCACCACTGACCCCACAGAAATACAAACAACCTTCAGAGAATACTATAAACACCTCTATGCAAATAAACTAGAAAATCTAGAAGAAATGGATAAATTCATGGACACATACACCCTCCCAAGACTGAGCCAGATAGAAGTTGAATCCCTGAATAGACCAATAACAAGTTCTGAAATTGAGGCAGTCGTCAATTGCCTAGCAACCAAAAAATGCCCAGGACCAGGTGGATTTACAACTGAATTCTACCAGAAGTACAAAAAGGAGCTGATACCTTTTCTTCTGAAATTATTCCAAACAATTGAAATGGACGCACTCCTCCCTAATTCATTCTATGAGGCCAGCATCATCCTGATAACAAACTTGGTAGAGATACAACAAAAATAGAAAACTTCATGCCAATATCCCTAATGAACATTGATGCAAAAATTCTTAATAAAATACTGGCAAAACGAATCTACCAGCACATCAAAAACTTATCTGCCACCAATAAATTGACTTCATCCCTGGAATGCAATTGCGGCTGGTTCAACATACCCAAATCAATAAACCTAATTTATCACATAAACAGATCCAAAGACAAGAACCACATGATTATCTCAATAGAGGCTGAAAAGGCCTTGATAAAATTCAACATCCCTTCATGTTAAAAGCTTTCATTAAAATAGGTAATGAAGGAACATGCCTCAAAATAATAAGAGTGATACATGAAAAACCCACAGCCAATATCAAAATGAATGGGCAAAGCTGGAAGCATTCCCCTTGAAAACTGGCACAAGACAAGGATGACCTCTCCCACCACTCCTATTCAACATAATATTAAACGTTCTGACTAGGGCACTCAGGCAAGAGAAAGAAATAAAGAGTATTCAAATAGGAAGAGAGAAAGTCAAATTGTGTCTTGTGTGCAGATGACATGACAGAAAACCCCATCATCTCAGCCCAAAAGCTTCTTCAGCTGATAAGCAACTTCAGCAAAGTCTGAGGATACAAAATCAATATGCAAAATTCACAAGGATTTCTATACACCAACAACAGGCAAGCAGAGAGCCAAATCATGAATGAACCCCCATTCAAAATTGCTGGAAAAGGAATAAAATACTTGGGAATACAGTTAACAAGGGAAGTGAAAGACCTCCTCAAGGAGAACTACAAACCACTGCTCGAGGAAATTAGAGAGGACACAAACAAATGGAAAAATATTCCATGCTCATGAATAGGAAGAATCAACATTGTGAAACTGGCTATATTGCCCAAAGTAATTTATAGATTCGATGCTGTTCCCATTAAACTACCATTGACATTCTTCGAAGAATTTGAAGAAACTACTTTAAAATTCATATGGAACCAAATAAGAGCCCATACAGCCAAGACAGTCATGCTACCTGACTTCAAAGTATACTACAAGGCTATAGTAACCAAAACAGCATGGTATTGGTACAAAAACAGACACATAGACTGATGGAACAGAATAGAGAACTCAGAAATAGGACTATACATCTACAACAAACTGATTTTTGTCAAACCTGACAAAAACAAACAATGGGGAAAGGATTCCCTGTTTAATAAATGGTGTTGAGAGAACTGGCTAGCCATATGCAGAAAATTGAAACTGGTCCCCTTTCTTACACCTTATATGAAAATTATTCAA
Organism: Homo sapiens; assembly: GCF_000001405.40. Lineage (NCBI taxonomy): Eukaryota > Metazoa > Chordata > Mammalia > Primates > Hominidae > Homo > Homo sapiens. The sequence continues at coordinate 55,246,414 of NC_000023.11, forward strand.
GATGGATTAAAGACTTAAATGTAAAATCCCAAATTATAAAAACCTTAGAAGAAAACCTCAGCAATACCATTCAGGACATAGGCATGGGCAAAGATTTCATGATGAAATTGCCAAAAGCAACTGCAACAAAAGCCAAAATTGACAAATGGGATCTAATTAAACTAAAGAGCTTTTGCACAGCAAAAGAAACTATCATCAGAGTGAACAGACAACCTAGAGAGTGGGAGAAATTTTTTGCAATCTACCCATCTGACAAATGTCTAATATTCAGAATCTACAAGTAACTTAAACAAATTTACAAGAAAAAACAACCCCATTAAAAAGTAGGCAAAGGACACAGACACTTCTCAAAAGAAGACATTCATGCAGCCAAACATGAAAAATAGCTCAACATCACTGATCATTAGAGAAATGCAAATCAAAACCACAGTGAGATACCATCTTATGCCAGTCATAATGGTGATTATTAAAAAGTCAAGAAACAACAGATGCTAGCGAGGTTGCAGAGAAATAGGAACATTTTAACACTGTTAGTGTGAGTGTAAATTAGTTCAACCACTGTGGAAGATGGTGTAGCAATTCCTCAAAGATCTAGAACCAGAAATACCATTTCACCCAGCAATTCCATTACTGAGTATATACCCAAAGGAATATAAATCATTCCATTACAAAGATACATGCATGCATATGTACACTGCAGCACTATTCACAATAGCAAATACATGGAATCAACCCAAATGCCCATGAATGATAGACTAGATAAAGAAAATGTGGTACATATGCACCACAGAATACTATGCAGCCATAGAAAGGAATGAGATCATGTCCTTTGCAGGGACATGGATGGAGCTGGAGGCCATTATCCTCAGCAACCTAATTCAGGAACAGAAAATCAAACACTGCATGTTTTCACTTAAAAGTCGGAGCTGAACATGAAAACACATGGACACAGGGAGGGGAACAACACACACTTGGGCCTGTCCCAGGGTGGGATCGAGGGAGGGAGAGCATTAGAAAAAATACCTGATGCATGCTGGCCTTAATACCTAAGTGATGGGTTGATGGGTGCAGCAAACCACCATGGCACATGTTTACCTAAGTAACAAACCTACACATCCTGCACATGTACCCCAGAACTTAGAATAAAAATTTAAAAATATATATAGTCATTTCAATTGATGCTGAAAAAGCATTTAAGGTTCAACATTCCTTCATAAATAAAAACCTTCATAAATCTAGGGATAGAAGAAATATACCTCAACATCATAAAAGCCATATGTGACAGACTCACAGCTAGTACCACAGTGAATAGGGAAAAACTAAAAGCCTTATGGAACATAACAAGGATGCCCACTTTCAACAAGGATGCCCACTTTCACCATTTTTATTCAACATAGCACTGGAAATCCTAGCTAGAACAATTCAGGTAAGAGAAAGAAATCAAGGGCATCCAGATTGGAAAGGAAGGAGTCAAAGTATCCTTGTTTGCAGATTATATGATCTTATATTTGGAAAAACCTAAGGGCTCACAAAAAACTATTAGAACTAATGAAAGTATTCAGTAAAGTTGCAAGATATAAAGTCAATATAGAATAATCAGTAGCACTTGTGTATGCCAACAGTGAGCAATCTGTAAAACAAATCAAGAAAGGTATCCCATTTACAATAGCCACAAATAAAATAAAGTACCTAGTAATTAACTTAACCAAAGAAGTGAAATATCTCTATAATGAAAACTATAAAATACTAATGAAGGAAATTGAAGAGGACATAGAAAAATGGAAAGGTATTTCATGTTCATGGTTTAGAACACTCCATATTGCTAAAATGTCCTTACTATCCAAAGCAATCTACAGATTCAATGCAATTCCTATCAAAATACCAATGACATTCTTCACAGAAATAGAAAAAAAATTCTAAAATGTATATGGAACCACAAGGACCCAGAATAGCCAAAGCTATCCTAAGCAAAAAGAGCAAAACTGGAGGAATCACATTACCTGACTTCAAATTATACTGCAGAGCTATAGTAACCAAAACAGCATGGTACTGGCATAAAAACACACATATAAATCAATGGAGCAGAATAGAGACCCCAGAAACAAATCCATACACCTACAGTTAACTCATTTGCAACAAAGACTCCAAGAATATGCACTGGGGAAATGACAGTCTCTTTAATAAATTGTGCTGGGAAAACTGGATATCCATATGCAGAAGAATCAGACTAGACCCCTATCTCTTGCTATATACAAAAATCAAATCAAAATTGATTAAAGTCTGAAATCTAAGACGTTAAACTATGAAAATGCTACAAGAATACATTGGGGAAACGCTCCAGGACATTAGTCTGGGCAAAAACTTGAGTAATATTCCACAAGCACAGGCAACTAAAGCAAACATGGACAAACGGATAACATTAAATTACAACGTTTCTGCACAGCAAGGGAAAAAACTAACAAATGGAAGAGACAACACAAAGAATGGGAGAAAATAGTTGCAAGCTACTCATATGACATGGGATTAATAACCAGAATATATAAAGAGCTAAAACAACTCTATAGCTAAAAATCTAATAATCTAATTAAAAATGGTGAAGAGCTATGAATAGACATTTCTCAAAAGAAGACATACAAATTGCAAACAGGCATGTGGAAAGGTGCTTAACATCATTGATCATCAGAGAAATGCAAATCAAAACTACAATGAGATGTCATCTCACCCCAGTTAAAATGGCTTTTATCCAAAAGACAGGCAATAACAAGTGCTGACAGGGATGTGGAGAAAAGGGAATCCTCTTACACTGTTGGTGGGAATATAAATTAGTACAACCATATGGAGAACAGTTTGGAGGTTCCTCAATAAATTTAAAACAGAGCTACACCATACAATCCAGCCACCCCACTGCTGGGTATATACCCCACAGAAAGGTAATAAACATATTGAACAAATATCTGCACTCCTATGTTTGTTGCATCACTGTTCACAATAGCCAAGATTTGGAAGCAACCTAAGTGTTCATCAACAGATGAATGGATAAAGAAAATGTGGTTATTTATACACAATTGAGTACTATTCAGGCATAAGAAAGAATGGGATCCAGTGATTTGCAGCAACATGGATGGAACTAGCAGTCATTATGTTAGGTGAAATAAACCAGGCACAGAAAGACAAACATCACACGCTATCACTTATTTGTGGTATCTAAAAATCAAAACAATTTAAACTCATGGAGATAGAAAGCAGAATGATGGTTACCACAGGCTGGGAAGAGTATTGGAGAGGTCAGGGGGAAGGTGGGGATTGTTAATGAGTACAAAAAAATGGAAAAAGTGAATAAGATCTAGTAATTGATAGCACAACAGGTTGATTATAGTCAATAATAATTTAATTGTACATTTAAAATAACTAAAAGAGCATAACTGGATTGTTTATAACACAAAGAATGAACGCTTGAGGGGATGGATACTCCATTTTCCATGATGTGATTATTATGCATTGCATGTCTGTGTCAAAACATCTCATGTATCCTATATATACACCTACTATGTACCCACAAAAATTAGAAATTAAAAAATTTAAAAAAGAACAAAATTTAATAAAAGGAGATAAATTAACCATAAATGCATGAGGTAATTTCTATGTTTTCTATCCTGTTCTATTGGTCTATGTGGTACTGTTTCTATGCCAGTACCACGCTGTTTTGATTACTATGGATTTATTATGTATTGATATTTTAGAGTCAGTTAGTGTGATGCTTCTAGCTTTTTTCTATTCACTCAAGATTTCTATGGATGTTTGGTGTCTTTTGTGGATTCATACAAATTTGTGGTTAGTTTTTCTTTTACTGTGAGAATTGTCATTGGAATTTTGATAGGGACTGCACTGAATCTGACATTTTAATTTTTTTTTTGAGACAGAGTCCGGAATTTTGACAGGGACTGCATTGAATCTGACATTTATATATATATATATATATATATATATATATTTTTTTTTTTTTTTTTTTTTTTTTTTTTGAGACAGTCTTGCTCTGTCACCCAGGCTGGAATGCAGTGGCGTGATCTCTGCTCACTGCAACTTCCGCCTCACGGGTTCAAGCGATTCTCCTGCATCAGCCTCCCGAGTAGCTGGAACTACAGGCACATGCCACCACACCTGGCTAATTTTTTGTATTTTTAGTAGAGACGGGGTTTCACCATGTTAGCCAGGATGGTCTCGATCTCCTGACCTCGTGATCCGCCCGCCTCGGGCTCCCAAAGTGCTGAGATTACAGGCGTGAGCCACTGCACCAGGCCTGATATTTTAATATTTTTAATTATTCCAATCCACGAACATGAAATATCTTTCAATTTATTTGTGCCTTCGTTTATTTGTTTCATCATTGTTTCATAGTTTTCAGGGTAGAGATATTTCACCTCCTTGGTTAAATTTATTCTTAAGTAATTTTGTTTTACAGCTATTGTAAATGAGATTATTCTCTTGATTTCTCGTTTTGGATAGTTTACTGTTAGCATATAGAAGAACTACTGATTTTTGTACAGTATTCCCTTCACTTTCAATCTATGTGTGTCCTTAAAATTGAAGTGTCTTGTAGACAGCATGTAGTTGAGCCTTCCTTTTTATCCATTATGCCCCTATTTCTTTTGATTTATATAGTCTATTCACAGTCAAAGTAATCATAGACATGTAGCTTACTACTACCATTTTGTCGATTGTTTTCTGATTGTTTTGTAGGTTCTTTTTTCCTTTCTTTCTCTCTTGCTACCTTCCTTTGTGGTTTGATGATTTTTTGTTGTTGTTGTAGTATTCTTTGATTCCTTTCTCTATTTTTTATACCTATTACAGGCTTCCGCTTTTTGGTTACCATGAGGCTTACATAAAACATGTTAGGTTGGTGCAAAAGTGATTGCTGTTTTTGCCATGACGTTTTGCCATTAAGGCTTTTGTTTGCCATTAAATGGCAAAAACAGCAATTGCTTTTGCACCAACCTAATACTTAAAAAAGACTGTTTTAAGCTGATAACAACTTAATCTTGATGGCATTAAAAAACTCTACACTTTTACTCATTCCTCCATTGTGTGTGTGTGTGTGTGTGTGTGTGTGTGTGTGTGTGTGTGTGTTGTTTGTTTGTTTGAGACAGGGTCTCGCTCTGTCACCCAGGCTGGAGCACTGGTGCTCACTCAACTCACTGCAACCTCTGCCTCACAAGTTCAGGTGATTCTCATGCCTCAACCTTTTGAGTAGCTGAGACTACAGGGGTGTGCCACCACACCCAGCTAATTTTTGTATTTTTAGTAGAGACGGGGTTTCGCCATATTGGCCAGGCTGCTCTTGACCTCCTGATCTCAAGTGATCCACCTGCCTTGGCCTCCCAAAGTGCTGTGTTTACAGGCATGAGCCACTGTGCCCAGCCCATTTTGTGTCTTTCATGCCACAAGTTACTTCTTTTTATAATGTGTATCTTTTAACAAATTCTTGTGGTTACAGTTGTTTTTAATAGTTTTGATGTTAACCTCCATACTAGAGACATAATTGATTTACACACCACCATTACATTGTTAGAGTATTCTGAATTTGACTGTGTACTTACTTTTACCAGTAAGTTTTATACTTTTATATATTTTCATGTTTCTAGTTAGCATCATTTTCTTTCTGCTTGAAGAACTCCCTTTAGCATTTCCTGTAAGGCAGGTCTAATGGCGATGGACTCCTTCAGCTTTTGTTTGCCTGGGAAATTCTATATTTCTCCCTCATTTCTGAAGAACAACTTTTCTAGATAAAGTATTATTGGTTTACATGTGGAGAGGGGCAGTTAACACTTTGAATATATCATCCCACTCTCACCTGGCCTGCAAGATTTCAGCTGAGAAATCCACTGATAGCCATTTATGTGAAACCACAAAAGACCCCAAATAACCAAAGCACTCTTGAGAAAAAAGAACAAAGCTCAAGGCATTATACTTCCCAATTTCAAACTGCAGTACAATGCTATGTTAGTAAAGACAGTATGGTACTTGCATAAAAACACACGTAGGACAATAAAACAGAATAGAGAGCCCAGAAATAAATTTAGGCATATATGTTAAACTAATTTTTGATATGGAAACCAAGAATACATGATAAGGAAAGGATATTCTCTTTAATAAGTGGGGTTGAGAAAACTGGATATCCAAATTCCAAAGAATAATATTGGGTCCTTACCTTATACCATACATAAAAATCAAATGAAAATGGATTAAAGACTTAATCATTAAGACTTAATACAACACCTTGAAGAAAACAAAGAGAATAAACTCCTTGACACTGGCCTTTTCAGTAATTTTTGTATGTGCTACCAAAAACATAGGCAACAAAAGAAAAAAAATTTAAATGGGACCACACCAAACTAAAAAGCTTCTGTACAGTAATGGAAACAATCAACAAAGTGAAAAGGCAGCCTACAGAATGGGATAAAATACTGTAAACCATATGTCTGATAAGAAGTTAATATTCAAAATATACAAGGAAATTACGCTACTCAATAGCAAGAAAACAAGTAACCCTGTTTTAAAAAATGGGCAATGGACCTGAATAGACATTTTCCCAAAGAAGACATAGGAAAAACTGCTCAGTGGCACTAATCAGGGAAATGTAAATCAAAACCACAATGTGATATTCCCTCACATCTGTTAGGATGGCTATTATCAAAAAGGCAAGAGATAACAAGTGTTGTTGAGGATGTGGAGAAAAGCGAACCCATGTACACTGTTACTGGGAGTGTAAATTGGTAAAGCCATTATGGAAAATAATATAAAAGATCTTTAAACAATTAAATATAGAATTACCAAATATGCTCCAGATTATATGGCTCTCCTGGTTATATACTCAAAGGTAATGAAATCAGTACCTTGAAGGGATATCTGCACTCACATGTTCATTGCAGCATTATTCACAATATCCAAGATATGGAATAGATTGAAGTATCCATTGAGTGGATAAAGAAATTGTGGAATGCATATACAATGAAATGTTATTCAGACTTAGAGAAGAAGGATATTCTTCCATTTGTGACAATATGGATAAACCTAAAGGGTATTATGTAAAGTGAAACAAGCCCGACACAGAAAGAAAAATACTGCATATTATATGTGTAATCCAAAGAAGTTGAATACATGGAAGCAGAGTAGAACAATGATTACCTGGGGCTGGGAGGTGGGAGGAATATGGAGATGTTGCTCAAATGGTATGAAGTCACAGCTATGTGGGATGAATAAGCCTAGAGCTATAATGTATTGCATGAATACTGTTATGTACAATGAAAATTTGCTGACACCAGAAAAACCCAAAAAGGTAACTATATGAGGAGATAGATGTGGGTATTTGCTTCACTATAGTAATCATTTCACTATGTATATCAAAACATCTAGTACACCTTAAATATATACAATTTTTATTTGAAAAATGAAAATAGGAAAAACAATAGAACAAGAATAACCAAAATGATTCTGAAGAATAATGTTGAAGAACTCACGCTACCTAATTTAAAGACGTAGTGTAAAACTACAGTAATCAAAATAGTGTGGTATTGGTTAAAAAAAAATGGACCAGAATAGAGTCCAGAAATAGACTCATGCATATATGATCAACTGACTTTCAACAAAGGTGCAAAAACAATTCAATGGAGAGAGAGAATCTTTTTAACAATAGGAGTCTAGAAGCAAAAACAATAAAACAAAAAATACAAAATGGACAAACAAAAAACTACCTTATTCCAGCCAGGCGCGGTGGCTCACTCCTGTAATCCCAGCACTTTGGGAGGCTGAGGCAGGCTGATCACGAGGTCAGGAGATCGAGACCATCCTGGCTAACATGGTGAAACCCCGTATCTACTAAACAAAATACAAAAAATTAGCCAGGCATGGTGGCAGGCGCCTGTAGTCCCAGCTACTCGGGAGGCTGAGGCAGGAGAATGGTGTGAACCCGGCAGGTGGAGCTTGCAGTGAGCCCAGATTGCACCAGGGCACTCCAGCCTGGGCGACAGAGGGAGACTCCATCTAAAAACAAACAAACAAGCAAACAAACAAAACCAACCTTATTCCACATGCAATAGTTAACCTAGTGTGTGTCATAGAGTTAAATATAACACCTAAAACTGGAAAACTTCTAGGAAAAAAAAAAATATCAGAAGATATTTTTGGCCTTCTGTGAAGCAAAGATTTCTTGGATTAAAAAAATCCATTAAAGAAAAACTAGGTACTTTGTACTTCAAAACTAAAAACATCTTCTGCTCTTCAAAATACATGGTTAGGAGAAAGAAAGACAAGGTACATATCAGGAGAAGATGTTTGCAAAACATCACATATGGGGAGAAAATATTTGCAAAACACATCTCTTATAAAGTACTCATTTCCAGAATATAAAAAGTACCCTCAAATCTCAATAAGAAATGAAAATAACTCAATTAAAAAATTGGCTGAAGATTTGAACAGACACCACAAAAGAAGACATGGATGGCTAATAGGCACATAAAAAGATGCTCAGCATCATAAATTATTAGGGAAATGCAGATCAATGCAATATGTTACTACTAAGCACCTATACTGGTAGCTAAAATGAAAAGAAATACTTTTTAAAATGAAAACAACACTGCCCATCTGGCAAATTTTAGTTTATAATTGTCATTCACCCTTACATTAATAGAATCAAGTATATGAACCCAGTGATCAGTGGATATGGGAAGTCCAGTGTATCCATTTCACTTTTAACAGTGAGTCTTCTTTTTGTGCTTTTCTCCTGCTTTTAGGGAACCCCAGTCTCTTTTAAAATTTTTATTTTTATTTTTGGCTCGATTTCTTGCCCCTGTTCATTCTTTGTGTTTCAACTGCTTTTGTGTTTATTTATGTCTGTCCCACAAGAATGTGATGTCACCCATGACAAGCACCACATTTTGTTGGTCTCTTCATTTCCAGCATTCCAGAAATTTCCTGAAACATAGCAAGCATCAAGCCATATTTATTGAATTAATATTTTGTAATGACCCAGACAGGGAAAGCATCCCCTCCATTGTGGAACCAGTATTGGAAATGTTATGTTCATAAACACTATACATATAGTCTTTTGTTTTATGCCAGACACCAGGGGAATGGCTCAGCCTTGGTGCCTTGGTGACCCTGCCACAAGGAATTTTCTCACTTGCCTCCTATCTTGCTGGTGGCTGACATGAGATCATTACTCATCCATCTCCCTAGTAGTTGAGCACAAGATGTTCCTTGTTGCCCCACCTTAGGGTACAGTTCTGGGTATAAAATTGCTTACTGACTTACCACAGTGTAGTTATGGACTTCTAAATGGCAGAGAGACCCACCACCTGCACTGTTACCGAGAGCCTCTGATTTGATGTCAAACTGTGGGACTAGGGAAGCAGAAAGCTGATACAATGCTTTTCTTGCTTGTGCTGTCTGTAAGTAGTAAACTATTTGGATCTATTTGAACTCATTGTCTTCCTACTAGCTGACTCTATGAATGTGTGAGAAGCCAACCTAACAATTGCAGTGGTGATCCTTGTGGCACTAGTTAACCACCACAGGGCTGCTTAGGGACTGCTTGACCACTTGACAGACAGACTGATATTGAGTTGTCTGGTATTGCATGACCAGAATATTGACTTATTTTCGTTGGCATCACATACAGCAAGGAGCAGTTTTCAGCACATACGATGACCTAAGGTGGCCTTTGCTAGGCCTCTGTCATTTACAAACCAACTTTAGATACAATACCATATCTGATACCAACTACACTGCTATTTAATGTTTACTTAAATCAAACTAGTTTCTGAGCTCAGATTCTTTCGGTTATATAATATAATTACCTGAAATTCAAAATCAGTATCTCTTACTAGAGATATAATTGTAAAAGTAAATGAAATAAAAAATTAATTAAAAAATGGACTATAACTAGTGAACCAAATCCATTTATACTGTAATGCCTACTTCATATGTGTTATCTTACTCATTTATTATTATTATTTTTTTTTAGTAACGATGAGGTCTTGCTATGTTGCCCAGGCTAGTCTCAAACTCCTGGGCTCAAGCAATCCTTGGCCTTCCAAAGTGCTGAGGTTATAGGCATGAGCCACCATGCCTGGCTTTATCTCACTTATTAATAATAGTAATACTTTAGTGTAAATAATGTAATTTATATTTTAGTAATGCAAAACAGTTCCAAAGGATGTATCTTTCTCACTTTCACACAGCCAGTTTGCGTCAGAGCCAGGATGAAAAACCATGGCTATTTCATGCTACAGCCTATAAAGGGACAGTGTAGGTAGGAACCAAGACATTTTGCCTCAGCTACTACCCCTTTCATTCCTACCTAGCTTCTAATCTTTGCAGTTAGCTCCAGCATCTAGGAACCTCTCACATATTTTGTGAAAATTGATATACCCTGCATTTTTCTCATTTTTAAATTTTAACCATAGATTTTTAGTCTTTTTGGATCAAGAAAATATTTTTAACTTGCAAGTAGCAGAAATAGTTGCTATTTATAATCCTGTGTCTTTCCCTAAGCAAGGTGGATTTTAGGTAGGGTCTTTTCTGGTATAATTGTAAATGTGTGTGAATATGAATGGGGCTCAGAGTTATAACCTGCTGTCATTGTGTAAAGTAATAAGGGTGCAAGGCTGGAATTAGGCAGCTTTGGAGGCTTCTTAGTGAGATATGGTGAATATCAGGCCAATAAAGAATTTTACAGAGGAAAAAATAGATTTGACACTGCTCCTTCTCAATCTCTAAATTAACTTTGAGAAAGAACAGAAGGGGATACAAGAGAAACTTTCCTTCAAGGAAAGAACAAGGACTTTTAAGTAAAACAATTTTATATTAATATGTTGATTAAATTTTTATGAAAGTATCCTATTACTGGCTAATGTCATCATGTACTGTGTTAGTTCCTTACACAACACTTTCAGAAGCATATACTTTAAGAAAAGTATCAGCATAAAAACATGAGCAGGTGGCTTTCAGAGTGACAGCATCATTAGAGGCATCTAAGCATTCAGAAAAGATGTGCCTCACAAGGTTTGAAGGGATGGGAACCTGGAGCTGCCCCTTCTGTCACTGCCTTTGAAGTCCTAAAATTTAAAATTGTAAGAGACAGAAGCCATACAGAAACAGATGAGCATAGGAAAGCCTAGCCCTTCACAACTCACAATTTGTAGAGATTTTATTTCCAGCAAATGGAAAAAGTTTTACATTCCAATTCACATTAAAACGCTAGCATAACCTTGATACCAAAGTCAAACAAAGATAGTACATGAAATCAAAGTGTAAGTTAATCTCACTCATTATATATATAGATATATACATATACCCTAAATAAAATATTAGGACATAGATTATTGAAAAAGGATAACATTTCAAGAACCAATTGTGTTTACCCTACAAATGCAATGTTGGTTAAATGTACTCAGTGTATTCACCACAGTAATAAATAAATAGAGGAACAAATCCTATGATAATCACAGTCGATGAAAGTCAACATATATCCAAGAAGAATACTCTCAGGAAACTAGAAATAGAAGGAACTTCTGATAAAGCATATCTGCAAGTAAAATCTACAGTAAATCATGGTAAAATGTTGAATATTTTCCATTTCTTATCAGGAATAAGATGAGGGTGTCCACTATCACCAGTTCAATTCCACATTGTACTGGATGAGTCTGTCCAATGTCATAAAATGAATTAAGGAAATGAAGAGTAACATACTTTAAAAGGCAGACTGAAAAGTATTATTACTCACAGATGGCATGATTGTATATGTTGACAATCAAAAAGGACCTAGAGAGAAACTTTTGGAATTAATAAGCATATTTAGCAAGGTTTCTGGAGAGAAAAATCAATACATAAAATTATATCTCTATATACCAGCTCAAACAAAATATAAATTTTCAAAAAAGATACAATTTTCAATAGCATGAAACACCTAATTATTCCTAGTTTGACATAAGTTGCACAAGACTTCTTTGCAGACAATTGTGAAACTTTATTGAGAGAATTTTACTGGTGAAGTTTCCAACATAAAGACTGCATGTATGGTTTCAGCTTGTCTTCATTTAAACCGATGGTTGCCCTTCACCTATAAGATAAACATAATAGTTGAGAGTATTTTTTAGCAGAACTTTTTATGATGACACTACGGGTTGAAAAAAGGCATAGTTTTGGTTTTATGAAATGAACTATAACAAGGTAACCCTCTGGCTTATATCCAGTTAAACCGCTATAGAGACTTTGAAGGTAGGCTTTCAGGTATATTAACAATATTTTAAAATCCCACTCATTTTTCTAGTGTATAAGAAAGAGTTTGAGTTCGAAATGATTTGATCAAATGAACCTATTTAAAGAAAGTTTTAACTAGAAACTAAAAACTGCATGTAATTTTAGAAAAAAAAAATCCAACTAACCAAACATAAGCAAACATAAAACTTAGGAAACAAAAGAAATTTGAAATAATGTTTTGAATATAGGATAGCTCAAACAGTAATGACACATTTGAAAGTGCTTAAGTGGCATAAATAGAAAGGCTAGTATTATATTTGTTTTGTTTCTGTTATGGGAAAATGCTAAAATGTTTTTGATTAGTTTACTCTTTATATGGTTGTTTTAAGTAGGTTAACCATTTGTCTCTGTTTTCACCTGTGGTTCTAGTATAATTATCAATAATGCCTCTTTGCACAGTTAAAAATATTCCAGTTTGTCCAATAAATTATATCGTCACACTGGTTGCAAGCCATTATTATTATAGATGAAGTGTTAAAAAGAAATAGTAATGATTCTCACAATTTGGCAAAACGGGGATCAGAAGGAGAGGGAGAGGAGGAGAGAGAGAAAGAGAAGAGACTGAGGAATCTAGAAAAGCCAAATACAAATAAACAAACAATAGCTTTTTTTTTTGTTTCTAAATGATAAATACTTTTGATGGAAAATTCTGGCAAGTTTTAAAAGTTCATCCATGTTATGATGTTTAAATATTCATTTACTACTGTGGTATAGTAAATGATTTTATGTTTTGCTAGCATATCAAACATTGCATCAAATTTTGAAAATTGTTTAGAGCTCAAGAATGTATCCACTTTTAATTATATTACACATTCAATATCTGTCCTGTCTTGTTCCTATTTTTTATTGTGTATACTTGAGCTTTGCCCATTTTCTTCAACATTATGTAAACTAGGGGATCCTCTATTCATAGATATGTTGAAAATCTCTTTTATTTACTAGTTGAATTATTTCCCTTAAATAAAGACTTATACCTGTCTTTTATTAAGTATATTTTTCCTTCTCCCTTATGTTTATCTTGTGCCTTTTTCTTATTTTTTATATTGAATGCTCATATAATTTTATATTTTTATTTTTTAATAACATGTATTTAAAGCAATGATCTTCCTATGAGTATATGTTGAATAGGTTCCTGAACATAGCCTGAAAAATATTTTTAATCTAAATATTCTAATGGAATGGATCAGGAATGTAGAGCAAAAGCAGTAGACTAATGCAAGATAATTTCTTTCCTAAACACTAAGTGTTTATATTAAATTCAGAAGCTCATATAACTAATGCCTAGAAGTTTGGAAAAAACATGTGTAAAACGTACTTAAGTTGATTACTCAAATTTTAATATATTTGATTTTGACCCATTTTTATAAGAGCAAATATGGGTTTAGAAGATAAGGAATTTGCCCAAAGTCAGTGAAATTTTGTTAGAGCTTGGATTAGAGCCTACTTAATTGCCTCAGCATGTTTCATACAGTGAATATCTGTTACAAATTCATTAGGTATTTATTAAAAGCAGACCTTTATAAAAGTATCTGATATTACTAGCTGTTGGTTTAGGAACTGATACTAAAAAGTAAGAAAATACCTTCACATTTTATAATTGAATGTGGCTTTGACCCAATGTGGTAGGATCTATGATGGTGCTTGTTTATTAGTCAGGCTTTTGGGGACTGAACTATCTTTCAAAGAATCTTTATATATGAACTCTGTTAAATTATATTAGCAGTAGTGGTACCTCTATATTATAAAATATATAGTATTTTTGAAAACAGAAACCCCATAATTTGCATTTTTAATGAATAACTTACCTGCTTCTGGTATTTTAACAGGCTCCAGATTTGGCAGAAATTCTCCCTTGACATTAGGACCATCTCCACGTTCACCCCCAGTCTTTGACCGAGTCAGTTCCCAGAGATAGGCTGCCAGGCCTAGCACTTAAAAATAAAAAACATTACCAATTTAAGTTGTAAAACATAAAATATAAATAAAAGAATGATAATATTCACTCCCTCAATGTTATGAAATAAAAGCCTATAGGCTAGTGTGGTAATACACGCAATGCATAAGAATTTCAAGAACATTATTTCAGGACTCTTACCAGAAAAAGAAAACAAAATTTTCCAAATATTATCACCCTTTTCTTTTCCCACAACTGCCCCAGACAGATTAGTTGAACCCTCTGTAGGTATATGTTATTGTACTTATCATTTCAAATTAGTGATTCATTTGAGTCTGTCTAACTAGATTGTGAGCTCAAGGCTGAAATCATCTCTTTCATTAGTATTTACATCCCTAAAGCCTACATATTGCATGGCATGAGTCACTGTGAATAAGTGTTGAGTGAAAAAAAAGTATTTAAAAATACAGCCTATACTGATGAACGCTCTGCAAAACAACTGGTCCATTCTCTTAAAAAATACCAGTGTCATGAAAGACGAAGAAAGAGTGAAGAACTGGTCCAGATTAAAAAAGATTAAATAGGATTGACAACTATATGTAATGCATGATCCTGGAATCAGAAAAAAAACTATAAGGGAAATTATTAGGACAACTGGGGAAATTTGAATATAAGCTATATATTAAACAACTGCATTTTTCATTGTTGAATTCCCCAAATTTAATAAACATACAGGGGTTATCCAAGAGAATATGGCTATATAATAGAATAGTGGGTATGAAATCAATGTGGCAAAACTCTAAACATTAGTTAATCTAGGTGAAAAGCATATGAGTTGATTATAATAATCTTGCAACTTTTCTGTAAATTTTATATTTTTACAAAACATAAATTAAAAATAAAAAAGAATAAATGACAACTATGTTGGAGTTCAGGAAGACAAGAGTTATTTTTGACAACATTAACAGCAACTAGGATTGGACTTCAGACAAGACTGGGTGCATTCAGGGTGGTATGGCTGTAGATGGATTGGACTTCATGTATTTGTTTTCCTGCATTACAAAAACCTCCATTTTAAATGACATTATAAGGACAAACCACAAAACATGTGCCGTCCTTATATTTTACCATAGTGCTGTAAGGGGAATAAACATCAGCCATCCAGGAAATCAGAACTTTACACCATGGATAAGATTTAAATTACATTTAAAATATAATTTTATGAAGAATTAGCTGAATGGATTTGTAAGCGTATGACATATCTTATAGTCATGACACCCATAACCTATTGGGGTAACAAGAAACTTATTTTGTTAAAATAAAGTTACTTTTAGGTCCAAAGGTCTTATATGTTACTTTCCATAAATGAATTCCATATATAATGAAGTTGTAAAAACAACAGCAAAATTATTTGTGAATACAGCAAAATCGTTGACTTCCAGCAAGAATAATGGGAAGTGGAATGGAAAGAATTTAATGGGTATTATTGTCATCATAATTCTGGGACTCTTTCAATAGTGAATTGCTAAAATAATCTATGGCTTGAGCTATGTAAATATTTTGCTCCAAAATGCCATACCTGGAAGAACTAATTGTTTCATGATAATCGTAGGTACATAACCTTTTGATGTTTCTAGCCATAAGAGGATTTAACCACCTTTTAAAACCACTTAAAAATTATACTGAACCAGCTACCTATATGCCAATATCCTGAATTGTTCAGCTATTAACTAAACTTTCCATACACAAATTTCAATCAAAGTAAACAGTGGCTATCATTCATTGAGTCATTCTCTGGAATCACATTCTGTTCCACTGAATTGGGTCTATTCCAATGCCAGTACTGAGCTATCTCACAGTATAGACATTTTAGTATTAAACAGTTTAAGCAAAATCATTCACTTTTTCTTACAGCAATCTAGATGGTAAGAAGAATACATACTTTGGAATAATATACAAATTATTTCTCCACCAGTGAAGTGCCCTTTGGTAAGACACAATCTCTGAGTCTCAGTTTTCTTACTTATCAAGTGGGATTTATATTTCTATGCAAGCTCATTTAATCCAAGGTGTTACATATGATATATATATATATATATATATATATATATGTAATATATATATCACATACCATATATAGATTTATATCTCGATGCAAGCTAGTTTAATCCAAAGTGTGAATTAGTGTGGATATGAGATATATATACATATATATAATATATATATGTGATCTATAATATATGTATAATGCCTTAGCACTCTACGCATGCTATTAAAAGTTGCTTAAACTTTTAATATAATTACTAAGAAGGACAGACAATATTCTAAGATCAAGTTTAACTAGTGAAATAGTATACAATTTGGAGTAAAATTAAACATAGTTTCCCTGGATTTGCTAATGAAATGCTCTGGCAAGCATAACAAGTAAGTCTTGAAGGTCGAATGCATTATACTAAGGGACTGCCCTTGGCTGTAAACTATGCCTTCTTCACTTTTCCAGCCAATTTTCAGGAAATGTTTGAGATCTCTTTCTATTGCTTTTTTCCTCCTTTTACTTCCATATCATAATACATGATATATACATACACCCCCTCCATTCATAGGCATTCTTCCTCTCCCACGCTTCACCTTGGAAGTCCAGTGCTCCCTCGTCTCTCTCTTGACCAGGTGTATAATCCTGACTTTCAATTGGTGGTTCCTCTTGTTGAAGCTGGTCATTACTGGGCAGCTCCTGGGCCTAGGAATATGAGTGCGTGTGCAAATAAAAAGGTCTGTTATTAATAATGCATGTCAATAATATACATATACTCAATATACAAATATATCTTACCATAAATAAGTCTAAAGACATTTTTTTCCTACACAATTCTACATATACTTATTCTTAATAGTTACTACAAGAGAAAGTTACCCTTAAAAACTTGGGAAGCTATTTGAATCCAGGCTGGAATTGATGTATACAATGTGTTATGAATAAGCAGGAGAAGGAAGCCATAGAGAATATTTCTGGGGAATATAAAAACATAGCCATCCAGGCAACATTAGAATGCAAACATCCAAATCTATGTTTACTTCACGAGATTCAATTATTACCATTTACAAGCATGGAAAACCTTATTAATATATCAATATTAGTTCAACAACATTTTCACAAAAATAAGTTTCTAATAGAAAATATCAAATGTTAAAATACTCACAACCACAGCCCCTACTGGATGATTAGAGTCTTGATCATCTCTTCTTTCTCTAGATCTGGATCTTGTTCTTTGATGTCCACTCATGTTTCACTCTGAAAGTGGCATACTGTGATTCAGAAAATGTACATAAGAGTGTATCATTTGACCTTTTCCATGGCTAAATTGGAAAGCATGCAAGCTCACGATTACCCTGGGACTTAATTTTAAGATGTTTTCAAAAATTTTTAGGTATCATCTAATTTAGCCAAATATGGCTGCTTGCAAAGTCATTAATGTTATGGCTATGGTAGCAGGCAAGGCTCATGGCAAGATAGAGGACTTCTCTGTGAGTTTTGGTTTCACAATTAGACTCTCCATCATGAAGATATCTAGGAAAATATAGGTAGAGAATTGGAACCGGAGTGACTACTGCTTTTGCCCCACTCTCATTTACTCAGCCCATTTACCCCCTAAAATCAAGTTTTATTGGAACGCACAGCCTCTCCCATTCCTGCCCGAGATGTCAGTGGCGGAGGTGTGAAGTTGCAAAGCCGAGTGAAGGGCATGCTCCTCACTCTCTGCCACCGTGGAGCGCTCTACAGACCTCGGGGCAGCGGTTATCAGCCCGCAGTGTTCCTAGTTTCCAGGCCCCTTCCTTACTGCCCACCTCGCCCTGCCACTGCCCGGTTAAGAACTGGGGAATCTGTCCTCCCTCTCAGGGTTCCAGGCCTTTCGGCACTCAGATACCTCCAACAGCACGCCCAGCACTCGCCCCATCTTCACGTGATTCCTCCCCTCTACGGTCCACCTTCCTCCGTCGTCCTGGCCCAGAAACGACGACAAAGGCCCATGGGGCGTCGCGACCTGGGAGGAGCCGGACGTCGACGGCGAGGCCCTTTTCTCTCAGAAGCCACGGACTGTGGTTTCTGTGCCGCAGGACCTGTCCAAAGCCCGCTGGCTCCCCTTCACATTCACTCACAACTAAATTCCCAGGAGGACT
Source organism: Homo sapiens (assembly GCF_000001405.40). NCBI lineage: Eukaryota > Metazoa > Chordata > Mammalia > Primates > Hominidae > Homo > Homo sapiens. The sequence goes on from NC_000023.11 coordinate 55,264,799, forward strand.
GATCTGCGGACCTACCAGCTGAGTCCCAGTCAGTGAGAAAGAATGAAGAGGACAGGAGGACCACCTCTCAGGGCAGAGCTCTGAGCGCAGACAGCAGACAGCAGACAGCAGACAGCAAGGCACATGCGCAATAATGGACATGCCCAGCAACGGACATGCATAGGGATGCAGCTTGTGTTACGTAGGCTGAGGTTTTCTTGCCTCTGTTGACTAGGAGCCACAAGGTTTCTTGAGTATTGAAAGGGGCTTGCACAGCTCTTTTACTTTTCCTTCCTAAACTTTTTGACATCTAAAGTAAGGGTCCCTGAGGCTCGAGGTCAAATTAACTATCATGCCCAATACAACTCTCACACTTCCCTCATAAATAGAGGGAAGAGGGATCATAAATACATGACATTTAACTGCACCCCAGGCCCAGCCCAAGGACAGCCTTACACAGGATGGCAAGTGAACAAGAGGGCACCTGTACCTGTTGATCCTTTTTCCTGAGGTCTAGTTTGTATTAACTAACTCTTGCCTTTTGAAAAACAAACACTGTTATCTGAAGTTTAATGTGAACCTTTAAAGATGCATTGTTTTTAGACAAAAAGGACATATTTGATATGGGCCACTAGGGTTACCACAAAATACATAGTTGTTGATGAAATGTAATTTGCATCTTTAATGTAATGAGCAACGAACAGCATTTTAAAGAAACACAATAAAATAAAATAGAAATCATCAGAACTGCATTTAGGATATACACATAGCCTACACACACACACGTACAAACATACATGTTTACACACATATATTTATGTTCAGTCCACATCTCCTGCCCTCAAGCTGGGATTTACACCATCTGCTTCCCTAGTTCTCAGGCCTTCGGATCTGAATTGAAGTACATCACTGGTTTCTGGTCTCCTGCTAGCTTGTAAATGGCAGACTGTGGGACCCAGTCTTCATAATTGTGTGAATCAATTTTTCACACAATGTTATATATATATATAATACACACACACACACACACACACACACACACAGATAAGGAAAAGGGCCAGGATATCAGCCCTACTCACTTCTCTTCAGCACTGTCCTGGTGAATCTAGTTAGTGCAATGAGACAAGAAATGAAATAAAAGGCATCCAGATTGAAAAGGAAGAAGTAAAACTGTATGACTCATAGATAACATAATCTTTCGTGTAGAAAATCTGATAGAATCTATAAAACAGTTACTAGAAACAAGTGAGTTGCAGAATTAAAAATCGATATACAAAATTTAATTGTATTTTTGTGCATCAGCAATACAAACTTGGATTGGCATTTTTAATAGTATGCATTATAGTATCGAAGAATATTAACTGCTAAGGGATGAATCTGAATAAGGAAATTCAAGACCTATAACATATTGAAAAGTACAAAAGATGGCTGAGTGAAAATTTCAGACCCAAATAAAATTAAGAGATATATCTTGTTCATGAATCAAAAGAGTCAATATGCTTAAGATACAGTTTCCCCAAATTGAGCTATAGATTCAAAGCAATTCCAATCAAAATCCCAGAGGGTGTTCTTTTTGGAGAAATTGATAAACTGATCTTCTAAAGTAAAGAGAAAGTTTTTAGGCAGAATCAGACAAGTGCAGAAACATATATACATGAGTACAACCACTAATCAGACAAGTGCAGCTGCTCTGTCTATGGTGTAGCCATTATTTTATTCCTTTACTTTCTTAGTAAACTTGCTTTCACTTTGCACTGCGGACTCGCCCTGAAATTCTTTCTTGTGTGAGATCCAAGAACCCTCTCTTGGGACATGGGGTCGGGTCCCCTTTCCTGGGACATATTTCTGGCCACCACAGAAGGGACTATAGTGAAGAAACCCTGACCCAATGGCTACCTTTGGGTAAGTGTTGGGGTCCTGTAACATCTCTCTGGTGACCACCGAAGTGATTATACTGCGGAAACCCCCAACCCAAAGGCTAACTTTGGGTAAGTGGTGGGGTCCGGTAACATCTTTCTCGTGAACCACAAAAAGGACAATACTGAAGAAACCTCCCCAATCCAAAGGAAATAGACTGCAGCACTGATTGGATGACTTTGGGTAAGTGGCAGGGGAGCAGGCTAAAGGATGGGATTGGGTTAGAGGCCCAACTTAGGGGAGTTATAGTCTCTCCTAAGACAGAGTGGATTAGAGGCCCCTCTTAATAAAAGGCAAGGACACTTGACTGACCTTGGGTTACAGGCCCAACTTAGGAGGGTTAGAGTCCCTTCTAAGATTTAGGGAGTTAGAGGCCCCTCTTGGTAAAGTCCCTCTCAGCTAAGAACAGGTTCGGCACTATAGGATGTTAACTGCTATTCTCTTTGGATTAATCTGCCTTGCACTCTTTGCTGATGGCTGTAGATGACAGGATTAGGCATGTGCAGGATTAAGGGACATGGGGAGCTTTTTCCTCCTCCAAAAGGGGAAACTTGAGAGCTGATGGGACTGCTTGAAAAAGATCCCTGCCTGACTGACAGTAGCCGCCTGAACTTTTCAATGTCGCTGCAATGGGTGGGTCTTTCTCTGGCCTCCCTGATCATTTTGCCTTCCCCACCCTACCACAGGCAATACTTTCCTTCTCTACTTTTCCTTTCCCTTTCCCTTTCTTATTATTTATTTATTTATTTGACGGAGTCTCACTCTGTCGCTAGGCTGGAGTGCAGTGGCATGATCTTGGCTCATTGCAACCTCTGCCTCCCGGGTTCAAGTGATTCTTCTGCCTCAGCCTCCCTAGTAGCTGGGACTACAGGTGCGTGCCACCATGCCCAGCTAAGTTTTTTTTTTTTTTTTTTAGTAGAGACGGGGCTTTCACCATGTTGGCCAGGATGGTCTCCATCTCTTGACCTTGTGATCTGCCCACCTCGGCCTCCCAAAGTGCTGGGATTACTGGCATGAGCCACTGCACCCGGCCCCCTTTCTTATCTTTTCTATTATTCAGGGTGACCATCTTGCCCAGAGACCACGTGTTGAAACTCCAAGTCAGAGGTTGGATTAAAGATGATGGAGCCCATCTGGGGGCAAATTTAAGCCTTGCCAGTTTGATATTGGGTGCTAAGCAGAGTGGCTAATGTCTATGTTCTATCACATGTAGTTTGCTCCAGCCAGAATGAAAAAAAATAATTTTCCTTTATGATGCAGCTTGGCCCCCAGGGCGATGGTGCCACAAGCCGGATCACTAGGGCCGCTCAGGGAAAGGGAACCCAGAAGCCTGGCATGCCGACAAAAGGGTAAGAATTTCTTACCAGTCAGATTTCTGGCTTCTCTTTCTCTGTGTAAATGGTTGAATGAATTAAAGAAACAAGCTAGTGTTTATCTCCTCTGTAAAGTTTTGATTAATGTGAAAAAGAATTCTAAGACTAGTCTTAAGCTGGTGTGTTTTGTGCTATGAATTCGTTTTTCTGTGTCGAGGGATACTTCAGGATAAAACATGGGCTTAGAACACCTGTAAACCTGTTTTTCAAGATGATCCAGAAAGCTGGTCAGTAACTACCTTGGCTGCGGGTCCCTGAAACAAACAAACAAAAAACCCAGATTAAGTATTCACGTTGTTTTATGTCCTTGGGAGCTTGACCTTTTAACCACGTGGCCATACTTTTGTTTGGTCTCCACATTCAGGGACCAGGAATTTTAGGTTCATGTCATAGTTAGCTCTAAAAACCATATTGAATAGTTAAAAGCCTTTGCAAGCTCAAAATTAACTGCTCTAGACTCCTTCTGGGAAAGAAGCTGAAGACTACTGTGAGCTGTAGCTCACTAGCTAAGGTATGGGACTTTCGCAGTGGTGGTCCGAGTTCGTATTCCTCACCTAGGAAGTAAGTCGTTTCTGGTTTAATGTTGTGTAAGTTTGTCAATTATGTTCTCCTCCATGGACTGTCTTAAATTTTCCTTTCTCTAAGCACCTGGGAGAAATTCAAAAACCAGAAATATTGGCGGTTTGGCATAAGAAATACTAAAAGGACTTTATCAAAACGTGCTAAAAGCAGATGTTCAAGCTCTAACAGCCAAGACTCCTTGGGAAAAACAGGAGGCACCAGAGACCCCTTTCCTGGCCCTGTTCTTCCAAGGGCTACACGCTAAAGCCAGTAATCCAATTAAGAAACTTAAAAACTGGCAAATGAAAAACCTTACAACTACTGTAGTAATCGTCTTCTGTCTTTCTGTGTAGCTATATAAGTGTTGTGTGTAATGTTTATATAAAAGAGCTCTAACTAATTGACTTAAACAAAAATAAGCACTTAAATAAAATATTTTAAAAGCAAAATAGAAAGTGTAATGCCACGGGGAGGAACCAAGATGGCCGAATAGGAACAGCTCCAGTCTACAGCTCCCAGCGTGAGCGACACAGAAGACAGGTGATTTCTGCATTTCCAACTGAGGTACCGGGTTCATCTCACTGGGGAGTGTCGGACAGTGGGTGCAGGACAGTGGGTGCAGTGCACTGAGCGTGAGCTGAAGCAGGGTGAGGCATTGCCTCACCCGGAAAGTACAAGGGGTCAGGTAATTCCCTTTCCTAGTCAAAGAAAGGGGAGACAGACAGCACCTGGAAAATCGGGTCACTTCCACCCTAATACTGCACTTTTCCAATAGTCTTAGCAAATGGCACACCAGGAGATTATATCCCGTGCATGGCTTGGAGGGTCCTACCCCCACGGAGCCTCGCTCATTGCTAGCACAGCAATCTGAGATCAAACTGCAAGGTGGCAGTGAGGCTGGGGGAGGGGCACCAGCCATTGCCAAGGCTTGAGTAGGTAAATAAAGCTGCCGGGAAGCTCGAACTGGGTGGAGCCCACAGGACCTCAAGGAGGTCTGCCTGCCTCTGTAGACTCCACCTCTGGGGCCAGGGCATAGCTAAACAAAAGGCAGCAGAAACCTCTACAGACTTAAATGTCCCTGTCTGACAGCTTTGAAGAGAGTACTGGTTCTCCCAGCATGCAGCTGGAGATCTCAGAATGGACAGACTGCCTCCTCAAGTGGGTCCCTGACCCCCGCGTAGCCTAACTGGGAGGCACCGTAGAGTAGGGGCAGACGGACACCTCACATGGCTGGGTACTCCTCTGAGACTAAACTTCCAGAGGAACGAACAGGCAGCAACATTTGCTGTTCACCAATATCTGCTGTTCTGCAGCCTCCGCTGCTGATACCTAGGCAAACAGGGTCTGGAGTGGACCTCCAGCAAACTCCAACAGACCTGCAGCTGAGGGTCCTGACTGTTTGAAGGAAAACTAACAAACAGAAAGGACATCCACACCAAGACCCCATCTGTATGTCACCATCATCAAAGACCAAAGGTAGATAAAACCACAAAGGTGGGGAAAAAAACAGAGCAGAAAAACCGGAAACTCTAAAAATCAGAGCGCCTCTCCTCCTCCAAAGGAAGGCAGCTCCTCACCAGCAACGGAACAAAGCTGGATGGAGAATGACTTTGATGAGTTGAGAGAAGAAGGCTTCAGAAGATCAAACTACTCTGAGCTAAAGGAGGAAGTTTGAACCCATGGCAAAGAAGTTAAAAACCTTGAAAAAAAATTAGACAAATGGCTAACTAGAATAACCAATGCAGAGAAGTACTTAAAGGACCTGATGGAGCTGAAAACCACGGCACAAGAACTATGTGATGAATGCACAAGCCTCAGTAGCCGAGTCAATCAACTGGAAGAAAGGGTATCAGCGATGGAAGATCAAATGAGTGAAATGAAGTGAGAAGAGAAGTGTAGCATTGATGCAAAAATCCTCAATAAAATACTGGCAAACCGAATCCAGCAGCACATCAAAAAGCTTATCTACCATGATCAAGTGGGCTTCATCCCTGGGATGCAAGGCTGGTTCAACATATGCAAATCAATAAATGTAATCCAGCCTATAAACAGAACCAAGGACAAAAACCATATGATTATCTCAATAGATGCAGAAAAGGCCTTTGACAAAATTCAACAACACTTCATGCTAAAAACTCTCAATGAATTAGGTAGTGATGTGACATATCTCAAAATAATAAGAGCTATCTATGACAAACCTACAGCCAATATCATACTGAAAGGGCAAAAACTGGAAGCATTCCCTTTGAAAACTGGCACAAGACAGGGATGCCCTCTCTCACCACTCCTATTCAACATAGTGTTGGAAATTCTGGCCAGGGCAATCAGGCAGGAGAAGGAAATAAAGGGTATTCAATTAGGAAATCATGTCCCTGTTTGCAGATGACATGATTGTATATCTAGAAAACCCCATCATCTCAGCCCAAAATCTCCTTAAGCTGATAGGCAACTTCAGCAAAGTCTCAGGATACAAAATCAATGTGCAAAAATCAGAAGCACTCCTGTACACCAATAACAGACAAACAGAGAGCCAAATCATGAGTGAACTCCCATTCATCATTGCTTCAAAGAGAATAAAATACCTAGGAATCCAACTTACAAGGGATGTGAAGGACCTCTTCAAGGAGAACTACAAACCACTGCTCAATGAAATAAAAGAGGCTACAAACAAATGGAGGAACATTCCATGCTGACAGGTAGGAAGAATCAATATCATGAAAATGGCCATACTGCCCAAGGTAATTTTTAGATTCAATACCATCCCCATCAAGCTACCAATGACTTTCTTCACAGAATTGGAAAAAACTACTTTAAAGTTCATATGGAACCAAAAAAGAGCCCACATTGCCAAGTCAATCCTAAGCCAAAAGAACAAAGCTGGAGGCATCATGCTACTTGACTTCAAGCTATACTACAAGGCTACAGTAACCAAAACAGCATGGTACTGGTACCAAAACAGAGATATGGACCAATGGAACAGAACAGAGCCCTCAGAAATAATTCTGCATATCTGCAACTATCTGATCTTTGACAAACCTGAGAAAAACAAGCAATGGGGAAAGGATTCCCTATTTAATAAATGGTGCTGGGAAAACTGGCTAGCCATATGTAGAAAGCTGAAACTGGATCCCTTCCTTACACCTTATACAAAAATTAATTCAAGATGGATTAAAGACTTAAATGTTAGACCTAAAACCATAAAAACCCTAGAAGAAAACCTAGGCAATACCATTCAGGACATAGGCATGGGCAAGGACTTCATGACTAAAACACCAAAAGCAATGGCAACAAAAGCCAAAATTGACAAATGGGATCTAATTAAACTCAGGAGCTTCTGCGCAGCAAAAGAAACTACCATCAGAGTGAACAGGCAACCTACAGAATGGGAGAAAATTTTTGCAATCTACTCATCTGACAAAGGGCTAATATCCAGAATCTACAATAAACTCAAACAAATTTATAAGAAAAAAACGACCTCATCAAAAAGTGGGTGAGGGATATGAACAGACACTTCTCAAAAGAAGACATTTATGCAGCCAGAAGACACATGAAAAAATGGCCATCAGAGAAATGCAAATCAAAACCACAATGAGATACCATCTCACACCAGTTAGAATGGCAATCATTAAAAAGTCAGGAAACAACAGGTGCTGGAGAGGATGTGGAGAAATAGGAACACTTTTACACTGTTGGTGGGACTGGAAACTAGTGCAACCATTGTGGAAGTCAGTGTGGTGATTCCTCAGGGATCTAGAACTAGAAATACCATTTGACCGAGCCATCCCATTACTGGGTATATACCCAAAGGATTATAAAACATGCTGCTATAAAGACACATGCACACGTATGTTTATTGCGGTACTATTCACAATAGCAAAGACTTGGAACCAACCCAAATGTCCAACAATGATAGACTGGATTAAGAAAATGTGGCACATATACACCATGGAATACCATGCAGCCATAAAAAGTGATGAGTTCATGTCCTTTGTAGGGACATGGATGAAGCTGGAAATCATCATTCTCAGCAAACTATCGCAAGGACAAAAAACCAAACACCGCATGTTCTCACTCATATGTGGGAATTGAACAATGAGGACACATGGACACAGGGAGGGGAACATCACAGACTGGGGCCTGTTGTGGGGTGGGGGGAAGGGGGAGGGATAGCATTAGGAGATATACCTAATGTTAAATGACGAGTTAATGGGTGCAGCACAGCAGCATGGCACATGTATACATATGTAACTAACCTGCACATTGTGCACATGTACTCTAAAACTTAAAGTATAATAAAAAAAGTGTAATGCCTTTTAGTTTATGTAACTTTAGTAATCTTCGGGAAATAAAAGCAGCTTTAAAAATTATTGGTAAAATAAAAACCTTTAATGTAAATTATGCATGTCAGATATTAAGTTCGTTAAATGCTTTAAGGTCCTAAACTGCTTCTTTAACTTTTAATAATTGTTCAACTTACCTACCTGAAAGCCATTAGATTCTAGATAAGGCCTCGGGGCATGTGGAATTAGCCATGCCCTCTAGCTATACAAAGAAGATTATAAAGAAAGTTATTTTATGTGAGAAAAGATCTTGTATGGTAAATTCTTGTCCTAAAGTAAAATGACTGGTTGTTTAAAAGGAGGGATGTTTGGAGCAAGTCAGAATGTCCGAAAATGTCTCAGATGGTCTATGTAAGTCGTGAAAGGATTTGTGAAAGGGAATTTATGCAGAAATGTAAAATTCAAAGGTTGTTAGGCCTCGTAAATGCTTCAAAAAATGCCACTGTGGCTCCTTTTTTTTTGAGAGGGAGTTTTGCTCTCGTCACCCAGGCTAGAATGCAATGGCATGATCTTGGCTGACTGTGGCCTCCACCTCCCGAGTTCAGGCAATTCTCCTGCCTCAGCCTCCCAAGTAGCTAGGATTAAAGGCTCACTGTGGCCTCCGCCTCCTGGGTTTGGGCGATTCTCCTACCTCAGCCTCCCAAGTAGCTGGGATTACAGGCACTGGCCACCACACCAGGCTAATTTTTGTATTTTTAGTAGAGACGGGGTTTCAGCATGTTGGCCAGGCTGATCTTGAGCTCCTGACCTCAGGTGATCAGCCTGCCTCAGCCTCCCAAAGTGCTGAGATTACAGCTGTGAGCCACTGCACCAGGCAGACTCTTACTCTAGGACTTGCCAGCTTAAGTAGGGTAAGGCCTGGGGACATGTGGATTTAGCCACATCCCCTAGCTATGCTGGAGACCCAGCTTTTATCTGCTCTTCTGCCTGGTGTGTCCTAGGCTAGGCTCCACACCTAGTACATAATTAAAATGTCAAATTGACCAAGGTTTTTACCAAAAATAGAAGTTGCTAAGAGTTAACATTGTAACATATAGTTGAGACTACTGAAGAAACAATTTTACATGCAAGGTGTGTAAAGAAAGTAAAATGTGATTTTGGTGAAAGATTGTAAGAAGTCATGGGAATGTGGAATTTTTTCTGCCTAAAGTGTTAAAGGATTGTTTTAAGTAAGAAAAAAGTCTAAAGATTTAAACAAGTTGTGGAAGGTTTATAAAAATTAATTTTAAGGGATTCTGTGTGTGAATATATTGGCTAAAGTTAAAGGGGTATTATTCAGTTTTTCTGTAAATTAAACATTGCAATAAAAGTACAACAGGTTTTTCTTAGAGTACTGATCTGCTCTTTCACAAAAAAATGTAAAGGGTTATAAAAAGGTTTATAAGAATCTTACCTTATGGTTAAACATTGAAATTGGGAAAATATGTCTATAAGGTTTTATTAAAAATTGAATTTAACGTTACTAGTACATTAACGTAAAGGTGAAATTTGGCTTATTTGGTATATATCAATTTACCCACCTCAAAGCCATTAGATTCTAGATAAGGTCTCGGGACATGTGGAATTAGCCATGCCCTCTAGCTATACAAAGAAGATTATAAAGAAAGTTATTTTATATGAGAAAGGATCTTGTATGGTAAATTCTTGTCCTAAAGTAAAATGACTGGTTGTTTAAAAGGAGGGATGTTTTTATTTTATATTTTATACAAATGTTTTTATTTTATATTCATACATGAAGCATTATCAAATGTGAAATAGTGTTTTGCTTTCTTTGGACTAAATTTGTATAAATGTGTTATTGGTATATGTTCCAAAGTTATGGGAAACCCCTATAATTCTAATATGACTTAGTGTATGTTATTAATAATTACAGTTGTTACATAAAATCACTGTATGCCACAGAGGTAACAAATTCCCTTATCAATTGTGGCTTTACTAGTGGCTGTCCTAAAACTTTTTATTAGCCACAGAAAATTGTTGTCTTGTTTTAATTTTCTTTAGAAGGTGGTTTATAATCCACTATAGAACTCTAGCAGGTGTTCTTAAATGCAGCTTTCTGATAACTTCGGAAATTGTAACATTAAAATACAGGAAACAACTTTCAGAATTCTCATGAAGAGCTAAAATGTTCATGAATATCAAGCAAAACCAAAACAGGAGTTAACTAAATTCACTGAACCAATAAAAAGCTGAAGTAATATTTTAACTTTGCTTAAAATGCTGCTGATCCTTTGTTTTGTTTTTCAGAGTCAAGGAAACTTTTCTTTTGAGCTACTTACAGCTTTTAGAAGTTGAGTAAAATATACTCCTGCGAACAAAATTTGGGGCATATTTGTTTCTCTCTACCTGATTTTGCCAGAATTTGGAAACTAGTTGTGAGTATTCTTAACTTATGGCAGTATAGTTATTTGCATAAGTACAGTAAGAATCTGTTTTCTTTTGTAACAGGACACAGTTGGAGAAATTGATTATTTTATCAAGGCTTTCACTGGAATGGTGTGTTTTCCTTTGGAGAATTAAACTTGACTTATAGAGCCAATAAAAGCCCCATGGGGAACTGGCCTCATACCTTGCCTACAACAGTCCCTGTGCAGGGTTTCTGACTGGTGGTGAGTAAAGAATGTCACTTTCTGACAGGTCCAGAAGCCCAAAGTTATCTTGGGACCTCAGGAGGAAAAAATTACCCAACTCATAGGTATTTAAGGGTAGAAACCCATGGTTGGGCTCGGCTTTAAAAAAGTCTTATCTGAAATTCCTATGGAACAGAGTTCCATCAATGCCAATTTAAAAAGAGCTTATGTGAAAAATAATTATTCTTGTTGCACTTTATACAAATAATCATGCCAAGTATAATAAAGCAAATCTGTCTTACCATGATTTGTCTTTAGTAAAAATGAGAAACTGGAGAGAGAAATATTATGTTTCAAAAGCTATGTTATACTTATTAGATTCTAGTCTCATCAGTTGTTATTAAGTTTATTTCTGCAATTTAGGGTAACCCTACTTATTCCTGTGAACCAACCAGTGATCTCTGACTGTTGCTCAGCAGAAACAAGAGGGATGGGTAATGTAAAAATCTGGATCAGTATTCTAATTCTGGGTACATTGCAATCAGCTAACAACCCCATACCAGCTTAGTTCCAACAGTTGCCCAGTTCATGAAAAGCCTTCTAATTTAGTGTACTTGGAATAACTTTACTTATTTTGCTTTACTCCTGTGGAATATATTGCTGGTATATTCTTTGTGTAGGAATACAGGACAAGCTTACTGAATGTTTTCTTAAACACCTATTAATCTTCCAAATATTACCTTTTGTCAAAACTCAAGAGTTATGAATGGATCTTACCATACTGAAGCTTTCTGACTGAGCTCCTCTCTACCTTGAATGCAAGAAACGCTCATAGTTAGGTAGGAATATCATAGCCCCTATTCATCCTGAAGTTACAGAAGATGAATCTCCATCAGCAGTGTGTGAACCAGAGCAACTGCATTTTAAATAGGAGCTGGGTGAAATGAGGCTGAAACTTACTAGGCTGCATTCCCAGACAGTTAAGGCATTCTAAGTCACAGGATGAGATAGGAAGTCAGCACAAAATACAGGTCATAAATACCTTGCTGATAAAACAGGTTGCAGTTAAGGAGTCAGCCAAAACCCACCAAAACCAAAATGGCAATGAGAGTGACATCTGGTCGTCCTCACTGCTACATTCCCATTGGCACCATGATAGTTTACAAATGCCATGGCAATGTCAGGAAGTTACCCTATATGGTCTAAAAAGGGGAGGCATGAATAATCCACCCCTTGTTTAGCATATCAACAAGAAATAACCATAAAAATGGGCAACAGCAGCCCTTGAGGCTGCGCTGTCTATGGAGTAGCCATTCTTTTATTCCTTTACTTTGTTAATAAACTTGCTTTCACTTTGAAAAAAACAAACAAACACAAGTGCAGAAACATACATGCATGAGTACAACCATTAATTAGAAGAAAATAATCTTACATATTTAACATTATTACCATTTCTGGTGCTCTTAATTCCTTTGTTTAGATCAAAATTTCCACCTGTTTTTATTTTCCTTCTATAAGAAGGATGTCTCTTAACATTTCTTGTAATGTGATGTACTGGGCACTGTTCTTTTTTGTTTTTCTTTTTTATTTTACTTTAAGTTCTGGCATACATGTGCAAAATGTGCAGATTTGTTACATAGGTATACATATGCCATGGTAGTTTGCTGCACCTATCAACCCATCATCTCGGCTTTAGGTTCCGCATGCATTAAGTATTTGTCCTAATGCTCTCCCTCCCCTTGGATGAGGTTTTTGTGCGGGGGTCCTTTTTGTTGGTGTTGATGTTATTGCCTTCTGTTTGTTAGCTTTTCTTCTAACAGTCAGGCCCCTCTTCTGCAGGTCTGCTGCAGTTTTCTGGAGGTCCGCTCAAGACCCTATTTACCTGGGTATCACCAGCAGAGGCTGCAGAACAGCAAAGACTGCTGCCTGCTCCTTCCTCTGGAAGCTTTGTCCCAGAGGGGCAGCGGCCTGATGCCAGCCAGAGCACTCCTGTATGAGATGTCTGTCCACCCCTGCTGGGAGGTCTCTGCCAGTTAGGAGGCAGGGGGTTCAGGGACCCACTTGAGGAGGCAGTCTGTCCCTTAGCAGAGCTCGAGCGCTGCACTGGAAAAACCTTTTCAGGATGCACTGCTCTCTTCAGAGCCAGCAGGCAAGAACATTTAAGTCCGCTGAAGCTGTGCCCACAGCCGCCCCTTCCCCCAGGTGCTCTGTCCCAGGGAGATGAGAGTTTTATCTATAAGACCCTGACTGAGGCTGTTGACTTTCTTTCACAGATGCCCTGCCCAGTGAGGAAGAATCTAGAGAGGCAGTCTGGCCACAGCTGCTTTGCTGCCCTGTGGTGAGTTACACCCAGTCCGAACTTCCCAGCCTCCTTAACACTGTCAGTGGACGCCCCTTGCCCCACCAAGCTCCATCATCCCAGATTGACTTCAGACTGCTGTGCTAGCAGTGACAAATTCAAGCCAGTGTTTCATAGCTTGCTGGGCTCCGTGGGTGTGGGACCCGCTGAGTGACAGTGACACTACTTGGCTCCCTGGCTTCAGACCCCTTTCCAGGGTAGTGAAGGGTTCTGTCACACGGGTTCCAGGTGCCACTGGGGTATGAAATTAAAATAAATAAATAAATAAATAAAACTCCTGCAGCTAGCTCAGTGTCTGCCCAAACAGCCACTCAGTTTTGTGCTTGAAACCCAGGGCCCTGCTGGTGTTGGCACATGAGGGAATCTCCTGGTCTGTGGATTGCAAAAACTGTGGGAGAAGCATAGTATCTGGACCATATAGCACAGTCCCTCATGGCTTCCCTTGGCTGGGGGAGGAAGAACCCCAGCTCCTTGCACTTTCTGGGTGAGGCGATGCCCCACCCTGCTTCTGCTCACCCTCCAAGGGCTGCACCCACTGCCTAACCGGTCTCAATGAGATGAACTGGGTACCTCAGATGGAAATGCAGAAGTCCCCTGCCTTCTGCGTTAGTCTCACTGGGAGCTGCAGACTGCAGCTGTTCTTATTTGGCCATCTTGCCAGATCCCCGCCAACCATCCCATATAAATTTGAAAATAGTTTTTTTTCTAAATCTGTGAAGAATGTCATTGGTGGTTTAATAGGAATATCATTGAATCTATAAATTGCTTTGGTCAGTTTGGCCATTTTGACAATATTGCTTTTCCTATCATGAACATGGAATGTTTTTCCATTTGTTTGTGTCATCTCTAATTTATTCGAGCAGTGTTTTTGTAGTTCTCATAGAAGAGATTTTTCTCCTCCCTAGCTAGCTGTATTCCTAGGTATTTTATTCTTTTTTTGGCAATTGTGAATGGGATTGTGTTTCTGATTTGGCTTTGAGCTTGGAAGGTTGTTGGTGTATAGAAATGCTCCTGGTTTTTGTACATTAATTTTGTATCCTGAAACTTTCTTGAAGTTGTTTATCAGATCAAGGAGCTTTCGGGCAGAGAGTCTGGGATTGTCTAGGTATAGAACCATATTGTTTGCAAACAGAGATTGTTTGACTTCTATGAAAAATGTAGTGGAGTGAAAGCAAACACCTGTCAGCAATGGAATAGAACAATAAAAATGCCCAAGAATAAATTTAATTTGAATGTGAAGAACTAATATGAAGTAAATAACAATCATTGAGAGGGATACATAAAAAGACTTGAGGAATTGAGTAGTGGCTTTTTCTTGGATAGAGAGATTCTAAAATAGAAAGATGGTTATTGTCCCTAAGATGTAATTTAAAAATAATAACTAGTATCGCAACAGGAATATTTTAGCACCTGATCAAATGATTCTGAAGTTCATCTGAAAGACAAACGTGTCAGAATAGACAGAAAAAGAGAAAGGAATGAGGGAGGGCAAGCATTATTTCACATTTCAAATGGAATCAAGCTACAGCAATTAAAAAAGTGCGGTAGTGGTATGGTTATAAACAACTCAATAGAAGAAAATTAAAAGTAGAGAGTTACATACAAAATTGAGTGGGGATGTAGGTGATGATAAAAGAGCCATTTCAAAACACTGAGTGAAACAGGGATTCAACAACTAATGTTGAGTCCCTATCACTTTAATTTTGTCCAGATGGATCAATGATTTTGAATGTACAATAATGCAACTAAAAACTATGAATGTCTTATTGTATTGGAGTGGGTAAGTTCATTGCAAGCACGACAGCAAACTCGTGAAGGAGGCAAGAAAATGATACATGAAAGCAGATATAAAACAGGTATTAAAATATTTAATATTTATTTCTATGATGGTGAGTTTTTCTGAAACACATTCTTCCCTTAGAGTAACCTGGGGCTCATATTCTCCAAAGCCATTGGAAGTGAAAGAAAGGGTGGGCGGGGGAAAAAGTAAAGTGTTTTGTAAGTTCATTTTTGGTGTCAGGAGAGCTTGTGGTCTAGGTTCTCCACAGAGGCAGGAAAACTTCAGTCACGTGGTGAATGCCCCACTCAGTGCGCATGCTGCACAGATCTGTTACTGCAGATTTCTGTTGCTACGCATGTCTGTTACGCATGCGCCTTGTTGCCTACCTTCTGTCCATGCAGAGCTTTGTGAGAAGAGGTAGTATCTTCATTCTTTCCACCATCTTGATTCTTTCTCTCTGACTGAGGCTCAGCCGGTAGGTCCGCAGAGCGGTCTTCCTGGGAATTTAGTTGTGAGTGAATGTGAGGAGGAGCCAGCGGGCTTTGGACAGGTCCTGCGGCACAGTCTTTGGCTTCTGAGGGAAAGGGGCCTCGCAGTCGTCGTCCGGCTCCTCCCAGGTCGCAATGCTGCTATGGGCCTTGACGTAGTGGCTAGGCTGGAACTAGGGAGGAAAGTGGGCCGCAGAGGGGAGGGATCACGTGAAGATGGGGCGAGTGCTGGAGGTGCTGTTAGAGGTATCTGAGTCCCGAAAACTGGAACCCTCTGAGAGAGGACAGTTTCCAGACTCCTCAGTAGGGACGCGGGAAGGGATGGTGAGGTCGGCAAGGAAGGGGCCTGGGAACTAGGAACGCTGTGGGCTGGTGACTGCGGCCCTGAGGTCTGTAGAGTGCCTGGCAGAGGTGTCCCGTGAGGAACATAAACTTCCCTCTGTGTCGCAACTTCTCACCTCCGCCATGGACGTCATGGGAAGGAATGGGCGAGGCTGTGCGTTCCAGCAAAACTTGATTTTGGTGGGAGGGGTGTAGGGGGGAAATGGGCCTAGTAAATTAAAGTGGGACGAAAGCAGTAGTTATTTCAATTCTCTGCCCGTTTTTTCCTAAATGCCTTCATGACGGAGAGTCTAATTGTAAAACCAAAACTCAAAAAAGTCCTCTTGGCCGGGCGCGGTGGCTCACGCCTGTAATCCCAGCACTTTGGGAGGCCGAGGCGGGCGGATCACGAGGTCAGGAGATCGAGACCATCCTGGCTAACAAGGTGAAACCCCGTCTCTACTAAAAATACAAAAAATTAGCCGGGCGTGGTAGCGGGCGCCTGTAGTCCCAGCTACTCGGGAGGCTGAGGCAGGAGAATGGCGTGAACCCGGGAGGCGGAGCTTGCAGTGAGCCGAGATCGCGCCACTGCACTCCAGCCTGGGCGACAGAGCGAGACTCCGTCTCAAAAAAAAAAAAAAAAAAAAAAAAAGTCCTCTTGTCTTTTGCTGTGGCGTTAAGGTGATTTCTATGCCTCTTCGACCGTGATACAAACAAATCTGTCCTTAGTTTGATTGGAAAGCATGCGTACTTATCATTGCTCTGTGAATTATTTTGAAAATATTTTCAAAATTAAAAAAGTACAAATCACCATTTTGCCATGGAATGTTCATATATATAGCTAAGTTCTTACACACTTTTTCCAAATAACAATATTCTGTTTTCAGTGGGAAATATGAGTGAGCATGTAAGAACAAGATCCCAATCCTCAGAAAGAGGAAATGACTAAGAGTCTTCCCAGCCAGTTGTATCTGTGATTGTGAGTCCTTTAACATTTGATGTTTTCTATTAGCACAATTTATTTTAAAAAATATTTTTGGGCTAGTGTACATGCACTGATACAGGTGTTCCATGCTGTTAAAAAATGATGATGGCATCTCATGAAGGAAACTTTGGTTCAGGAATATTATATTCTGGTGTTACCCTGTATGGATATGGATATTTCTCTCTCTCTCTCTCTCTCTCTCTCTCTCTCTCTCTCTATATATATATATATATATATATATATATATATATATATATACACACATACATGTGTGTGTGTGTGTATATATATCTGTTGGAAAAATGTCTTTAGATTTATGATTCGATGCACATATGCATTTGTGTATTTATATTATTGACTTTTTATTCGCACACACACTTAACACCCTTAGGTCCAGCAGCCCACTGAGGAAAAACGTCAAGAAGAGGAGCCACCAACTGAAAATCAGGGTATTGCACCTACTGGGGAGATCGAAAATGAAGCGGCACCTGCCCTTCAAGGTGAAGGAAGAGTGGAGAATAATGCTTATGGGTGGTGGAGGTATATTTATGCATTATATTTTATGACATACCAGTAACAGGAGGACAGAAAACATTAGGAAGGAATCTTAAACATTTCTTACTGCTGCTGTGCGGAGAGGTGGGACAAGGACACATAAAAAGCCACAAAACTTTCCTGCCGTTTTGACAGAGGCTTTTTATTGATTGGGTATTTGCATGGTTGCCGTAAACCTTTGAGTGTTTTCCAGAGTTCCTGTATGGTTTGTTCAGTCATTTTCTGTTTTTGTTTTGTTTTGTTTTGTTTTATGTTTCTGTGGAAGAATGGCAGCTTGCAGCTTCCGAGTCTGCCATCTACGGACATCTCATGTATTTTTAAGAAACTTTTTAACACACATTTATTAATGCTTCCTCATGCTGTGTAATATACTAAGTGCTGGAGATGTCAGTGCCAAATTTTTGCCTAAAGCTCATAGTCTAGTCAGACTGACTCAAACAAATCACTGATTTAATGTGATAAGAATAAGAACAAATGAGTACAAAAGGAACAAGTAAGTTGTCTAGGGCCAGCCTTGGGAAAGGAAAGCGCAATGTTTGAACATCTCTGCTTTCCTGTTTTCCTGGCAAGAGACTCCTGAAATAATTAGCCTATAGGTTTTTATTTCATAATGATGAGGGAATAAATATTATCATTTCCTCGTTCGTAGTTCAGTTTTTAATTTGTAAATTGATGACCTTTTTATCTTTTAAGGACCTGATGTGGAAGCTTTTCAACAGGAACTGGCTCTGCTTAAGATAGAGGATGCACCTGGAGATGGTCCTGATGTCAGGGAGGGGACTCTGCCCACTTTCGATCCCACTAAAGTGCTGGAAGCAGGTATGTTACTCAATAAGATGGAAACTATAGGGTTTCTATTTTCACAATATTATATTTTATGTGACACAGAGGTAAAATTACTGCTACTTCAATATCATACTTCACATCTAAAGATTCTTTGAAGGTAGTTCAGACCCCAAATGGCTGCCTTACACACTATCAGAGATAGAGGGCCAGGTGTGGTGGCTCATGCTGTTAATTCCAGCACTTTGGGAGGCCGAGGCAGAAGGATCACTTGAGGCCAGGACTTCTAGAGATGGAGAAAAATTGGGTCAAAGCTAATTGGATTATGATATGAAAGATATGAAACATGATAAGGGAGTAGATTTTGAGTGTCTTCACAGCTATGTGAAGTAATGCATATGTTAATTAGGTTGATGTAGCCATTTCACAATGTGTATATATATTTTAAAGCATCATGTTATACATCATAAATATATATTATTTTATGTGTGATTTTTAAAAGAAAGATATGAAAACATGTTCTGACTTTTGAAAGTAAGTCATTTAACCAACAGCCAATAACTTTCAGATAGTTTTATAGAGGCCTGTTTTTAACAAATACATAACATGTTGATAATAAGCATCAGTTTATATTGCAATGTTAACTGTGATGGTAATGGCTTAAAGCTAGCGTGGGTATTCAGTTTGCTGTACAAACTGAACTGCTTTTAGGCATGTAAAGAGACAGGAGTACCCGTGAAAATAGTGCAAATGTTCGCCCTACTTAAAGCAACTACATAATGGCTAAACTAGTCCAAAGTAACGTTTTTACACTTTTTCACAAGAGACACAAAACAAATGTAATACTGACTTTTCTATTTCCTTCACTAAGGCTGTTCTAAGCATATTCTATATTCAGAGTGTTATTTCATATCAAAATATTTAAATGATACTTTAAAATATCTTTTCCCTTAGGATTTTGTTTCTTTGAATTTTCATTGAAAGTATATGCATTTTTTTTGCTTTCCACTTATACATACAAAATAGATTCACTTGATTTAATTCATTCTGAAATTGAACAGTCTCTTTGTTTCCTTATCCTACTAGAAAAAGTGGCATGAATTAAAAATATTGTTAATATGCCTGGAAGTCTACCTTCAGAGTTTATTCAGAGGCTAACTGGACGTAAACTAAAGGGTCACCCTCAGGGTTCTGATATTAGTTCATCAACACGGTAGTTGTATACCTCTAGTGTCACATGAATAAAAATCTGCTGAGTAACGGGCCATAATTATATATTTATTTTATAGGTGATGTGAAAACGTAGGTTTAAACCAAGACAAATGAGGACTGAAACCAAGAATCTTATTCTTAATCTGGAAATTTGACTGATAACATTCTCCTAACAAAGTTTTACAGTTTTCTGCAAAGAATCCTTGCACACTTTTGTTAAATTTATCTCTGGATCTTTAATACTCTTGAGAATTGTATCTTTTTTGAAAGTTTAAATCCTGTGTTTGAGATGGTACATAGAGATGAAATGTTGGTACATTGATTTTCTATCATAGATAGGAAGCTGGAAGCTTTCATAGGGGGATGCCAACAGCTGCACAGATGGAAAAGGCCACCTGGGGCCAGGCATGTCCACCATGGGCTTTCCACCTCCTCGTTTTTAGCACATGCACAGTAAGAATGAAATGAGCAACATGGAGTAGCTCAGGCTGAGAACCCGCCTGCATAATAAAAGATTAGTGTGGGGGCTGCCAGAGATTCACGCCCTATGTAGATGGTACACCTGGTCCTAACCAGTTGTTTGTACCCTATGTAGGTGATCAGATACTGCCTCCCCACTAGTTCATCTATAAAAACCCCTGCATTTCACTGCAGGATGGCAACCATTTCTTCTGGGACCCCTCTCTGTAGCAGAAAGCTGTTCTCTTTGTTTCTCCTACTAACTTTCTGCTGTAAACCTCACTCTTGGTGTGCCCATGTCCTTGATTTCCTTGGCTGTGAGACCAAGAACTATGGGTGTTACCCCAGACAATGAGGCCACTTCAATAGTAGCTGTGGGTCTGTGGTATATGGCTTTTATTACATTGGAGTATGTTCCTTCTTTCCCCGGTGTTTGAGGGTTTGTATCATGATGACATATTGAGTTTTATTAAATGCTTTTCAGCATCAATTGAAATGATTATATGGATTATATCCTTCATTCCATTCATATGATTTATCACATAAATTAATTTGCATATGTTGAACCATCGTTCCATCCCAGGGATAAATCTCACTTGGT
This sequence comes from Homo sapiens, assembly GCF_000001405.40. Lineage (NCBI taxonomy): Eukaryota > Metazoa > Chordata > Mammalia > Primates > Hominidae > Homo > Homo sapiens. Next base: position 55,285,082 of record NC_000023.11, read on the forward strand.
CATGATGATTGTTCTTTCTAATGTATTGTTGAATTTGATTTGCTAGTATTCTGTTGAGGATTTCTGCATCAATATTCATCAGCAGTTTTGCCCTGTAGTTTTCTTTTTTTGATGTGTCTTTGTCTGGTTTTGGTATCAGGATAATACTGGCCTCATAGAATGAGTTTGGAAGTATTCCTTCCTCCTCTATTTTTCGAAATAGTTTGAGTAGGACTGGTATTAGTCCTTCTTTAAATGTTGGGTAGAATTCAGTAGTGAAGCCATCAGTTCCGGGTGTTTCTTTACTGGAAGACTTTTATTATGGCCTTGATCTTGTTGCTTGTTACTGGTCTGTTCAGGTTATGAATTTCTTCATGGTTCATTCTTGGGAGGCTGTATGTATCTAGGAATTAGTCCATTTTTTTTCTAGATTTTCCAATTTATAGGCATGGAGTTTCTCATAGGAGCCAGTTATGATCCTTTGAAGTTTTGCAGCATCAATTTTATAATGTCTCCTTTTTCATTTCTTTCTTTTTCATTTATTTATTTATTTTTTCTGGAGACAGTCTCCTTTTGTCACCAGGCTGGAGCGCAGTGGCACAGTCTCAGCTCACTAGAACCTCCACCTCCAGGGTTCAAGCAATTCTCTTGCTTCAGCCACCGTAGTAGCTGGGATTACAGGCACCTACCACCATGCCTCGTTAATTTTTGTATTTTTAGTAGAGATGGAGTTTTGCCATGCTGGCCAGGTTGGTCTTGAAGTCCTGGCCTCAGGTGATCCACCTGCCTCAGCCTCCCAAATCGTTTTTCATTTCTGATTTATTTATTTGGTTTCCCTCTTTTTTTATTACTTTGGCTAATGGTTTGTCAATTTTGGTTAACTTATTAAAAAAACTTTTTGTGTTATTGCTCTTTTATAGGGTTTTTTCATTTCAATTTCATTTATTTCTGCTGGGATCTTTATTATTTCTTTTCTTCTAATTTTTGGTTTGGTTTGCTCTTTCTTTGCAGCTCTTTAAGATGCATCATTAGATTGTTTATTTGAAGTTTTTACCTTTTTTGTTTTAGGCACTTATAGCTATAAACCTCTTTCTGAGTACTGTTTTTGCTGTATCCCATCGGTTTTGATGTGTTGTGTCTCCATTATCATTTGTTTCAATAACTTTTTAAATTTCCTTCTTAGCTTCTTCATTGACCCATTATTCATTCAGGAGCAGATTATTCAGTTTTCATGTATTTATATAGTTTCCAAAATTCCTCGTTATTAATTTCTAGTTTTATGGCATTGTGGTCTGACAAGATCCATGATATTATTTCAGGTTTTTTTTTTAATGTTTTGAGATCTAACATATATGGTCTTGTCCTTGAGAATGATCCATGTGCTGAGGAAAAGAATGTGTATTCTGTAGCTGTTGGATGAAATGTTCTGTAAATATCTATTAGATCCATGTGTCTGCAGTGCAGATTAACTCTGTTTTTGTTTTTGTTGTTGTTGTTGAGTTTCTGTCTGGCAGATCTGTCCAATACTGAATGTGGGGTGCTGAAGTCGCCATCTATTATTTTATTGGGGCCTATCTCTCTCTTTAGCTCTAATAGCATTTGTTTTATACATCTGGGTGCTAAAATGTTGAATGCGTATTTATTTAAAATTGTTAATATCCTTTGGATGAATTGACCCCTTTATTATTATATAGTGACCTTTTAGTCTCTTCTCAAAGTTTTTGTTTTGAAATCTATTTTTTTCTTATTCTTTTGGTATCTTTTAAGTTCAGGCATACATGAGGTGCAGGTTTGTTATACAGGTGAACTTATGTCATGGGGGTTTGTTGTACGATTATTTTGTCACCCAGGTATTAAGCCTGGTACTTATGAGCTATTTTTTCCTGATCCTCTCCCTCCTCCCATCCTCCACTCTTTGGTGGGCCCCAGTGTCTGTTGTTCTCCTCTGTGTGTTTATTTTTTCCCATTTATAGCTTCCACTTATAAGTGAGAACATGCAGTATTTAGTTTTCTGTTCATGCATTACTTTGCTAAGTATAATGACCTCCAGCTCCGTCCATGTTCTGGCCACGGAGATAATGTCATTCGTTTTTATGGCTGCATCCTATTCCATGGTATATATGTACTCCATTTTCTTTATCCAGTCTACCGTTGATGGGCTTTTTGGTTGATTCCATGTATTTGATATTGTGAATAGTGCTGCAGTGAACATATGTGTGCATGTGTCTTTATGATAGAACAGTTTATATCCCTTTGGCTGTATACCCAGTAATGGGATTGCTGTATCGAATGGTAGTTCTGTTTTTAGGTCTCTGGGGGATCAGCACACTGTTTCCCACAATGGTTGAACTAATTTCCACTTCCACCAACAGTGAATAAGTGTTTCCTTTTCTCCACAAAGTCACCAGCATCATTTTATTTTACCAGTTATTTTATTTTATTTTACTTTTTAATAATAGCCATTCTGACTGGTGTGAGATGATATCTCATTGTGGTTTGAATTGCACTTCTCCAATGATCAGTGGCTTTGAGCTTTATTTCATATGCTTGTTGGCCACATACATGTCTCCTTTTGATAGTGTTTGTTCATGTTCTTGGGCCACTTTTTAATGGTATTATTTTTTGTTTTGTTTTGTTTTCTGAGACGATGTCTCAGTCTGTTGCCCAGGCTGGAGTGCAGTAGCACAGTCTCCACTCACTGCAACCTCTGCCTCCCAGTTTGAAGTGATTCTCCTGCCTCAGCCACCCTAGTACCTGGGATTACAGGCATGCACCACCATACCAAGCTAATTTTGTATTTTGTTGGTTTAAAGCCCGTTTTATCAAAGATGAGGATTGCAACCCCTACTTTTTTTTTCTTTCCATTTGCTTGCTCAGTATTCCTCCATTCCTTTATTTTGAGCCTCCATGTCCTTTGTATGTGAGATGAGTCTTCTGTATCTATCACACCGATGGGTCTTGACTTTTTATCCAATGTGCCAGTCTCTGTGTTTTCGTTTGGTTGAATTTTTACTGAAAGTATATGCATTTTTTTTTGGTTTCCTCTTTTTTTTTTTTTTTGAGACGGAGTCTCGCTCTGTCGCCCAGGCTGGAGTGCAGTGGCATGATCTTGGCTCATTGCACCCTCCGCCTCCTGGGTTCACACCATTCTCCTGCTTCAGCCTCCCTAGTAGTTGGGACTACAGGTGCCTGCCACCACGCCCAGATAATTTTTTATATTTTTAGTAGAGACGGGGTTTCACCGTGTTAGCCAGGATGGTCTCGATCTCCTGACCTTGTGATCCGCCTGCCTCGGCCTCCCAGAGTGCTGGGATTACAGGCGTGAGCCGCCGAGCCTGGCCTGCTTTCCTCTTATACATATAAAATAGATTCACTTGGTTTAATTCATTCTGAACTTGAACAGTCTTTTTGTTCCCTTTTTGTGCTAGAAAATGTGGTATGAGTTAAAAATGTTGTTAACTACCTTCAGAGTTTATTCAGAGGCTAACTGGATGTAAGCTAAAGGGTCACCCTTAGGGTTCTGATTTTACGGTTATTTGTATACCTCTGGTGTCATCTAAATAAAAATTTGCTGAGTAACATGTTCTAATTTTATATTTATATTATAGGTAATGGGCAACCATAGGTTTAAACCAAGACAAATGAAGACTGAAACCAAGAATGTTGTTCTTATGCTGGAAATTTGACTGCTAACATTCTCTTAATAAAGTTTTACAGTTTTCTGCAAATAATTCTTTCATATTTTTGTTAAATTTATTTCTGAATTTTTAATACTCCCGAGAACTGTATCTTTTATGAAAGTTTAAATCCTGTGTTTGAGATGGTATATAAAGATAAAATGTTGATACATTGATTTTCTATCATAGATAGATAGGAAGCTGGAAGCTTTCATAGGGGGATGCCAGCAGCTGCACAGATAGAAAAGGCCACATGGGGCCAGGTATGTCCACCATGGGGGTTGCATCTCCCTTTTTTTAGCACATGCACAGTAAGAAAGTAATGAGCAACATGGAGTAGCTCAGGCTGAGGACCTGCCTGTGTAATAAAAGTTTAGGGTAGGGGCTGCCAGAGATTCATGCCCTATGCAGATGGTACACCTGGTCATATCTGGTTGTTTGTACCCTATGTAGATCAGATACTGCCTCCCCACTAGCTCATCTATAAAAACCCCTGCATTTCACTGCAGGATGGCAACCCTTTTTTCGGGACCCCTCTCTGTAGCAGAGAGTTGTTTTCTTTCTTTCTCCTATTAAATTTCTGCTCTAAACCTCATTCTTGGTGTGTCTGTGTCGTTGATTTCCTTGGCTGTGAGACCAAGAACTCTTGGAGTTACCCCAGACCACAAGGCCATTTCAATGCTAGCTGTGGATGTGTTGTATATGGCTTTTATTACAGTTAAGTATGTTCTTTCTATTCCCAGTGTTTTGAGGGTTTGTATCATGATGACAATGTTGAGTTTTATTAAATGCTTTTTTAGCATCAATTGAAATGATTATATGTTTTTTATCCTTCATTCCGTTGATATGATTTATCACATAAATTAATTTGTGTATGTTGACCCATCCTTGTATCCCAGGGATAAATCTCACTTGGTCATGATGAATATTCTTTCTAATATATTGTTGAATTTGATTTGCTGGTATTTTGTTGAGGATTTCTGCATCAATATTCATCAGCGGTTTTGCCCTGTAGTTTTCTTTTTTTGATGTGTCTTTGTCTGGTTTTGGTATGAGGGCAATACTGGCCTCATAGAATTAGTTTGAAAATATTCCATCCTCCTCTATTTTTCAAAATAGTTCGAGTAGGATTGGTATTGGTTTTTCTTTTAATGTTGGGTAGAATTCAGCAGTGAAGCCAGTGAACTCAGCAGTGAAGAAAAGTCCCAGGCTTTTCTTTACTAGAAGACTTTTATTATGGCTTTGATCTTGTTACTTGTTATTGGTCTGTTCAGGTTATGGTTTTCTTCTTGGTTCAATCTTGAGAGGTTGTAGGTATCTAAGAATTGGTCCATTTGGTCTAGATTTTCCAATTTATAGGCATATATTTGCTCATAGGAGCCAGTAATGATCCTTTGACTTTCCGCAGCCTCAGTTGTAGTGTCTCCTTTTTCATTTCTTTTCTTTCTTTCTTTCTTTCTTTTTTTTTTTTGGCAGAATCGCGCCCTGTCAGCCAGGCTGGAGTGCAGTGGTGCAGTCTTAGCTCACTAGAACTTCCATTTCCTGGGATCAAGCAATTTTCTTGCCTCAGCCACCCTAGTAGCTGGGCTTACAGGCACCTGCCACCACGCCTGGCTAATTTTTGTATTTTTGGTAGAGATGGGGTTTTGCCATGTTGGCCATGCTGGTCTTGAGCTCCTGGCCTCAAATGATCTGCCTGCCTCAGCCTCCCAAATAGTTTTTTTTTATTTCTGATTTGATTTAGTTGGATTTTCTCTTTTTTTCTTAGTCTGGCTAATGGTTTGTCAATTTTGGTTGACTTATTAAAAAACAACTTTTGTTTTATTGCTCTTTTCTAGTTTTTTTTTCATTTCAGTTTCTTTTATTTCTGCTCTGATCTTTATTCTTTTCTTCTAATTTTTGGTTTGGTTTTTCTCTTTCTTTGCAGCTCTTTAAGATGCATAATTAGATTATTTGAAGTTTTTACCTTTTTTGATGTGAGCACTTATAGCTATAAACCTCTTTCTGAGTACTGCTTTTGCTGTATATCCCATAGGTTTTGGTATGTTGTGTTTCCATTATCATTTGTTTCAAGAAATTTTTAAATTTCCTTCTTAGCTTCTTCATTGACCCATTAATCATTCAGGAGTGGATTGTTGAGTTTTCATGTATTTGTATAGTTTCCAAAATTCCTCTTGTTATTCATTTCTAGGTTTATTCCATTGTGGTCTGACAAGAAGCTTGATATTATTTCAATTTTTTTAATGTATTGTGACCTAACATATGGTCTATCCCTGAGAATGATCCATGTGCTGAGGGAAAGAATGTGTATTCTGTAGCTGTTGGATGAAGTTCTGTAAATATCTATTAGATCCATGCGGTCTATAGTGCAGATTAAGTCTGGTTTTTTGTTGTCGTTGTTGAGTTTCTGTCTGGAAGATCTGTCCAGTGCTGAATGTGGGGTGCTGAAGTCTCTATCTATTATTGTATTGCAGCCTATCTCTCTCTTTAGCTCTAATAGTATTTGTTTTATATAAGTGGGTGCTCCAGTGTTGGGTGCATATATATTTAAAATCGTTACATGCTTTTGATGAGTTGACCCCTTTATTATTATATATAGTGACCTTTTTGCCTCCTTTCAATGTTTTCGTTTTGAAATCTATTTTTTTCTTTATTCTTTTTTTATTTTTTTTTATTTATTTTTTTTTTTTTTTGAGACAGAGTCTCGCTCTGTCGCCCAGGCTGGAGTGCAGTGGCGGGATCTCGGCTCACTGCAAGCTCCGCCTCCCGGGTTCACGCCATTCTCCTGCCTCAGCCTCCCAAGTAGCTGGGACTACAGGCGCCCGCCACTACGCCCGGCTAATTTTTTTGTATTTTTAGTAGAGACGGGGTTTCACCGTTTTAGCCGGGATGGTCTCGATCTCCTGACCTCGTGATCCGCCCGCCTCGGCCTCCCAAAGTGCTGGGATTACAGGCGTGAGCCACCGCGCCCGGCCTCTTTATTCTTTTTTATCTTTTATATTAAGTTCGGGCATACATGTGGTGCAGGTTTGTTATACAGGTGAACTTGTGTCATGGGTGTTTGTTGTACAGATTATTTTGTCACCTAGGTATTAAGCCTGGTACTCATGAGCTATTTTTCCTGATCCTCTCCCTCCTCCCATCCTCCACTCTTTGGTAGGCCCCAGTGCCTGTTGTTCTCCTCTATGTGTCCGTTTTTTCTCATTTTTAGCTCCCACTTATAAGTGAGAACATGCAATATTTAGTCTTCTGTTCCTGCATTACTTTGCTAAGTATAATGACCTCTAGCTCCATCCATGTTCCATCAATGGATATAATGTCATTCATTTTTATGGCTGCATACTGTTCAATGGTATATGTGTGCTACATTTCTTTTTATCCAGTCTACCATTGATAAGCTTTTAGGTTGATTCCATGTTTTTGGTATTGTTAATAGTGCTGCAGTGAACACGTGTGTGCATGTGTCTTTATGATAGAACAATTTATATTCATTTGGCTATATACCCAGTAATGGGATTGCTGGATGGAATGGTAGTTCTGTTTTTAGGTCTTTGGGGAATCACCACACTGTTTCCCACCATGGTTGAACTAATTTCCACTTCCACCAACAGTGAGTAAGTGTTTCTTTTTCTCCATAACATCACCAGCATCTGTTATTATTTTTTTTTTATTTTTTAATGATAGCCTTTCTGACTCGTGTGAGATGATATCTCATTGTGGTTTGAATTGCATTTCTCTAATGATCAGTGATGTTGAGTTTTATTTCATATGCTTGTTGGCTGCATGCATGTCTTCTTTTGAAAGTGTTCATATCCTTGGCCCAGTTTTTAAAGGTATTTTTTTTTTGTTTTGTTTGTTTTTTGAGACAGAATCTCAGACTCTTGCCCAGGTTGGAGTGCAGTGGTGCGATCTCCACTCACTGCAACCTCTGCCTTCCATGTTCAAGCGATCCTACTGCCTCAGCCCTCCCCTAGTAGCTGGGATTACAGGTGTGCACCACCACGCCCATCTGATTTTTGTATTTTTGGTAGAGATGGGGTTCTGCCACGTTGGCCAGGCTGGTCTCGAACTCCTGGCCTCAAGTAATCTGCCTGCCTTGGCCTTCCAAAGTGCTGGGATTACAGGCGTGAACCACTGAGCCTGGCCTGTCGTTTTTGTTTGTTTGTTTGTTTATTTGTAAATTTGTTTAAGTTCCTTATAGAGGCTGGATACTAGACTTTAAACAGATGCACAGTTTGCCATAATTTTCTTCCATTCTGTGTGTTGTGTTCACTCTCTGGATGGTTTCTTTGCTGTGCAGAAGCTCTTTAGTTTTATTAGATCCCATTTGTCAATTTTTGCTTTTATTGCAATTGATTTTGGCATCTTCGGTATGAAATCTTTGTCCTTTCCTATGTCCAGAATGATATTGCCTAGGTCGTCTTCCAGGATTTTTATAGTTTTGGGTTTTACGTTTAAGTTCTTAATCCATCTTTAATTAATTTTTGTGTAAAAAGTGGTCCAGTTTCAATCTTTTGCATATAGCTAGCCAGTTATCCCAGCACCATTTGTTGAATAGGGAGTCCTTTCTACATTGCTTGTTTTTGTCAACTTTGTTGAAGATCAGATGATAATAGGTGTGAAGTGTGCAGCATTATTTCTGGACTGTGTATTCTATTTCATTGGTCTATGTGTCTGTTTTGGCATCAGTAGCACGTGGTTTTGCTTATTGTAGCCTCATAGTGTAATTTAAGATGAGGTAATATGATGCCTCTGGCTTCGTTCATTTTACTTAGGATTGCCTTGGCTATTCAGGCTCTTTTTTGATTCCATATGATTTTTTTTAGATTTTTTTTTCTTTTTTTAAATTTTACTTTAAGTTCTGGGATAAATGTGCAGAACGTGCAGGTTTGTTATATAAGAATACGTGTGCCATGGTGATTTGCTGCACGTATCAACCTGTCATCTAGGTTTTAAGCCCCACATGCATTAGGTATTTGTCCTAATGCTCTCCCTCCCCTTGCCCCCCACCTCCTGACAGGCATGGGTGTATGATGTTCCCCTCCCTGTCTCCATGTTTTCTCCTTGTTCAGCTCCCACTTATGAGAGAGAACATGTGGTGTTTGTTTTTCTGTTCCTGTGTTAGTTTGCTGAGAATGATGGTTTCCAGCTTCATCCATGTTCCTGCAAAGGACATGAACTCATTCTTTTTTATGGCTGCATAGTATTCCATGGTGCATATGTGCCACATTTTCTTTATCCAGTCTATCATTGATGGGCATTTGGGTTGGTTCCAAGTCTTTGTTATTGTAAATAGTGCTGCATTAAACATATGTGTGCATGTGTCTTTATAGTAGATGATTTATACTCCTTTAGGTATATACCCAGTAATGGGATTGCTGGATCAAATGGTATTTCTGGTTCTACTTCCTTGAGGAATTGCCACACTGTCTTCCACAATGGTTGAACTAATTTACACTCCCACCAACAGTGTAAAAGTGTTCCTATTTCTCCACATCCTCTCCCGCATTTGTTGTTTCCTGACTTTTTAATGATTGCTGTTTTAACTGGCAAGAAATGGTATCTCATTGTGGTTTTGATTTACATTTCTCTAATGACCAGTGATGATGAGCTTTTTTTCATATGTTTGTTGGCCACATAAATGTCTTCTTTTGAGAAGTGTGTGTTCATATCCTTCACCCACTTTTTGCTGGGGTTGTTTGTTTTTTCTTGTAAATTTGTTTATGTTCGTTTTAGATTCTGAATATTAGACCTTTGTTAGATGGATACATTGCAAAAATTTTCTCCCATTCTGTAATTTGTGTGTTCACTCTGATGATAGTTTCTTTTGCTGTGCAGAAGCTCTTTAGTTAGATCCCATTTGTCAATTTTGGCTTTTGTTGCCATTGCTTTTGTTATTTTAGTCATGAAGTCTTTGCCCATGCCTATGTCCTGAATGGTATTGCTTAGGTTTTCTTCTAGGGTTTTTATGATTTTTGGTTTTACGTCTAAGTCTTTAATCCATCTTGAGTTAATTTTTGAATAAGGTGTAAGGGAGGGGTCCAGTTTGTTTTCTGCATATGGCTAGACAGTTTTCTCAACACCATTTATTAAATAGGGAATCCTTTCCTCATTGCTTGTTTTTGTCAGGTTTGTCAAAGATCAGATGATTGTAGATGTGTGGTGTTATTTCTGAGGCCTCTGTTCTGTTCCATTGGTCTATATATCTGTTTTGGTGCTAGGGCCATGCTGTTTTCGTTTCTGCAGCTTTGTAGTATAGTTTCAAGTCAGGTAGTGTGATGCCTCCAGCTTTGTTCTTTTTGCCTTGGATTGTCTTGGCTCTACGAGCTCTTTTTTGGTTCTATATGAAATTTAAAATAGTTTTTTATTCTGGTTCTGTGAGGAAAGCCAATGGTAGCTTGATGGGAACAGCACTGAATCTATAAATTACGTTGGGCAGTGTGGCCATTTTCATATTAATTCTTTCTATCCATTAGCATTGAGTGTTTTTCCATTTGGTTGTGTCCTCTCTTATTTCCTTGAGCAGTGGTTTGTAGTTCTCCTTTAAGAGGTCCTTCATGCCCTTGTAAGTTGTATTCCTAGGTATTTTATTCTCTTTGTAGCAATTGTGAATGGGAGTTCACTCATGATTTGGCTCTCTGCTTGTCTTTTATTGGTGGATAGCACTGCTTGTGATTTATACACATGGATGTTGTATCCTGAGACTTTGCTGAAGTTGCTTATCAGCTTAAGGAGTTTTGGGGCTGAGATGATGGGGTTTTCTAAATATACAGTCATGTCATCTGCAGCAAGAGACAATTTGATTTCCTCCCTTCCTATTTGAATACTCATTTTCTTGCCTGATTGCCCTAGCCAGAACTCCCAATACTAAGTTGAATAGGAGTGGTGAGAGAGGGCATCCTTAGGCTGGTTTTCAAAGGGAATGCTTCCAGCTTTTGCCATTCACTATGATATTGGCTATGGGTTTGAAATAAATAGCTCTTATTATTTTGAGATATGTTCCATCAATACCTAGTTTATTGAGAGTTTTTAGCATGAAGGGATGTTGAATTTTATTGTAGGCCTTTTATGCATCTATTGAGATAATCATGTGGTTGTTGTCATTGGTTCTATTTATGTGATGGATTATGTTTATTGATTTGTGTATGTTGAACCAGCCTTGCATCCCGGGGATGAAGGGGACTTGATCGTGTTGGATAAGCTTCTTGATGTGCTGGTGGATTCGGTTTGCCAGTATTTTATTGAGGATTTTTGCATTGATGTTCATCAGGGATATTGGCCTGAAATTTTCTTTTTTTGCTATGTCTCTGCTAGGTTTTGGTATCAGGATAATGTTGGACTCATAAAATGAGTTAGGGAGTAGTCCCTCTTTTTCTATTGTTTGTAATAGTTTCGGAATGGTACCAGCTCCTCTTTGTAGAATTCGGCGGTGAATCCGTCTGGTCCTGGGCTTTTTTGGTTGGTAGGCTATTAATTACTGCCTCAATTTCAGAACTTGTTATTGGTCTATTCAGGGATTCAACTTCTTCCTGGTTTAGTCTTGGGAGGATGTATGTGTCCAAAAATTTATCCATTTCTTCTAGATTTTGTAGTTTATTTTCATAGAGGTGTTTATAATATTCTCTGATGCTAGTTTGTATTTTTGTGGGATCGGTGGTGATATCTCTTATCATTTTTTATTGTGTCTATTTGATTATTCTCTCTTTTCTTCTTTATTAGTCTTGCTAGCGGTCTATCTATTTTGTTAATCATTTCAAAAAAACCAGCTCCTGGATTCACTGACTTTTTGAAGGGTTTTTCGTGTCTCTGTCTCCTTCAGTTCTGCTCTGATCTTAGTTATTTCTTGTCTTCTGCTAGCTTTTGAATTTGTCTGCTCTTGCTTCCCGAGTTCTTTTAATTACAATGTTAGGGTGTCAATTTTAGATCTTTCCTGCTGTCCCTTGTGGGCATTTAGTGCTATAAATTTCTCTCTTAACACTGCTTTAGCTGTGTCCCAGGGATTCTGATATGTTTTCCCTTTGTTCTCATTGGTTTGAAAGAACTTCGTTATTTCCGCTTTGATTTCATTATTTACACAGTAGTAATTCAGGAGCAGGTTTTTCACTTTCCATGTCGTTGTGCAGTTTTGAGGGAGTTTCTTAATCCTGAGTTGTAATTTGATTGCGCTGTGGTCTGACAAACTGTTTGTTACGATTTCCGTTATTTTGCATTTGCTGAGGCATGTTTTACTTCCAGTTATATGGTCGATTTTAGAATAAGTGCTATGTGGTGCTGAGAAGAATGTATATTCTATCGATTTAGGTGGACATTTCAGTAGATGTCTATTAGGTCAGCTTGATCCAGAGCTGAGTTCAAGTCCTGAATATTGTTGTTAATTTTCTTTCTCATTGATCTGTCTAATATTGACAGTGGGGTGTTAAAGTCTCCAACTATTATTGTTTGGGAGTCTAAGTCTCCTTGTAGGTCTATAAGAACTTGTTTTATGAATCTGGGTGCTCCTGTATTCGGTGCATATATATTTAGGATAGTTAGCTCTTGTTGCATTGATCCCTTTACCATTATGTAATGCCCTCCTTTGTCTTTTTTTGATCTTTGTTGGTTTAAAGTCTCTTTTATCAGAGACTAGCATTGCAACCCCTGCTTTTTTTTTTTGCTTTCCATTTGTTTGATGGATATTCCTCCATTCCTTTATTTTGAGGCCATGTGTGTCTTTGCACATGAGATGAGTCTCCTGAGTACAGCACAGAGATAAGTCTTGACTCTTTATCCAATTTGCCAGGCTGTGCCTTTTAATTGGGACATTTAGCCCATTTACATTTAAGGTTAATATTGTTGTGTGTGAATTTGATCCTGTCATCATGATGCTAGCTGGTTATTTTGCACATTAGTCGATGCAGTTTCTTTCTTTTTGGTTTTCTTTTTTTATTATTATTATACTTTAAGTTCTAGGGTACATGTGCACAACATGCAGGTTTGTTACATAGGTATACATGTGCCATGTTGGTGTGCTGCACCAATTAACTTGTCATGTACATTAGGTATGTCTCCTAATGCTATCCCTCTCCCCTTCCCTCAACCCACAACAAGCCCCGGTGTGTGATGTTCTCCTTCCTGTGTCCAAATGTTCTCATTGTTCAATTCCCAACTGTGAGTGAGAACATGCAGTGTTTGGTTGTTTGTCCTTGCAATAGTTTGCTGAGAATGATGGTTTCCAGCTTCATCCATGTCCCTAAAAATGACATGAACTCATCCTTTTTTATGGCTGCATAGTATTCCATGGTGTATATGTGCCATATTTTCTTAATCCAGTCTATCATTGATGGACATTTGGGTTGGTTCCAAGTCTTTGCTGTTGAGAATAGTGCTGCTATAAACATACATGTGCATGTGTCTTTATAGCAGCATGATTTATAATCCTTTGGGTATATACCCAGTAATGGGATGGCTGGGTCAAATAGTATTTCTAATTCTAGATCCCTGAGGAATCGCCACACTGTCTTCCACAGTGGTTGAACTAGTTTCCAGTCCCACCAACAGTGTAAAAGTGTTCCTATTTCTCCACGTCCTCTCCAGCACCTGTTGTTTCCTGACTTTTTAATGATTGCCATTCTAACTGGTGTGAGATGGTATCTCATTGTGGTTTTGATTTGCATTTCTCTGATGGCCAGTGATGATGAGCATTTTTTCATGTCTGTTGGCTGCATAAATGTCTTCTTTTGAGAGGTGTCTGTTAATATCCTTCGCCCACTTGTTGATGGGGTTGTTTGTTTGTTTCTTGTAAATTTGTTTCAGTTCTTTGTAGATTCTGGATATTAGCCCTTTGTCAGATAAGTAGATTGCAAAAATTTTCTCCCATTCTGTAGGTTGCTTGTTCACTCTGATGGTAGTTTCTTTTGCTGTGCAGAAGCTCTTTAGTTTAATTAGATCCCATTTGTCAATTTTGGCTTTTGTTGCCATTGCTTTTGGTGTTTTAGTCATGAAGTCCTTGCCTATGCCTATGGCCTGAATGGTATTGCCTAGGTTTGTTTCTAGGGTTTTTATGGTTTTAGGTCTACAATTTAAGTGTTTAATCCAGCTTGAATTAATTTTTGTATAAGGTGTAAGGAAGGGATCCAGTTTCAGCTTTCTACATATGGCTAGCCAGTTTTCCCAGCACCATTTATTAAATAGGGAATCCTTTCCCCATTTCTTGTTTTTGTCAGGTTTGTCAAAGATCAGATGGTTGTAGATGTGTGGTATTATTTCTGAGGGCTCTGTTCTGTTCCATTGATCTATATCTCTGTTTTGGTACCAGTACCGTGCTGTTTTGGTTACTGTAGCCTTGTAGTATAGTTTCAAGTCAGGTAGCATGATGCCTCCATCTTTGTTCTTTTGGCTTAGGATTGAATTGGCAATGCGGGCTCTTTTTTGGTTCCATACTTTGAGGTAATTTTCTTCAATTCTGTGAAGAAAGTCACTGGTAGCTTGATGGGGATGGCATTGAATCGATAAATTACCTTGGGCAGTACAGCCATTTTCATGATATTCATTCTTCCTATCCATGAGCATGGAATGTTCTTCCATTTGTTTGTGTCCTCTTTTATTTCATTGAGCAGTGGTTTGTACTTCTCCTTGAAGAGGTCCTTCACATCCCTTGTAAGTTGGATTCCTAGGTATTTTATTCTCCTTGAAGCAATTGTGAATGGGAGTTCACTCATGATTTGGCTCTCTGTTTGTCTGTTATTGGTGTATAAGAATGCTTGTGATTTTTGCACATTGATTTTTGTATCCTGAGACTTTGCTGAAGTTGCTTATCAGCTTAAGAAGATTCTGAGCTGAGACAATGGGGTTTTCTAAATATACAATCATGTCATCTGCAAACAGGGACAATTTGACTTCCTCTTTTCCTAATTGAATACCCTTTATTTCTTTCTCCTGCCTGATTACCCTGGCCAGAACTTCCAACACTATGTTGAATAGGAGTGGTGAGAGAGGGCATCCCTGTCTTGTGCCAGTTTTCAAAGGGAATGCTTCCAGTTTTTGCCCTTTCAGTATGATATTGGCTGTGGGTTTGTCATGATAGCTCTTACTATTTTGAGATACGTCCCATCAATACCTAATTCATTGAGAGTTTTTAGCATGAAGGGCTGTTGAATTTTGTCAAAGGCCTTTTCTGCATCTGTTGAGATAATCATGTGGTTTTTGACTTTGGTTCTGTTTATATGCGGGATTACATTTATTGATTTGCATATGTTGAACCAGCCTTGCATCCCAGGGATGAAGCCCACTTGATCATGGTGGATAAGCTTTTTGATGTGCTGCTGGATTCGGTTTGTCAGTATTTTATTGAGGATTTTTGCATTGATGTTCATCAGGGATATTGGTCTAAAATTCTCTTTTTTGGTTGTGTCTCTGCCAGGCTTTGGTATCAGGATGATGCTGGCCTCATAAATTGAGTTAGGGAGGATTCCCTCTTTTTCTATTGATTGGAATACTTTCAGAAGGAATGGTACCAGCTCGTCCTGGTACCTCTGGTAGAATTTGGCTGTGAATCCGTCTGGCCTTGGACTTTTTCTGGTTGGTAACGTATTAATTATTGCCTCAATTTCAGAGCCTGTTATTGGTCTATTCAGAGATTCAGCTTCTTCCTGGTTTAGTCTTGGGAGGGTGTATATGTCGAGGAATTTATCCATTTCTTCTAGATTTTCTAGTTTATTCGCATAGAGGTGTTTATAGTATTCTCTGATGGTAGTTTGTATTTCTGTGGGATCGGTGGTGATATTCCCTTTATCATTTTTTATTACGTCTATTTGATTCTTCTCTCTTTTTTTCTGTATTGGTCTTGCTAGCGGTCTATCAATTTTGTTGATCTTTTCAAAAAAGCAGCTCCTGGATTCATTGATTTTTTGAAGGGTGTTTTGTGTCTCTGTCTCCTTCAGTTCTGCTCTGATCTTAGTAATTTCTTGCCTTCTGCTGGTTTTTGAATGTGTTTGCTCTTACTTCTCTAGTTCTTTTAATTGTGATGTTAGGGTGTCAAGTTTGGATCTTTCCTGCTGTCCCTTGTGGGCATTTAGTGCTATAAATTTCCCTCTACACACTGCTTTGAATGTGTCCCAGAGATTCTGGCATGTTGTGCCTTTTTTCTTTTTGGTTTCAAAGAACATCTTTATTTCTGCCTTCATTCAGTTATGTACCGAGTAGTCATTCAGGAGCAGGTTGTTCAGTTTCCATGTAGTTGAGCGGTTTTGAGTGAGATTCTTAATCCTGAGTTCTAGTTTGATTGCACTGTGGTCTGAGAGATAGTTTGTTATAATTTCTGTTCTTTTACATTTGCTGAGGAGTTCTTTACTTCCAATTATGTGGTCAATTTTGGAATAAGTGCGACGTGGTGCTGAGAAGAATGTATATTCTGTTGATTTGGGGTGGAGAGTTCTGTAGATGTCTGTTAGGTCCACTTGGTGCAGAGCTGAATTCAATTCCTGGATATCCTTGTTAACTTTCTGTCTCATTGATCTGTCTAATGTTGACAGTGTGGTGTTAAAGTCTCCCATTATTATTGTGTGGGAGTCTAAGTCTCTTTGTAAGTCACTAAGGACTTGCTTTATGAATCTGGGTGCTCCTGTATTGGGTGCATATATATTTAGGATAGTTAGTTCTTCTTGTTGAATTGATCCCTTTACCATTATGTAATGGCCTTCTTTGTCTCTTTTGATCTTTGTTGGTTTAAAGTCTGCTGTATCACAGACTAGGATTGCAATCCCTGCCTTTTTTTTGTTTTCCATTTGCTTGGTAGATCTTCCTCCATCCCTTTATTTTGAGCCTATGTGTGTCTCCGCCTGTCAGATGGGTCTCCTGAATATAGCACACTGATGGGTCTTGACTCTTTATCCAATTTGCCAGTCTGTGTCTTTTAATTGGAGCATTTAGCCCATTTACATTTAAGGTTCATATTGTTATATGTGAGTTTGATCCTGTCATTATGATGTTAGCTGGTTATTTTGCTTGTTAGTTGCTGCAATTTCTTCCTAGCATCGATGGTCTTTACAATTTGGCATGTTTTTGCAGTGGCTGGTATCAGTTTTTCCTTTCCATATTTAGTGCTTCCTTCAGGAGCTCTTGTAGGGCAGGCCTGGTGGTGACAAAATCTCTCAGCATTTGCTTGTCTGCAAAGGATTTTATTTCTCTTTCACTTATGAAGCTTAGTTTGGCTGGATATGAAATTCCGGGTTGAAAATTCTTTTCTTTAAGAATGTTGAATATTGGCCCCCACTCTCTTCTGGCTTGTAGAGTTTCTGCTGAGAGATCCACTGTTAATCTGATGGGTTTCCCTTTGTAAGTAACCCGACCTTTCTCTCTGGCTACCTTTTTTCCTTCATTTCAACTTTGGTGAATCTGACAATTATGTGTCTTGGAGTTGCTCTTCTCAAGGAGTATCTTTGTGGCGTTGTCTGTATTTCCTGAAATTGAATGTTGGCCTGCCTTGGTAGGTTGGGGAAGTTCTCCTGGATAATATCCTGCAGAGTGTTTTCCAACTTGGTTCCATTGTTGCCGTCACTTTCAGGTACACCAATCAGACGTAGATTTGGTCTTTTCACATAGTCCTATATTTCTTGGAGGCTTTGTTTGTTTCTTTTTATTCTTTTTTCTCTAAACTTCTTTTCTCGCTTCATTTCATTCATTTTGTCTTCCATCAGTGATACCCTTTCTTCCAGTTGATCGAATCGGCTACTGAAGCTTGTGCATTCATCATGTAGTTCTCGTGCCATGGTTTTCAGCTTCATCAGGTCCTTTAAGGACTTCTCTGCATTGGTTATTCCAGTTAGCCATTCATGTAATCTTTTTTCAAGGTTATTAGCTTCTTTGCGATGGGTTCAAACTTCCTCCTGTAGCTCGGAGAAGTTTAATCGTCTGAAGCCTTCTTCTCTCAACTTGTCAAAGTCATTCTCCGTCCAGCTTTCTTCTGTTGCTGGTGATGAGCTGCGTTCCTTAGGAGGAGAGGCTCTCTGATTTTTAGAGTTTCCGGTTTTTCTGCTCTGTTTTTTCCACATCTTTGTGGTTTTATCTACCTTTGGTCTTTGATGATGGTGACATACAGATGGGGTTTTGGTGTGGATGTCCTTTCTGTTTGTTGGTTTTCCTTCTAACAGACAGGACCCTCAGCTGCAGGTCTGTTGGAGTTTGCTGGAGGTCCACTCCAGACCCTGTTTGCCTGGGTATCAGCAGTGGAGGCTGCAGAACAGCAGATATTGGTGAACAGCAAATGTTGCTGCCTGATCGTTCCTCTGGAAGTTTCATCTCAGAGGGGTACCCGGCCGTGTGAGGTGTCAGTCTGCCCCTACTGGGGGGTGCCTTCCAGTTAGGCTACTCCGGGGTCAGGGACCCACTTGAGGAAGCAGTCTGTCCGTTCTCAGATCTCAAACTCCGTGCTGGGAGAACCACCAGTCTCTTCAAAGCTGTCAGACAGGGACTTTTAAGTCTGCAGAGGTTTCTGCTGCCTTTTGTTTGGCTATGCCCTGCCCCCAGAGGTGGAGTCTACAGAGGCAGGCAGGCCTCCTTGAGCTGTGGTGGGCTCCACCCAGTTCAAGCTTCCTGGCCGCTTTGTTTGCCTACTCAAGCCTCAGCAATGGTGGGCGCCCCTCCCCCAGCCTTGCTGCCACCGTGCAGTTCAATCTCTGACTGCTGTGCTAGCAATGAGTGAGGCTCCGTGGGCATGGGACCCTCCAAGCCAGGCACGGGATATAATCTCCTGGTATGCCGTTTGCTAAGACCATTGGAAAAGCACAGTATTACGGTGGGAGTGACCCGATTTTCCAGGTGCCGTCTGTCACAGCTTTGCTTGGCTAGGAAAGGGAATTCCCTGACCCCTTGCACTTCCCGGGTGAGGTGATGCCTTGCCCTGCTTCGGCTCATACTTGGTGCGCTGCACCTACTGTCCTACACCCACTGTCCAACAAGCCCCAGTTAGATGAACCCAATACCTCGGTTGGGAATGCAGAAATCACCTGTCTTCTGAGTCACTGATGCTGGGAGATGTAGACTGGAGTTGTTACTATTTGGCCATCTTGGAACCGCCCAATGCAGTTTCTTCATGGTGTCTTTGGTGTTTATATTTTGGTTTGTTTTTGCAGTGGCTGGTACCAGTTTTTCCTTTCCATAAGCCAGCCTGGTGGTAACAATATCCCTCAGCATTTGCCTGTCTGGAATGGATTTTATTTCTCTTTTGCTTATGAAGCTTAATTTGGCTGGATATGAAATTCTGGGTTGAAAATTTTCTTCTTTAAGAATGTTTAATATTGGCCCCACACTCTCTTCTAGCTTGTAGGGTTTCTGCAGAATGATTCACTGTTAGTCTGATGGGCTTCCATTTGTAGGTAACCTGACCTTTCTTTCCAGCTGCCCTTAACATTTTTGCCTTCATTTCAACCTTGGAGAATCTGACAATTATGTGTCTTGGGGTTGGTCTTCTCGAGGAGTATCTTTGTGGTGTATTTCCTGAATTTGAATGTTGGCCTGTCTTGCTAGTTTGGGGAAGTTCTCCTAAATAATATCTCAAACTTGCTTCCATTCTCCTTGTCACTTGCTTCCATTCTCCTTGTCACTTGCTTCCATTCTCCTTGTCACTTTCAGGTACATCAACCAATCATAGGTTTGGTCTTTTCACATAGTCCCATATTTCTTGGGAGCTTTGTTCATTCCTTTTCATTCTTTTTTCTCAAATCTTGTCTTCATGCCTTATTTCAGTAAGTTCATCTTCAATCTCTGATATTCTTTCTTCCACTTGATTGATTTGGCTATTCATACTTGTATATGCTTCACAACATTTTCATTCTGTGTTTTTCAGCTGCGTCAGGTCTTTTATATTCCTCTCTAAACTGATTATTCTAGTTACCAGTTCCTGTAACCTTTTATCAAGTTCTTAGCTTCCTTGCATTGGGTTAGAACATGCTCCTTCAGCTCAGAGGTGTTTTTTATTACCCACCTTCTTAAGCCTACTTCTGTCGATTCATCAGTCTCATTCTGTCTAGTTTTGTGTCTTTGTTGGAGAGGAGTTGCGATCATTTGGAGGAGAAGAGGCACTTTGGTTTTAGGACTTTTCAGCATTTTTGCATCATCTTTGTGGATTTACCTACCTTAGTCTTTGAGCCTCATGACCTTTGGATTGGGTTTTTGTGTGGGGGTCCTTTTTGTTGATGTTGGTATTGTTGCTTTCTGTTTTTTAGTTTTTCTTTTAACAGTCATGTCCCTCTTCTGCATGTCTGCTGGAGTTCGCTGGAGGTCCACTCCAGACCCTGTTCACCTTGTTATCACCTGTGAAGCCTGCAGAACAGCAAAAATTGCTGCCTGTTCCTTCCTCTAGAAGCTTCGTCTCAGAGGGGCACTGGCCTGATGTAAGCTGGAGCTCTCCTGTATGAGGTGCCTGTTGACCCCTGTTGGGAGGTCTCTCCTAGTCAGGAGGCATGGGGGTCAGGGACCCACTTGAAGAGGTAGTCTTTCCCTTAGCAGAGCTGGTGCACTGTGCTGGGAGAATTCTTCATGTCAGGATCAGCTTCTCTCTTCAGAGCCAGCAAGCAGAAAAGATTAAATCCACTGAAGCTGCCCCCACAGCCGCCCCTTCCCCCAAGTGCTCTGTCCCAGTGGTATGGTAGTTTTATCTGTAAGCCCTTGACTGAAGCTGCTGCATTTCCTTCAGAGGTGCCCTGCCCAGTGAGGAGGAATCTAGAGAAGCAGTCTGGCCATAGCCACTTTGCTGTGCTCTGGTGAATTCCGCCCAGTCCAAACCTCCCAGCCTCCTTAGCACTGTCAGGGGAAAACCACCTACTAAAGCCTCAGTAATGGCATATACCCCTCCCCTAACCAAGCTTGATTGTCCCAGGTCGACTTCATACTGCTGTGCTGGCAGTTGAGAGTTTCAAGCCAGTGGTTCTTAGCTTGCTGCGCTCCATGGGAGTGGTACCCGCTGAGCGAGACCACTTGGCTCCCTGGCTTCAGCCCCCTTTCCAGGGGAGTGAATGGTTCCGTCTCTCTGGGGTTCCAGATGCCACTGGGGTAAGCAAAAAACTCCTGCAGCTAGCTCAGTGTCTGCCCAAACAGCTGCCCAGTTTTGTGCTTGAAACCCAGGTCCCTGGTGGTTTGGGCACATGAGGGAATCTCCTTATCTGTGGATTGCAAAAACCATGGGAAAAACATAGTATCCAGTAGCTCAGTCCCTCATGGCTTCCCTTGGCTGGGAGAGGGAGGTCCCCTGGCTCCTTGCACTTCCCAGGTGAGGCAATGCCCCACCCTGCTTCTTCTAGCCCTTCTCGAGCTGCACCCACTGCCTAACCAGGCCCAGTGAGATCAACTGGGTACCTCAGTTGGAAATGCAGAAATCCCTGCCTTCTGCGTTGGTCTCACTGGGACCTGCAGACTGGAGCTGTTTCTGGCTGCTCCGTCAGTTTTATATTTAGTACTCTCTTAAGGGTCTCTTGTCAGGGTTGTCTAGTAGTAATGAATTCCCTTTGCACTTGCTTGTCTGGAAATGATTTTTTTCTCTCCTTTCCTTATGAAGCTTAGTTTGGTGGCATATGAAATTCTTGGTTGGATTTTCTTTTCTTTAAGAATGCTGAAAATAAGGCCCCAGTCTCTCCTGGCTTGTAAAGTTTCTGCTGAGAAACCCACTGTTAACCTGATGGGGTTTCCTTTGTATGTGATCTGACTTTTTTCTCTAGCTGCCTTTAGGACTTTTTTTTTAGCATTGACTTTTGACAGTCTGGCAACTACATCCCTTGATGATGTCCATGTTGTATAGTATCTTGCAGGTGCTCTCTGGATTTCTTGTATCTGGATGTCTATCTCTAGCAAGAATAAGAAAGTTTTCTTGAATATATTCCCTCAAGTATGCTTTCCAAATTGTTTTCTTTTTCTCAGTCTCTCTCAGGAACGCCAATAATTCATCAATAATTCATAGGTTTCATTACTTCACACAATTCCATATTTCTTGAAGACTTTGCTCATTTTTTAAAATTATTTTTTCTTTATTTTCATCTGACTGGGTTAGTTAGAAAGACCAGTCTTCAGGCTCTGAATTCTTTCTCTGCTTTGTCCAGTCTATTGGGAAATCTTTCAATTGTATTTTTTAAATCCTTAGGTGAGTTTTTCAATTGCTTTATGAGTTTCTTTGTGTTGATTTTCCACCTTGTCTTGGATCTCATTGAACTTCCTTGCAATCCATGCTTCGAATTCTTTATGTGTCATTTCTGAGTTTTCATTTGGGTTAGGGACTATTTCTGGAGAGCTAGAGCAATCTTTTGGTGGTATCACTACATTCAGATTTTTTATGGTGCCAGAATTCTTACACTGGTACCCTCTCATGTGGAGATGCTGACACTTCAGATTTTTGTAATTATTTTTGTGCAGGTAGAATTTTTCCTTTTTCTTTCTTGCTCTATAATATTTTTAATTATTTTTCTTTCTCTTTCCCCCTTTCCTAGGTTGTGTGACTGTAGAGAATGTTCGGTAGGGTCTTTTGGCTTTGCTTCTATATCTCTGCAATTCTTTCAGCAGATTTTATATTGGGATGTGCAGTTCAATCTGAGAGACTATAGATGGCACATATAGGTGAGAGCCAACTGTGGGCAACATGGCTGAGTATATACTTTGTTTATGGAGAGGAGCCCTCGGTTGCTTCAGGCAATGGGTTAATTCATGGAATGCCAATTGGTCTGAGCTTCCTGCTCAGCCTCAGGAGAGTGGGGGCCATGAAGGGGAGAACCAGACCAGGCAGGCCCACCTACAGGTCCCCCAGTGGCAAGTACAAGCACCAGTGGCTAGGGAAAATCCAGCGGAAGGCCACCAAGCACCCAAAAGCTTGCCTAGGCATGGAGCTTGGAAACCTTCTTGGCCCCAAGTTCTCTGCATGGGGACTGGGAGTGGCCTAAGCTCTAAGTCCAGGAGAGTGGGTGTTCCAGATGCCTGGAGATGTACCTGGGCATGTAGTGGAGAGCCACCCACCCCGCCACTGTACCAAGATTTCTGGATAGGAGGGGTGGGATGACTGAGGCTGCTGCTTCAGGTGAGCAGATGCTCTCTGAATGCCTGGAGATCTGCCTGAGCGTGGAGCAGAGAGCACCTTCTGCACCACCATCTATATTCAGGAAGGGTGGGGTGGCTCAGGCTGCTGAACCAGATGAATGCCTCCTATTTTCTATTGCTTCTTTCATTGATTTATCTGTAAAATTTATAGGAATACCCCCTGCAAACCCACCGACTCTACCACAATATCTGCCCCAACCCACATTTGCAGTTTCATCATTCTCTAATCCCTGCACCAGAATTTCTCCAAATGTGGTTCTGAGACCACTTGTATTTGACTGCCTTCAGGAGAGCTTGTTAAAATGCACCCTCCTGGGGTCACACTTCTGATCTATTGGGCCACAGCTTCTTGGGTGGGGAGCAGGAAATCTACATTTTGACAATTTTGGAATGGCTCAAGACCTGACCTTGTGCACGTCTTGGATGCCAGTTCTATTCCCCTCACAGGCCATATGAATCCTGTCCTTTCTGCCTCAAAATGCCCATCCAGAGCCTCTACATTGATTAGCTTTTCCCTCCCTTCCAGAAAAGTTCAAAGGCTACCTCCTCCTTGAAGCCTTCACAAATACCTTAATCTAACTGTTTATAACCCTCTGCCATCTTAGCACTGTGGAAAATACATAAACTTGGGGTTAGAACATCATCAGTTTTAATGTAAGCACCATCCTTTCTAGCTGTACAGCCCTCCTGAGCCTTAGTTCTTACATCTTGAAGATGGAACCAGCTCAACAAGCATAGGGATGTAGCAAGAATCAAGACACTGTAGATGCAGCACCTGGCCGGTGGTAAGAGCTTGGTTATCACAAGTTATCTTCACCCTCTACCTTGTGTGGCACTATTTCTTCTATGACCTTGACTGCTCTCTGCTCTGATCTGGAAGTTCGCTGGGAAAAGGTGTCCCCTTTTTTATTACCTACCGGGAGAACCATGAGTGATGCTCTACTTGTAGTATATATACCCTGAGATGATTATTCTTAAAGACTAGTTCTCATGACTTGAGAGTTTGCTCTGTGTTAGGTACCATTCTAACACTGGATGTTGACTATGTATGTTATTTAATACTTCCATCAACCCCATAATGTAGGGAGAATCATTATGCCCATTTTAAAGATGAGAAATTGAGGCACAAAGCAGCTAAGGGAAATTGTCCAAAATCTCACTGCTAGGTGGTATTTCAAGTATGTGAATCCAGGCAGCTTGATGCTACAGCTAACTTATTCTTAGCCAGTGCGTTATATTCCTTTCCAAGATAGAGTGGACTGGCCTACTGGCATTATGCAGAGGTCAATAGCTGGGCAGAGATAGGAGAACAGCTCTCTCTGCAGATCCAGAGTCTGCACTTTTTCCATGGTCCCACGCTGGATCTGCTCAGTCTCTCTCTTGATCATGCTCAATTTTGTTGTGCCAGTTTTTTAGTTAAACAATGTTTTATTTAGCTTCTTCCATTGCCACTCAGGAGCCGACAGGCCTAGTGGTACAGTTTCTCTCCTTAAGTTTCTTTCTGAGGAAAAGTAAATAAGCAGCATAAATCAAACAACTGGAGCCTGCAATTGCCACCAGCTCTGTCTAGGGCTGGTAATAGGAGGAGCAGAGTGAAATACACCTGAGCTATTGTGGCAATCAAGGCTGTTGACTGTCAACATCAATTTGCCTCTGATGATACCATCAGCCAATAGCGGAGGGTTTCCCAATCAACATGAGATGGAAATCAATGATCATGACAGAGGCGGTGGGATCTCTTGGAAAGGAGAAAGCACCAAAGTCAAAAAGCCTAGCTTCCTGAGTCAGCCCTGCCAACAACCCAGGCCTCCATCTCCTTATCTATAAAATAGAAACATTGAAACCGTCTAATCCACTGGGAGCCTCAAATAAAATCCAAGAGTAAACCTGAGATAAGAAGGAAACCAGGCCTAGGGTCAGTGCCTTTGGGGTCTTCTCCTGGTCTTGTGGCCCCAACTTGCTTTGAGAACTTGAGCAAGCTGTTCCCATGTCCCCGAGATCACTTCCAATTCTAATCCTCCTGGACTCCAGGATCCTTTGCAATGTCCTTTCAACTTTCATTTCAATTAAAACAAAAACCCTACATCCACTTCATTCTGGCTTTCTTCACCCTAAGTCTTTCTAAGAGTGCAGATCACAATCCCAGCCTGGTGTGCCTCACACAGTCCTTGGTTTGTGACAAAGACAGCCAAAGAAAGAATGACACTAACTATGAGAATATTAATAGCTAGAATTTTCTGAGTATTGACTAGGTACGAATCAACATGCAGTGCCCCAGTTAATCCTCATAACAATCTAAGATACTCTCATTATTCACATTTTATACCTGGAGAGACTGATGCCCAGGAAAGTCAGAATCTTACAAAGAATGAGTAAGTTGGATTTAAAACCAAAACAAAACAAAATCATCTAATCCCATTCCTAGAGCCTGTTCTTTGCTGTCTTCTTACACAAGCTGGGCTATGAAGAGCTGCCATGGCAGGCTTCCCTGTAGGGAGTTCAAAGGAGCTTCAGTGACTTGTGCACATCTTTGCATGTTCTCTCTCTCTCTCTTTCTTTCTCTCTCTCTCTGTCTTTCCCCACCGCTTTCCGCTTATCTCTGCCTTTGTTTTTGTGTTGGCCTCATTATCTGTACAGAACTTTTTCATAAGCAGGAAACAAGGCATTGCTCAACTCTTATTGTAGAAATTTCTGCAAAAAGCAGAGACTCTTTTCCTCCCCGTGTCTAAATCTCAGTGCCCAAAAAGGGTTCTGAGTGGCTCTATCAGGACTACCTGCCTGGTAAATCAATCCCTTACACCTAACAGTGGGGTCCTATGATAGCTTAGGCTTCAGCATGTGCCAATGCTGGAGGCCAGAAGAATATGCCTATGAGCTGAATGAGGCATTTAGGAGGCAAGAAAGCCACTGTGCAGAGCCTTGGCCATTTAATTCACAGTCTAAATGATGCATCAATTCCAAGGGTTCAATAGAACAGAAAATCAAGATGCAGTAAATAGGAGGCAGTCTGGAGAGTACTGACAAAAGTTCCCGCCCAATCCAGAGGGACACATACCCAATAGTCTCAAGTGAGGGCAGAATGGAAGTCATGACCCCCAGTATGGGCAGTCCAACTCACTTAATTCACCTGCAGCATATGAAGGGACTGGGTGTTCTTGAGCTCCATCTATCTATCTGCCCTCTTCCACCAGCATTGCATACAATAAAACTCAAGATGGTAAATGAAATTTTCATCTATTGATTATAGTGTGTAGGACCATCTCCAGTCCTTTGAAAGATCCTTTCCATGACACTAATTGCTGGGGGTTGGCATGTTTTAACGTGGGACTTGGAGCACAGGGGCCCTTCCTGGTAAAATGCCACCAGGGTCAGAGGATGGCTTGACAAATGGTGACAAACTGCATTGTCAACAACTGCACTGAATTAAATAGTAATGACAGAGGGGATCACTGAAGACAGCATATGCAATTAGGAACATTTCAGAATGTGGACAAAAGTGCCACTCAAACTTGGAGAAAATAACTTCATTTAATTCTGCTTCAGTCAGCTGAAACATCCCATCAAAATCTGAGTTACTTTGCCAAACAAGTGAAATGTCCCTTCATTTTCCGGGAGACAAGCTTTTCCCTTCATGAGTCCAGCCAGAGCTGGCTTAGAGCCAGAACTAGTTTTATTAACCCCACATATCATTCAACTTTGAGCTCTACAGGGAACAGAAAAACAAAGTTTACATCACTCCTGGGGCTAGCAAAACAGTTAATGAAACAAAAATACCTTCACAAATAGAAATGATTTTCTGCCCGTCATCTCAGCATCCAGTAGCCTGCCCTTGCAAGGGGCCAGAAGAGGTCACCAGAAGGGATAGAGGCTGAGGTCTGCTCCAAGCTCCTAAGGGTAACTAACCTGTGGAAAAGGACTACCCCTTGGAGCAGGAGCTAGTTCCCTCTATTCTGGGGACCATAGCTGCCCTAAAGAAGAGGTAAGTGGCATTCTCTGAACCATGACAGTCAGTCTCATCACATCCAGGCTCCTTTCTGAATCTAGACCTGGTAGAGAGGCCTGATGAACAACAGATTAGAGGCCCTGACAGCTACAGAGTTTCAGGAATGGTCTGTGTGGCTGGAGGATTCTCACACCTAGCTTCTAGGTCCAGGTCTGCCTCTCACAGCTTCCCTTCTCTAGCCTTCAGCTTTCTCACCTATTCAGCAAAAAGGACAGGCTAAATTATGTCCAGAAACAACATTCTAAGATTTTAATCCTACATCCAACAATGTTAATAGCTTAGATTCCAAAAAATTCAGGGGCCAAGGCCCAAAAAGAAATGAGATGGAGAAAGAATATAGCACACAGTTTCTCCATAATATGCCATGGAGGGGTGAAGGTAACAGGATAAGCCTGGATGGTTTCCACTCTCTCCACCAAGCATTCCCTGCAAGTAGCGCTGTGGGCTGGAGCTGGAGTTCAAGGCCTGCCTGTCTCTTTCTTACTCTATGATCTCAAGCTGATCTGGTTTTTGCATTTGGGCAATAGGCACAATAGACTTAGCTCCAGAGTTTTTGTGAGGATAAATGTGAGGGTCTAGCCTGGATCGGAGTTCAATGTGTATTAGTCAGGGTTTCCCAGAGGAAAAAAACCTGAGGTTTGTTTATAAAAGCATATACCCTCTCAAGAAAGAGTAAGTGAGCATCTTTTTTCGTATGAATAAATGAGCAACGGAATGAAATGTGATACACTAATGCACACATGTTTGTCACAAATATATTATCTCACACATGCTGACAAAATGGATACGCTCACCCACGCCTTTGGAGAGACACATTCACACACTCATGAAGCAGTCATGCGTGTGGAGGATTTATTAATGGAAATGTATCTCTCCCCTTTACTTGATTTCTTTAGTTAAAGTACACATGAGATAATAATTATGGAGTTTTATAAGGGCTTCACTTATGTGGTGTCTAAACTTCACTTTTTCCCAAACCATAACATTTTGATGAGTAATGGAAATGGCTCTGCTTCAGGATTTGTGATCTTCCATATGTACCAAGATGGGAGATGCCCTAGGGCTAAGCTCTCTGCATGATACTGAGTCATGTCCAAACCAAGAATCCAGCCTGGCAGTATCACAGTCACTGGGGCCTTTTAGGATAGTGTCTGGACAGAGGAAAAGAGGGTGCTCATCCAGGGTGAGGGTCAGGATGAAGCTGAGGGTCCTCATAAGGCTAGGAGATAGAAGAATACTGAGGACTCAGTTACAAATACCTTATCCAAGGTAGAAAAGCCCTGGAGAACTAGGGAGTCAGCAAGGCTTGGCCTTGGAGCTCTGCCCCTGTAACTAGGGCCAGACTCTCCTTTAGCTCTTCCCTTCTACAACTGTAGGCTTTCAATTTGCCTCTTCGTCTACCTTACCACCCATCAATGCTTCCCCTCACCTCCTTTGCAGGGATGTTATGGGAATCAAAGAAATTCATAAGAAACACAGGACAGTGCCATCATGTGGCTGCAACATGATAAATGGCCGTAACTTTTACCATTTAAACTAGGTTTTTGGTGCCCATTCATACATGCCACAAATTTTGGTAGTTACAGCTTGCAACCGCCTGTCCTCAAACGGTCTTACCTGCTGTATCCCTTACTGATCCATTTCCTGTCACCAAATTAGGCAACTTCCTGTTGCGTGGACAGGACCCCAACATCCCAGTTGAAGCCCTTATTCAGGTACTGTTCCCCATATCTGAGACCCCATATCTGAGACCCCCTCCCTGCAACCTTATTCCATGGCACCCTGTCTCTGTGTGTTGACATCCTACTTGTGGTGGACAGACTCCAGGGTGACTCCTAAGATCTTGGCCTCTTGATGTTTACAACCTTGTATAATCCTCTCCCCTTGGGTGTGGGCAGGACATATGACTTGCTTGTTTAAAAACTATTTTAATTATTTGTTTTTTGAGATAATTGAAGATTCACATGCAGAGAGATCCCTACACCCTTCACCCATTTTCCCTCAATGGTAATATCTTGCAAAACTGTAATACATTATTGCAGTCATGGTATTAATATTGATATATTCAAAATGCAAAATGTTTTATTTTTTATTTACTTTATTTGTATTTTGTTATTTGGGGAACAGGTGGTGTCTGGTTACAAGGGTAAGTTCTTTAGTGGTGATTTCTGAGATTTTGGTGCACCCATCACTTGAGCAGTGTATACAGTACCCAGTGTGTAGTCTTTTATCCCTTAACCCCCCTTCCACCCTTTTCCTTGAGTCCCCAAAGTCCATTGTGTCATTCTTATGCCTTTACATCCTTAGCTCCCACTTATGAGTGAGAACACACAATGTTTGTTTTTCCATTTCTGAGTTACCTCACTTAGAATAATGGTCTCCAATCCATCCAGGTTACTGCAAATGCCATTATTTCATTCCTTTTGGTGGCTGAGTAGAATTCCATGGTGTATTTATACATTTTCTTTATCCACTCGTTGATTGATGGGCATTTGGGCTGGTTCCATATTTTTGCAATTGTGAACTGTGCTGCTATAAACATGCATGTGCAAGTATCTTTTTCATATAATGAGTTTTTTTCCTCTAGGTAGATACCCTGTAGTGGGATTGCTGGATCAAATAGTAGATCACTTTTAGTTCTTTAAGGAATCTCCGCACTGTTTTCCATAGTGGTTATACCAGTTTACATTCCCACCAGCAGAGTAAGAGTGTTCTCTTTTCACTACATCGGCGCCAACATCTATTATCTTTTGGTTTTTTGATTATGGCCATTCTTGCAGGAGTAAGGTTGTGTCTCATTGTGGTTTTGATTTGCATTTCCCTGATAATTAGTGATGTTGAGCATTTTTTCATATATTTGTTGGCCATTTGTGTATCTTCATTTGAGAATTGTCTATTCATGTCCTTAGCCCAATTTTTGATGGGATTGTTTTTTTTTTCTTGCTGATTTGTTTGAGTTCCTTATAGATTCTAGATGTTAGTCCTTTGTCAGAGGTATAGATTGCAAAGATTTTCTTCCACTCCGTGGGTTGCCTGTTTACTCTACTGACTAGTTCTTTTGCTGTGCGGAAGGTTTTTAGTTTAATTAAGTCCCATCTATTTATCTTTGTTTTTGTTGCATTTACTTTTGGGTTCTTGGTCACGAAGTCTTTGCCTAAGCCAAATGCCTAGAAGGATTTTTCTGATGTTATCTACTAGAATTATTATGGTTTCAGGTTTTAGGTTTAAGTCTTTGATTCATCTTGAATCAATTTTTGTATAAGGTGAGAGATGAGGATCCAGTTTTATTCTTCTACATGTGACTTGCCAATTATCCCAGCACCATTTGTTGAAGTGGGTGTCCTTTCCCCACTTTGTGTTCTTGTTTGCTTTGCTAAAGATCAGTTGGCTGTAAGTATTTGGCTTTATTTCTGGGTTCTCAATTCTGTTCCATTGGTCTGTGTGCCTATTTTTATACCAGTACCATGCTGTTTTGGTGACTGTGACCTTATGGTATAGTTTGAAGTCGGGTAATGTGTTGCTTCTAGATTTATTCTTTCTGCTTAGTCTTGCTTTGGCTATGTGAGCTCTTTTTTGGTTTTGTATGAATGTTAGAATTGTTTTTTCTAGTTCTGGGAAAAATGATGATGGTATTTTGATGGGAATTGCATTCAATTTGTAGATCGTTTTGGCAGTATTGTCATTTTCACAATATTGATTCTACCCATCTATGATCATGGGATGTGTTTTCATTTGTTTGTGTCATGTATGATGTCTTTCATCAGGGTTTTGCAGTTTTTCTTGTAGAGGTGTTTCACCTCCTTGGTTAGGTATATTCCTAAGTATTTTTTTTTTTTGTAGCTATTCTAAGAAGGGTTGAGTCCCTGATTTGATTCTCAGCTTGGTTGCCGTTGGTGTATAGCAGAGCTACTGATTTGTGTACATTAATTTTGTATCCTGAAACTGCTGAATTCATTTATCAAATCTAGGAGCTTTTCATATAAGTCTTTAGGGTTTTTAGGTATATGATCATGTCATTAGCAAACAGTGACAGTTTGACTTCCTCTTCACCGATTTGGATGCCCTTTATTTCTTTCTCTTGTCTGATTGTTCTGGCTAAGACTTCCAATAGTATGTTGAATAGAAGTGGTGAAAGTGGGCATCCTTGTCCTGTTTCAGTTCTCAGGGAGAACGCTTTCAACATTTCCCCGTTCAGTATAATGTTGGCTGTGGGTTTGTCATAGATAGCTTTTATTACCTCAAGGTATGTCCCTTCTATGCCCATTTTGTTGAGCGTTTTAACCATAAAGGGATGTTGGATTTTGTCAAATGCTTTTTCTGCATCTATTGAGATGATCATGTGATTTTTGTTTTTAATTATATTTAATTATGTTTTGTTTTTAATTCTGTTTATTGACTTGCAGATGTTAAAGCATCCCTGTATCCTTGGTATGAAGCCCACTTGATCATGGTGGATTATCTTTTTTGATATGCTTTTGGATTCAGTTTGCAGTATTTTATTGAGGATTTTTGCACCTGTGTTCATCAGGGATATTGGTCTGTAGTTTTCTTTTTTTGTTATGTCTTCCTGGTTTTGGTACTAGGGTGATACTGGCTTCATAGAATGACTTCAGGAGGAATTTCTGTTTATCTTTTGGAATAGTGTCAATAGGATTAGTACCAATTCTTTTTTTGAGTATCTGATAGAATTCAGCTGTGAATCCATCTGGTCCTGGACTTTTTTGTTGGCAATTTTTGAATTACCTTTTCAGTCTCGCTGCTTGTTATTAGTCTGTTCAGAATTTCTATTTCTTCCTTGTTCAATCTAGGAAGGTTGTATATTTCCAGGAATTTATCCATCTCCTCTAGGTTTTCTAGTTTGTGCATATAAAGGTGTTCATAGTAGCCTTGAATGATCTTTTGTATTTCTGTGGTATTGGTTGTAATATCTCCTGTTTTGTTTCTAATTGAGCTTATTTGGATCTTCTGTTTTCTTTTCTTGTTTAATCTTGCTAATGGTTTGCCAGTTTTATTTATTCAAGATGTGAAACATTTGCATCACCACAAGGATCTATTATGCTTTCCTTTTATAGGCACACCCACTTCCCTTCCACACTCACTCCTTCCTTAAATGCTGGAAACCACTAATCCGTTCTCCATTTCTACAATTTTGTCATTTCACAAGTGTTATATAAATGGAATTATACAACATGAAATAATCATTTTCACTCAGCATTATCCTCTGGAGATTCATCCCAGTTGTTGTGTATATCAATAACATTTTCCCTTTTTATCGCTGAGTTGTATTACCTAGCATGGATGTGTCAGTTTTTTTTTTAACCAGTCACCCATTGAAGCACATCTGGGCTGTTTCCAGTTTGGGGCTATTATGAATAAAACTGCTGTAAATATTTGTGTGTGAGTTTTTGTGAGAACATAAGTCTTTATTTCTCTGGGACAAATGCCTAGGAGTGTAATTTCTGGGTTGCATGGTAGTTGCATGTTTAGTTTTCTAAGGAATTACTAAACTATTTTAAAGACTGACAGTGCCATTTTACATTCTCATTAGCAATGTTTGAGTGATCCAGTTTCTCTGCATCTCACCATCATTTGTTGTTGTCAATTTTGTTTTTTTCTTAGCTAATCTGATAGGTACAGCGATCTCTCATTGTTGTTTTAATGTGCATTTCCTTATGGCTAAAGATGTTAAATATATTTTTGCATGCTTATTTGCCATCATGAAGTATATCCTCTTCAGTGAGATGCTTCCTTATGGCCTTTGCCTGTATTCCAATTGGATTGTTTGCTTTTTATGGTTGAGTTTTGACAGTTTTTTCTATAATTTAAATACCAGTAATTTGTCAGATATGCTCTTTGCAATTTTTTCTCCCAATCAATAGCTTGACTTTTTATCCTCTTAACAGAACTTTTCACAGAGTAGTTTCTATTTTGAAGAAGTCTAATTGATCAATTTTTTATTTTACAGATCATGCTTTTTGTTACTATGCTAAAATCGTTTCCTGGTCCTAGATCATAAATATTTCCTCTTATTTTTTTCCTAAAAGTTTTCTTTTTTTTTTATACTTTAAGTTCTAGGGTACATGTGCACAACATGCAGGTTCGTTACATATGTATACATGTGCCATGTTGGTGTGCTGCACCCATTAACTCGTCATTTACATTAGGTATATCTCCTAATGCTATCCCTCCCCTCTTCCCCCACCCCACAACAGGCCCTGGTGTGTGATGTTCCCCACCCTCTGTCCAAGTGTTCTCAATGTTTAATTCCCACCTATGAGTGAGAACATGTGGTGTTTGGTTTTCTGTCCTTGCGATAGTTTGCTGAGAATGATGGTTTCCAGCTTCATCCCTGTCACCACAAAGGACATGAACTCATCCTTTTTTATGGCTGCATAGTATTCCATGGTGTATATGTGCCACATTTTCTTAATCCAGTCTGTCATTGATGGACATTTGGGTTGGTTCCAAGTCTTTGTTATTGTGAATAGTGCTGCAATAAACATATGTGTGCATGTGTCTTTATAGCAGCATGATTTATAATCCTTTGGGTATATACCCAGTAATGGGATTGCTGAGTCAAATGGTATTTCTAGTTCTAGATCCTTGAGGAATCGCCACACTGTCTTCCACAATGGTTGAACTAGTTTCCAGTCCCACCAACAGTGTAAAAGTGTTCCTATTTCTCCACATCCTCTCCAGCACCTGTTATTTCCTGACTTTTTAATGATTGCCATTCTAACTGGTGTGAGATGATATCTCATTGTGGTTTTGATTTGCATTTCTCTGATGGCCAGTGATGATGAGTATTTTCTCATGCGTCTGTTGGCTGCATAAATGTCTTCTGAGAAGTGTCTGTTCATATCGTTTGCCCACTTTTTGATGCGGTTGTTTGATTTTTTTCTTGTCAATTTGTTTGAGTTCTTTGTAGATTCTGGATACTAGCCCTTTGTCAGATGGATAGATAGTAAAAATTTTCTCCCATTCTGTAGGTTGCCTGTTCACTCTGATGGTAGTTTCTTTTGCTGTGCAGAAGCTCTTGAGTTTAGTTAGATCCCATTTGTCAATTTTGGCTTTTGTTGCCATTGCTTTTGGTGTTTTAGTCATGAAGTCCTTGCCCATGCCTATGTCCTGAATGATATTGCCTAGGTTTTCTTCTAGGGTTTTTATGGTTTTAGGTCTACAATTTAAGTGTTTAATCCAGCTTGAATTAGTTTTTGTATAAGGTATAAGGAAGGGTTCCAGTTTCAGCTTTCTACATATGGCTAGCCAGTTTTCCCAGCACCGTTTATTAAATAGGGAATCCTTTCCCCATTTCTTGTTTTTGTCAGGTTTGTCAAAGATCAGATGGTTGTAGATGTGTGGTATTATTTCTGAGGACTCTGTTCTGTTCCATTGATCTATATCTCTGTTTTGGTACCACTACCATGCTGTTTTGGTTACTGTAGCCTGTAGTATAGTTTGAAGTCAGGTAGTGTGATGCCTCCATCTTTGTTCTTTTGGCTTAGGATTGAATTGGCAATGCGGGCTCTTTTTTGTTTCCATATGAACTTTAAAGTAGTTTTTTCCAATTCTGTGAAGAAAGTCATTGGTAGCTTGATGGGGATGGCATTGAATCTATAAATTACCTTGGGCAGTATGGCCATTTTCACAATATTGATTCTTCCTATCCATGAGCATGGAATGTTCTTCCATTTGTTTGTGTCCTCTTGTATTTTGTTGAGCAGTGGTTTGTACTTCTCCTTGAAGAGGTTGTTCACATCCCTTATAAGGTGGATTCCTAGTTATTTTATTCTCTTTGAAGCAATTGTGAATGGGAGTTCACCCATGATTTGACTCTCTGTTTGTCTGTTATTGGTGTATAAGAATGCTTGTGATTTTTGCACATTGATTTTGTATCCTGAGACTTTGTTGAAGTTGCTTATCAGCTTAAGAAGATTTTGAGCTGAGACGATGGGGTTTTCTAGATATACAGTCATGTCATCTGCAAACAGGGACAATTTGACTTCCTCTTTTCCTAATTGAATACCCTTTATTTCCTTCTCCTGCCTGATTACCCTGGCCAGAACTTCCAACACTATGTTGAATAGGAGTGGTGAGAGAGGGCATCCCTGTCTTGTGCCAGTTTTCAAAGGGAATGCTTCCAGTTTTTGCCCTTTCAGTATGATATTGGCTGTGGGTTTGTCAGAAATAGCTCTTATTATTTTGAGATACATCCCATCAATACCTAATTCATTGAGAGTTTTTAGCATGAAGCATTGTTGAATTTTGTCAAAGGCCTTTTCTCCATCTATTGAGATAATCGTGTGTTTTTTGTCATTGATTCTGTTTATATGCTGGTTACGTTTATTGATTTGCATATGTTGAACCAGCCTTGCATCCCAGGATGAAGTCCACTTGATCATGGTGGATAAGCTTTTTGATGTACTGCTGGATTCAGTGTGCCAGTATTTTATTGAGGATTTTTGCATCGATGTTCATCAGGGATATTGGTCTAAAATTCTCTTTTTTGGTTGTGTCTCTGCCAGGCTTTGGTATCAGGATGATGCTGGCCTCATAAAGTGAGTTAGGGAGAATTCCCTCTTTTTCTATTGATTGGAGTAGTTTCAGAAGGAATGATACCACTCCTCTTTGTACCTCTGGTAGAATCTGGCTGTGAGTCCATCTGGTCCTGGACTTTTTTTGGTTGGTAAGCTATTAATTATTGCCTCAATTTCAGAGCCCGTTATTGGTTGATTCAGAAATTCAACTTCTTCCTGGTTTAGTCTTGGGAGGGTATATGTGTCGAGGAATTTATCCATTTCTTCTAGATTTTCTAGTTTATTTGTGTAGAGGTGTTTATAGTATTCTCTGATGGTAGTTTGTATTTCTGTGGGATCGGTGGTGATATCCCCTTTATCATTTTTTATTGCATCTATTTGATTCTTCTCTCTTTTCTTCTTTATTAATCTTGCTAGCAGTCTATCAATTTTGTTGATCTTTTCAAAAAACAAGATCCTGGATTCATTGATTTTTTGAAGGGTTTTTTGTGTCTCTATTTCCTTCAGTTCTGCTCTGATCTTAGTTATTTCTTGCCTTCTGCTAGCTTTTGACTGTGTTTGCTCCTGTTTCTCTAGTTCTTTTAATTTTGATGTTAGAGTGTCAATTTTAGATCTTTCCTGCTTCCTCTTGCCGACATTTAGTGCTATAAATTTCCTCTACACAGTGCTTTACATGTGTCCCAGAGATTCTGGTATGTTGTGCTTTGTTCTCATTGGTTTCAAAGAACATCTTTATTTCTGCCTTCATTTCATTATGTATCCAGTAGTCATTCAGGAGCAGGTTGTTCAGTTTCCATGTAGTTGAGTGGTTTTGAGTGAGTTTCTTAATCCTGAGTTCTAGTTTGATTGCACTGTGGTCTGAGAGACAGTTTGTTATAATTTCTGTTCTTTTACATTTGCTGAGGAGTGCTTTACTTCCAATTATGTGGTCAATTTTGGAATAATGTGATGTGGTGCTGAGCAGAATGTATATTCTGTTGATTTGGGGTGGAGAATTCTGTAGATGTCTATTAGGTCCGCTTGGTGCAGAGCTGAGTTCAACTCCTGGATATCCTTGTTAACTTTCTGTCTCGTTGATCTGTGTAATGTTGACAGTGGGGTGTTAAAGTCTCCCATTATTATTGTGTGGGAGTCTAAGTCTCTCTGTAGGTCTCTAAGGACTTGCTTTATGAATCTGGGTGCTCCTGTATTGGGTGCATATATATTTAGGATAGTTAGTTCTTCTTGTTGAATTGATCCCTTTACCATTATGTAATGGCCTTCTTTGTCTCTTTTGATCTTTGTTGGTTTAAAGTCTGCTGTATCACAGACTAGGATTGCAACCCCTGCCTTTTTTTGTCTTCCATTTGCTTGGTAGATCTTCCTCCATCCCTTTATTTTGAGCCTATGTGTGTCTCTGCATGTGAGATGGGTTTCCTGAATACAGCACACTGATGGGTCTTGACTCTTTATCCAATTTGCCAGTCTGTGTCTTTTAATTAGAGCATTTAGCCCATTTACATTTAAGGTTAATATTGTTATGTGTGAATTTGATCCTGTCGTTATGATGTTACCTGGTTATTTTTCTTGTTAGTTGATGCAGTTTCTTCCTAGTATTGATTGTCTTTACAATTTGGTTTGTTTTTGCACTGGCTCGTATCAGTTGTTCCTTTCCATGTTTAGTGCTTCCTTCAGGATCTCTTGTAAGGCAGGCCTGGTGGTGACAAAATCTCTCAGCATTTGTTTGTCTGTAAAGAATTTTATTTGTCCTTCACTTACGAAGCTTAGTTTGGCTGGATATTAATTTCTGGGTCTGGGGGTAGGGCATAGCTGAAAAAAAGGCAGCAGAAAGTTCTGCAGACTTAAACATCCCTGTCTAACAGCTTTGAACAGAGTAGTGGTTCTCCTAAAAGTTTTATAATTTTGCATTTTATGTTCAAATATGTAATCCATTGTTTTTTTTTTTGAGATGGAGTCTCACTCTGTCACCCAAGTTGTAGTGCAGAGGTGTGATCTTGGCTCACTGCATCCTCCTCTTTTTTTCAAAACTGTTTAACCTATTTTAGATCTTTTGCTTTCTCATATATAATTTAGAATAATCTTATCTATATCTGAAAAAAATCTTGTTGATAATTTGACAGGCATTGCATTAAAACTGTGTTTATATTTAGGATAATTGACATCTTCACTATGTTAAGATTTCCAATCCATGGACATGGTATGCCTCTCCATTACTTAAATATTCTTTTGATTTTTAACAGAGTTCTATATATGTTTTGTTAAATTTACCCCTAAGCATTTGATTGTTTGAAGGGATTGTAAATGGTATTGTATTTTTAATTTACGTGTCCACGAGTTCATTGCTAGCATACATAAATACAATTGATATTTGGATATTGGTCTTGTATCCTGTCACCTTTTCCGAACTCACTTATTTGTTGTAGGGGATTTTTTATGGATTCCTTGGGATATTCTAGATAGCTAATTTTGACATCTGCAAATAGGGACAATTTTATTTCTTCCTTTCTGTTCTGTATCACTTTCATTTTGTATTCTCACATTATCACACTAACTAGAACTTTCAGGACTATGTTGGATAAGAGTGATAAAGGTGGGTATCCTTGCTTTGTTTTCTATATTAGGGGGAAATTTCAGTCTTTTGCTCTTAAGAAGCTGGGTTTTCTGGAGCCTGAAGCTGTGAGGATTGGCCTGGAGCCTGGCTCCACAGGGACTGATTCAGCAGTGAGGTCTTGGGATGGGCTTACACCCTGGGTCTGCTGGAAGGCCAGCAGAGTCTAGCTTGGATAGTGGAGCTGTGGAGACCAGCCTGACACTGGGCAAGCCCTGAGTACAGGGCCACTGGGTCTGGGTTGGTCCTGGGGAAGGCGTGGAACCTGAGTCTGTGGGAACTGACCTGGTGCTGGGGCAATCCTGAAACCCCAGTTCACTGGAGCTGATCTGATGCTGGGGAACGTCTGGAGCCTGGGCCCACTGCGGTCAGTTGAGTGCTATGGCAGGCCCAGAGATCAAGTCTGTGGGGCAGGTCTGGAGGCTGGGGCTGTGGGATCACACCTGGCTTGGAGTCCCTGCCTGTGGGTACTGGTTTGGCATTTGTGGCCAGAGGGCTGGCCTGGTGCTGGTTGGGCCTGGAGTCTGTGTCTGCAGGGGCCAGCCTGATGGCTGGGGCTGTGGCAGTTGGCCTGGCAGAGGGGTGGGCCTGCAGCCTGGCACCACTGGGGCCATCATGTGCTGGTTATGGGGGTGAACTGGGGCCTGCAGCTGCTGGTGCCAGCCCAGGGCCTGGGGCTTCTGGGGTTGACCTGGAAGTGGGGTGGCTTGGTGATGGAGTCCACCCCACCAGGCAGTCATGGAGCCTGGGTATGCAGAATTTAGTCTATCATCAGGGTGGGCCTGGAGGATCAGTCCACATGTACCAGTCTAGGGTCTGGAGTGTCAGGGCCTGTCTGCCACTGGGTTTTAGTGGGACAGACCTAGTAGTGGGGTCCGAGGCAAAGTACAGTGCTCGCTTCCCTCTTCCTTCAAGCAAAGGGTACCTCTCTCCATGCTGTGCTGCCTGTGGTTGGGGGAGGGTTGACATGGATAATGTAGAACTGTCCTTGCTACCCTCTTCAATGTGTCTTTTCTTATTTCTGTGCTATACTCAGGTGCTATAATCTCTCACCTGGTTTCCTCAGCCTTTGTGAAGACATTTTCATGTGTGGATAGTTGTTCAAATTGATGTTCATGCAGACGAATGAGCACTGAAAAGTCTTATTTCACCATCTTGCTGATGTTACCCTTCCTCTGTAGTTTTCTTTTGTGGGAGTTTTTTATTAATCACAAAGTAATTTTCTTACGGGGCTATTCAAATTTTGCATTTCATACTGAGTGAGTTGTGGCAGTATGTGTTTTGCAAGGAACTGGCCCATTTCATCGAAGTTGTCAAATTTATCTGGGTAGAGTTAATCGTATACACATTATTATCCTTCAGATGTCTTCATGGTCTATATTAATATCCCTGTTTTATTCCTGGTATTCATGTATTTTCTCTTTCTTTGTCAGTCTTGCTAGAATTTTGTCAATTTATTGATCTCTTCAAGGAATCAGCACTTTCATTGATTTTTTTCTATTTTAAAAATTTTTAATTTAATCAATTTCTGCTCTTATTCTTATTTTTTTCTTCCTCCTACTTGCTTGGGATTTATTTTACTGTTCTAGGTTCTTGCGATAAAAGCTTAGATTATTGATTTGAGACCTTTTTTCTAATGTATGCATTTAGTGCTATAAATCTATTAGCACTGCTTTAGCTGGGTCCCACATGTTTTGATATACTATATTTTTACTTTCATTCAGTTTAATGTATTTTATATTTTCTCTTAATATTTTCTGTTTGACTCATGTATTATTTGGAACTGTGTTGTCTAGCTTCCCTATGTTTTGAAACTTTCCTTTTATTTTTCTGTTATTGATTTCTAATTTGATTCCAATATGATGATCATAGAATATTCTCTGTATGATTTCAATGCTGTTAAATTTGTTGAGGCATGTTTTATGGCTAAGTGTATTGTTTATCTTGGCATATGATTTTTGAACACTTGAAGAAAATGTGTATTGTAGTGTTGTTGAGTGGAGTACTCTATTAATGTTCATTGGATCCTGCTGTCTGATGGTGTTACTGAGTTGTCTATTCTTGCTGATTTTCTGTCTAGTTGTTCTATTATCATTGAAAGAAAAGTATTGAAGTCTACAACTCTAATTGTAGATATGTCTGTTTCTCATTTTAGTTCTATTAGTTTTGGCTTCATATGTTTTCCAGCTCTATTGCTTGGTGTATACCCATTTTGGATTGCTATGTCTTTTTGGCAGATTGACCTTTTAGGAACATAAAACATGTATTTCTCTAATACATCTGGCAATTTTCTTTGTTCTGAAGTCTACATTTTCAGATAATATAGTTATGTCTGCTTTCCTTTGCTTAATGTTTTCATTATATATCCTTTTCCATCCTTTATTTTCAACCTGCCTATATAATTTTATTGGAAGTGACTTTCCTGTAAACAGTATATA
This sequence comes from Homo sapiens, assembly GCF_000001405.40. Lineage (NCBI taxonomy): Eukaryota > Metazoa > Chordata > Mammalia > Primates > Hominidae > Homo > Homo sapiens. Next base: position 55,325,374 of record NC_000023.11, read on the forward strand.
GTTGGGTCATGTTTTTTAAATCTACTCTGCCAATTTCTGTCTTTTAATTGTTATGTATAGACCATTCACAATTAATGTAATTGTTAACTTGGTAAGGCTTAAAGTGAACTACCATTTTATTTTTTGTTTTCTTTTTTCTTCTGTTGTACGTTTCTCTTTTATTTTCTCTTCCTTTCTCTGTGTTTCTTGAATATTTTTCAGATTTCATTTTAATTTATCTATAGTGTTTTTAGTGTATATCTCTGTATGGCTTTTATTGTAGTTACTATAAGAATTACATTGTATACAGTAACTAATCCAAGTCTACTGGTGTCATCATTTTACTAGTTCAAGTAAAATGTAGAAAACTTATTTCTCTTTGTGTCTCTACACTTTTGTATTTGTAGTATAATTGTTTTTAAATATTTTCCCTATATGCATTTAGAAAAATATTAGACAATATTATATTTGCTTCAACCATCAAACATTATTTAGGAAAATCAAAAGGATTTAAAAAGCCTACTGTGTTTACCCACTTTTTGTTTACTGTGCTTTTTCTTACTTAATTTTCAAGATTCTTTGTCTGATAATATCTTGACGTTTCCTTCATTCCTGAAGGATATTTTCACTGGGCATAGGATTCTGGGTGGACAAATCTTTTCTTTCAGCATTAAAAAAATATTGTGCCACCTCTTTTAGTCCTCCGTGGCATTGTTTTTCTCTGGTTGCTTTCAAGATTTTATCTTATATTTAGTATTCAAAAGTTTAATCAGGATGGGCTTTGGTAAGGATTTCTTTAAGTTTATTCTGTTTGGGGTTCACTCACCTTCTTGGATTTGTACGTTTATGTCCCTTGCCAAATTTGGAAAGTTTTTAGCCATTATTTCTTTGCATAGTTTTTCAGCTCCTTCTCCTTTTTCCTCTCCTGAGACTCCAATGACATTGAAGTTTTATCTTTTATTATAGTACCACAGGTCCCTGAAGCTCTGTTCATTTATTTTTTGAAGTATTTTCTCTTTGTTGTTCATATTGGGTAATTTCTCATTGTATTCCATCTCTCAGTTCATTGGGAATTTTTTGCCCTCTGTTCCCCCATTCTGCTGTTGAGCCTGTCAACTGAGCTTCTTATTTTGGTAATTGGATTTTGTAGTTCCAACAACTTCCATTTGATTCTTCTTCATATCTTCTGGGTTTTTTGTTGTTGTTGTTGAAGCTTTATTTTTTTTCTGAAGCCTTCCATTTTTATCATTTGTTTAAAAAATGTTAATAAATGCTCATTTAAACATTTTTATCATGGATGCTTTAAAAATAATTGTCGGATAATCCTAACATCTCTGTCATTTTGATGTTGGAATCTATTAATTGTCTTTTAGAATTCAGTTTGAGATCTTTCTGGCTCTTAGTATGACAAGTTACATTTTGTTGAAACATGCACGTTTTCATATTCTGTTATAAAACCCTAGATCTTATTACAACCTTCTATTTTAAATGACTTCCTCTGACTACACTCTAGCAGGTAAAAAAGAGGGTACAGTGTTGTAATTGTCAGGTAGAAGTGGAAGTCCATTTTCTCTACTTGGCTTTCACTGACATCCAATGGCGGGTTCATTATTATTGCTGGGAAGTTTCCACCAGTACCACATTATAGCTGAGTGGCTTTTAATAGCATTACAATAGGGATGACTTCATTACTTCTTGGCAGTGGTGAAAGTCCTGACTCTCTATTAGGCTTCCTCTGACACCACCCTAGAGGGGAGAAAGGTGCTTTTTTACTGCCAGATGGGAGTGGAAGTCCAAGCTTGCCACCTGGTCTCCACTGATAACGCTAAGGAAGGAAAACGCTAATTACTCGCTGATGGGAATGAAAGGCCTAGTTTCCTACTCAACTTTCCTCACTACCACTCTGATAGGGCTGCTACATTTCTCATTATATCCTCTCAAGGAAGTAAGTTTAGGCTTCCTGCTCAGACTTTGCTAGCATGGGTGCGGTGGAGCAGTTTTATGAGTTTGTGTGTGCGTTTATTTGGTTGGAGTGAAGCAGTTACTGTCTAAAAGTTTTCTGCCGTGCTAGGCTGCCCTTCCCCTGGTTCTTTGGCTAGAAAGAGCAGACTTTTGTTCAGACTTTTTTTTGTCTGTGCCCTGTTGGTGTTTCTAGGTCACTGTCTTCATCAACTTCAAGTCCAGGATATATAAAAGAAAAAGAAAACTCAGGGTATACACCACCGGTTTTTTCCCAGGGTTTGGAGGTCCATAATTGGTTTACTCTCTTCTCTCTGCCTTTCAGAGTCTTGCGTTTGTTTTATTTAATGCCTAAGGCTTTTAGTTGTACAGTGGAAGAAATAGGAGAAAGTATGCCTATTTCCTCCTCCCAGAAGCATAAATCCACTTGCTTTACACTGTTAGACTACAGCACAAGTTATTAGTGTCACTTAGATGATTTCATTATGTTATATACGACTCCATCTTGCCAGAAAACGTGTTCTAGAGACTCTCGTTGAGGTGGCCATGTTGGGGAAGTCTGCATGGCAAGGAACTGCCAGACTCTAGTAACTTCAGCCATCAATGACTACCAGCAAGAATCCAGAGCCATCAGTCCTGTAAGGAAATGAATTTTACCACTAACCTGAGACTGGAAGTGAGTTCTTTTCCAGCCTTGCCTCCAGATAAGAACACAGTCATGACTGATGCCTTCATTACAGCCTTATGAGACCCTGAGCTGGGGAACCATCTAAATAATATTCAGACTTTTGGCCATCAGAAACGGTCAGATAATGAATGTATTTTTTTAACCTGTTAAATTTGTGGTAATTTGTTATGTAGCAATAGATAAACAATATACTACCCATACTCCAAGTCCCTAAATGACATTTCCTCCTGGTAGCCTCCAACTGTATCAGGTAATTTCCTTTCCTTGCAATGAATCCCAGTTTTTCACTTCTAATTCACTGCTATCATTTAGTTACAGTCTTTCTAGCTTCAGCCAGGCTTGCTCTGACTCAGACTTTCTGAGTAGACCCCATAGTTCACTGAGAACAGGGATTAAGGCTTACCCATTACAACTTACTCTGCAGGAACAAGCATATTTCAGGGACTTTAGGCATTTGGCATGTGGATAATGGGTGCACAGGCCCCCATCCTGAGGGAAAAAGTCAATTCAGTCCCCATTCATGTTCAGACTTGGAAGTCAGCCATGTCCAAGCACAAAGAGATGACTGTAATACCTGCTGGAAAAAGCATATATTTAGGCAACTACTCCTGATATGACTGTGATTAGTGATAAAGGCAAGGAGCAGGCCAGGCAAAGAGGAAATCCAATTCTTATGTTGGACCATTGGGGAGTGATATTTGGCATGGACACTAAAAGACAAGAAGATAAAAGGAGGTCACAGCAGGCAGGGGCCAGCATGAACAAAGGTGGAGAAGCATGGCTGGGGAAAAGCTATTATTCTGGTGCAGTTGGAGTAGAAACATGAAGGGAAAGACGGTGCCAGATGGAGAGAGGAAAGAGAAATTGATTGAGAAAGGTCTGAGTTCATCCTCTTTCCTCTTGGCTCTCTGTAGTGTATTTTTTATTCACTTGAGTGGCACTGCCAGATAGCCTGCCCCAAACTAGACACCATGCATCTGCATAGCCTTCTCCCTTTGTCTCCTTCCTGATATCCAGTTGATGATGGCAGGCCATTGGTTCCACCTTCTAAGTGTCTGAATCTTGCTCCTCTTTTCTACCCCATGATGATAGGCCAAGTTGGAGCTTTTCTACTGAAAAAAATAAGGGCCATCTTCCATTGCCACCATTCTCATCTATTCATTGACCCCTACAATAGACTTCTAATGGTCTCACAGCCTCCAGTTCATTTGTATCCAACTCACCATTCATTCCTTCACCTCATTGCATACAGAAGGCTCCTCAAAAGGCAAACTAATCATGTCACTGCCTCCTACTTAAAACTTTCCATGAGTAACCAAATCCTTCAGAATAAAATCTATGCTCTTGACTTGACATATGTATCTCTTTATGACCTGGTCTCTGGTAGCTTCTCCACCCTCATGGCTACCTCTTCCTCACCCCCATTGTCCACACTAGAGCAATTGCAGTTCCCTAAGATCAAAGAACTTTCCTCTCCTCCAGACTGAACTTTTGTCAGACTTCCCCCTCCCCACCTGCATTTGCTAACTAAGTCTTCCTTAGCATCTGGATCTCAACCTTTTCTGTCAACCCCTCACTAGGTTGGCCAGGTGAGGCACCCTGCTCTGTGCTCCTATGTAGAGCACTTATCATCCTGCATTAGAACTTTCTGATTACCTACTTGTCTCCTTCATGATGCCCAGAGCTTCAGGGGGGCAGAGTCTTGCAGAAGGGTCTAAGGGGTGGGTTGTATGTGTGTGTGTGGTGGGTTATGTGTTTGGGTATTTGAATAAGAGAGTGAATAAATGGACTTGCTTACTAAGAAATTTGAACTTGACAATAAGGAGGGTAACTGGATTATCTAAATTACTTCCACAAGTAATAGTGAACTTTAAGAGAGGAGAGCATCCTTGGAGAGGCTAGGCAAGTATGGAAGGAGCAATCGTGGGATATGTATCTATGAAGCTCTTTCATTGTGCCTAGTTCTGGGTTAGGTTCAGGGGATAATATAGTGGAAATGGATGGAACTCTTGCCCCAAGAATATTATGTGAGGAACAAGACATTTTTGGGACAGATCTTGACACCAGCCAACATTGCTTAACAATGATTTGTGGCAATCACTATTCTTGGGACTTGACATAAACTACATCCTTGAATGCTCATGACCCCTCTATGAGATGATACCACTGTTATTGCAGTCCTGCAGGTGATGACACTGTGGCATTGAGGAATTAACTATTACCTCAAGATCAAGTAGCTAATATGTGGTAAAGCTGAGATTCAAAGAATGGTCACATGACTCATGAGCTAAGGCCTAAAATGCCAACAAGGGGTCAATGCACATGGCACTGGGAAAAGGAAGGGCACCGTGGCCTAGAGCTGTCCTGGAAGTCACTCTGCAGATAGTCTCCCTCTCCATCCTGCCACTGTGGACACCTCACGCTGCAGTCAAACTGGACTGCAGACAACTTCATATCTCTAGGCCTTTACACTTGCTGTTCCAATTGCCTGAGTGGTCCTTTCCTTCCTTCCACCCATATTTTATCAGACCAAACTCTGTTACTTCTGAAATTGTATTGTTTCTCACATGATCCTCCTCTGGATGAGTTAGCAAGCCCCTGCTCTGTGCCCTAATTCTCAGTAACCTTGAAGAAAACAAGGGCAGGGAGGCTTATCAACTTACAAAGTCCACACAGTAAGCAAATGGTTAGCCTGGGATTTGAACCAAATTGTTCAACACCAAAATTATTTTATCTAAATCAGAGAGGGCATATGTTTGGCATAGGGACCTACACTTATTGCTGAGAGTTTATGACATTTGTGTTGGCTAACTTTATGTGCCAACTAAGCTGGACCATGGAATGCCCAGATATCAGGCTAAACATTGTTTCTGGGTGTGTTGTGTAGTGTTTCCAGCAAAGGTTAACACTTGAATTGGTGGACCAAGTAAAGCAGGTGGCCCTCACCAATGTGGATGGGTATCATCTAATCCACTAAGGGCCTGAATACAACAAAAAGGTGGGGGAAGGTTGAATTCTATCTCTGCTTGAGTTGGGACATCAGTTTTCTCCTGCTCTAGGACTGGGAATTATACTATTTATGCTCCTGGTTCCCAGGCCTTTGTACTCAAACTGGAATTTTCCTGTTTCTTGAATGTGCAGATGGCAGATTGTAGGACTTCTCACTGTCCCTAATTACATGAGCCACTTCTTTACAACAAATCTTTTCTCCCCCCCGCCCCCCCTGCTTCAATATATAGGTTCTGCTTCTCTGGAGAGCCGACTAATAATATAACATTCTTTCCTGCTGCATCTGTATTAGACCTCAGAATCTTTCTCAACACTATGTGACTACAGCCACAACCAACCTATCAGAACTGATAGTCAAGTCAAGAACTATTTACTTATCATGGTGCTTCTGTTAATGGTGGCTTCTTTCCTAACAATGGTTCTCTCTTCTATCCCCAGCACCCCATCCCTCTCATATCTCTCAGTGCTGCCAAATTTGTCATGCAAATGGCATCTTCAACCTGTCAGGAAGAGCCAGTCCCTCCTCTGATGGTGCTATGGTTCATCCAGATGCAGTGCAACATATTCTTCTTTGGGAGTATTCAACGGCAAGCACCTTGGCGGCTCTGCCTAGGCCACTACAGGCTGGAGCAAAGAACACACAAATGTTAGGCATCCGTCAGCTGGGTATCTGACTGAAAAGACATGAGGGTGCAGAGCAAATGCCAGATGGTGGGAGGAATGGTGAACATTAGGAAGACAAAAGGGGTCAGGAAATAGGACAAGACTTTATTGGCTACAATTATATTCTATTGAATATATTCTTTATGTTGTCAGGCTGAAAACAGAGATTTTCTCTATGTCAGTAATCTCAGAGTTTCATATACACACACATCACCTGGGAAGCTGCTTGAAATGCATATTCAGAGCCAATAAATAGGCAGTGGGGTCTGAGGATCTGCATTTCTATCAAGCTCCCAGGTGATGCTCCTGGTCCAGGGACCACAATTTAGTTAGCAAGTCCGCTTTTGTATCCTCTCACATTTAAGACTTCCATCATGCCTTTACAACCTCACTCTTTCTTCTCTCACTTCTTTCTTAGCTCCCCATCTGCCCAGCAAACCAAAGACCCTCACACTTGTCGTGGTCAGCTCCAGCCCTTCATCTCAGAGGGTCTCCATGCAATCATGGACGTATAGCACTTGCATATATATTATTAAAAGCACTTGCATATAAATGATGTGCTGGGAATTTCAAAACAGCCCTGTGAGGGAAGGACTATTGTGGCCAGAGACAGGGCAGCAATCACCCACCATCATGCAGCTAATAAAAGTGGCAGAAGGAAACTGGAATCCATACTGGTACAGCACCAGAGCCAGTGCTGCTTTCAGCATGCAATACTGCCTTCTGGAAAAGAAAGTGAAGGCTGAGTTTTAGTCTTGACCTCAGTGTAGCCTCTGAAAAGTTCGCTAACCTTTCTGGGCTTTGTTATCCATCTGTGGGCATAAAATAGGAGGCCTTTGAAACCATAAGGCCTATGGATTTGGTGGTTTTTTTTTTCTCACCATCAGTTACCTAGCACCCATGAGCATCCAAGCACTCCACAGACACCTTTCCTCTAATTCTCCTCACAGCTATGCGAGATGGGCACCCTGATCGTCAGGAGTCTGAGGCAGGGAAAAGTTAAGTAACTTACTCAAGGTCCCATGGACCACGATGCCAGGCCTGAATCAAGGTCTGTCTCGCTCTAGAGCTGGCTGTTCATAGTCTGCTGCTTGCCTTCAGTCTCTTTCCAAAGAAGGGTTATTGGGTGCATCAGTTACTAGCCCTGGGGAGACTTGTTTTTCCTTGTCTGTAACATGAAACAACAATGCTCACTTTACAGGGATGCAGTGGAGCTCTTCCAGACAGTGTATCTTGCAGGTACTTCATAAGCCACCAAGTGCTGCCTTCCTCCTCATAACCTTAATTCCTTGCCTGCCTTTCATGTGTGCTGTTACATTAAATGTGCTTTCCAAAAGAAGCATTCGAAACAGTTTCAGGGACTGTGGGCCAAACATTCATTAATTCATTCAACAGCCATTTCCCAAGGCCTTGGTCTGTGTCAGGCATAGGAGATATGGTGATAGGAAAGTTTGGGGAACAAAAGTAACGACCTTCAGAGAAACCTTTTATAGCTCCCAGAGCTGCTTAATGGCCTTCAAGCCCTTCATCCTGGGCTCAGGTTACATGATCAAGCTACAAAAGAAGTCTTCAGATTTTTCCAATTTCTTCTTTATGTGTTTCTTCCCTCCATTCAAATTGAACTCTACATCTTCTCCCAAGTGCCTGAATTTTATCTCATCTTCACTTTGGCCCACAGTGGACTATCCTTTGAAGGTTCAATAAGGCCCCCATCTTATGTTAGAGATACTCCCAGTTCTCCAAGCTGTGCCCAAAAGCCATCCCTCAAGGGGGAAGCCTGTTGTGACCACTCAACCAGAGTACCTCTTCCAACCACTGTTTTTTCACCTGAGATAAAGCCCACTTGTCAATAACTGCCTTGCAGGCATTAGCTGAGGGTTAGCTTCCCTGGTATCTCCACTCCAAACAGTCATTCCTAAAAAACAAGGACTGCGTTTGCTCAACCTTGAGTCTCCCACAGTTCATGTATTACAGTGGGTATGGGTTTAAATAGACTGACAACTATGACAGGGAACATGGGAGCAGAGGACAGGATTTTGTGTTGGAGAGAGAGGCTAAGCCACTGAATGGGTACAGCTCATACCCACACCAGCCATCAGACAGGACAAATGCAGCCAACTTGGAAAGTGGCAATCACTTAGAAATGACTGAGGATGACAAGATAATTGAAGCAATTGCTCAGCTGCATTGGGAGAAAGTAATAATATTTGCAAACTCTTGTAATGAGCCAAGTAGAAGATGGCCATGACTCCAGGACAGAGAGCATGGAGCCAGGATAATAAGTCAGGGCAAGAATGAGGCAGAAACCAGGAGAAGGAAAATCATTTTGCTCTGGGCCACGTGAGACTCCCAACTTGACCCTCAATGCAGGGAACTGTAAGTTAATATCAGCACCCACTGAGTCTACTATACAATTATGTATTTATACTCACGTCAGCTGTAAATAAATAGTTTTCATTTCCAGATGGGAGATGAAACATCCCTAGCCAATCCTGTATTATGAGTTGGAGGCACTGGTGAATCACAGCTCTATACAGAGATCCAGGAAGGGAAAGAGCCCCAAGGCCAGAGTGGACCATTGTGAGTAGGGAGCAACCTTAACCAGGCACATCTCTACCTGCAAGTGCTGCTTTGTGCCACAGAAATGCAGGTCTGCACATAGGAACTTCTAAGGGCATTCTAGAATGAAAGACCACCCTGTGCTGTCTCCAGAATGATCTTGAGAGTCCACTTTAGGGTCAACTGCCATGTGTTGCAGACAAGAAAATGTAGGCTCAGAGAAGAGACACTCTGGGGCCAAGAGTACACAAGAAAACAGGAGCACAGCTAAGAGTAGGGCCCAAGCTTCTGATTCCCAGGTCTAAGCTCTTTCCACAAATGCAGGAAAAATCTGACTGTGTACCATCCAGGTAGCAGGTGCTATGCAGCAGGAATCCTCTCAGTGCCTAGGTTAGTTCTTGGACCAACCTCAGTGGCCTTGGGTTAATTCAGAACTTACTCTCCTTGAGGATAGATTGGCCAGGCTTCCAAAGGCTCCACCAAAACCTGGAGTTGTGTGGGGAGGAGCAGCAGGAATGGAGCAGAGACCTGGAGTGGAGCTTGAAGATGTTTATTGGCATGGTCAGTCCTGGACCTGGGTGTAAGCAGTCAGTATGCAGCAGGCCTGTATTTACAACAGCCTAGGAGGTGATGCTCACACTTCCAGTAAGACTGCTTATGTTAGGGTCAAAGTTGGGCAATGAGGTACCTCCTGCACATTAGGTTAGGGGGTAACAGCCCTGGTGACAGATGTTCAGAAACTTCTTAAGCTGTGTCCCTACCTTCAAATGCCCAATCTTTCCTGCATGCACTGTGCAGGTTAATGCTGATATGCAGCTCTGACATGGCCCTGCTCAGCTCAAGGTGGCTGTGACTGCTCATGTCCTCCACACGGTTTACCCTATCATCCCCTATGCTCTGACACTGGCTACCTCTCTGCCTTTCTCTCTCTTCTGCACCCTCAACCTGTTTTGTGTTTTGTGTGCAAGTCAAATTGAACTCCTCAACCTCCCCCATCCGTTTCCAACTTCCTGCCTCTGTGCCTTCTCTCCCTTCTTCTCTTGTTAAGAATGCCCTCCCACTTTCCATCATTTTCTCCTACCAGAATTGTGTCCCTCATGCAAGCACAGTTCTGTTCTTTTCTCCCCCATGAATCCTTTTGTGGGCCCCATCCAGATGGGGCTTTCTCTCTCCTTTGAGCTTCACAAAGACCTGGTTGGATACCTCACTATTGGTTTTGAGTTACATTTAATATAGTTGCATCCTGTCTTTCTTTCTGCAGCCTGTACAGTCCCTTCAGGCAGGCAGCCACATGCAACACACAACAAAGGCCTGGTTCAGAGACACTGCTTATAAAAGTTAGTGATAAGAACATGGCTCTCAGTCTCTCAGTGTAGGAGGCAGTGTTTCAGGATTTCGTGACTTCTAAGCCATGCAACCAAGTGTCCATATCTGAAACAAAGTTCTCAAAGAAAGGTATTTGGGAGAGATGATAAAACAAGATTTCAGAAGGTGTATGGTCCTGCAATTAAATGTCTGTTGCCTACCAGCTGTGTGAACTTGGTAAGACACTCAACATCCCTGAGCCATCATCCTTGTCTGCATAATTGGGTAGAAAAACACCCATATAGGCCGGGCACTGTGGCTCATGCCTGTAATCCCAGCACTTTGGGAGGCTGAGGTGGGTGGATCACCTGAGGTCAGGAGTTCGAGGCCAGCCTGACCAACATGGTAAATCCCCGTCTCTACTAAAAATACAAAAATTAGCCAGGCATGGTGGCATGTGCCTGTAGTCCCAGCTACTCAGGAGGCTGAGGCAGGAGAAACGCTTGAACCCAGGAGGTGGAGGTTGCAGTGAGCCGAGATTGTACCACTACACTCCAGCCTGGGTGACAGAGTGACTCCATCTCAAAAAAAAAAAAAAAAAAAAAAAAAAAAAGGAAAAGAAAAGAAAAAAGAAAAAAAGAAAGCAACAACAAAAAAACCACCCATATATAGGGATATTAAGAGTTCTGAATTTCTTAACATAGAAAGAATAGTTCTTTTGGAGCTAAATTGCCTAGTTCTTCTCTGATCCATGTATTTGTATGTATTTTATGTATAAGTGGACAAATGCTTTTGGATTGCAGATATTTGGCTGCTTCCCAAAAGTTTGCTTAATAATAACTCCTGGGAAATGTCATGAATCCAATCATTCCTCCACATGAGAGGGCTTGTTCAAATTGGAAGTAAAATATTACAATTGCAGCACATTAATGTTTAAGAAATATTTTAAGAATATATCATGTTACAGATACTCTGAGAAGGAAGGAATACATGGTGATGGCAAAACAGACACAGTGTCCTGCAGTGGTCACAGTCTAGTGACAGGGACAGACAAATGCCCTTAGGGTCATGACACAGGAAAAAGGATACCTGACCAAATTGGAGGTTGCCTGGCAATCCTGGGTAGAGATGGTGGTGGCCTGGACTAGTAGAGTTAGTCTAGGCATGGAAAGAAGTATAGGGATTAAGAAGCCACTAAGGAGGCAGCCAGTGGAATGTATGAGGACAAGAATTGGATGTATCTGTCTCTGTTGAATTCCCATCCCCTAGCTCCAGGTCTGGGACACAAGGGAACATGAAAACTCTGAGAAATGCAAAATTTATCAGACTCAATGACTGATTGGATGTGGCATTTCAAACAGCTTGGAACTCTTGTATTCCTGGCATCCTCTGTGAGGTAGGTATTAGAGGAATAATTAACAACCACTTGTCAAGTTGAATGTTGCTGTTAATCCCACATGTATCAGTTGGGTATTAGTATGTGCCATGGCAGAGTCATGGGTAGGCTGCAGAGATAAAGAATGTGGCCCAAGCATTAAGAGGCATATAAACATGGTGTGACGATGGTAAGACACTGGGTTTATAGAGCAAAAACCAGGTTGGGGTCCTAGCTCCACCACTAACTTCCTGCTTGATCTTGGATGCATCCCTCTGATTTTGTGAGCCTCAGTTTCCTCATCTGCAAAACCCTATGTGACAGGGTTAATTTAATGTTTCCCAAACTACTTCTGTGGATACATCAAAATCACCTAGGGATTCTAACTTGACAAGCCTGGGGATCCCAGGCTCTTGAGGAAAATCTGATGCGTGGCCAAGTTTGGTAGCCATGGCTCTAGATGGCTTCTCAGGGACCTTCCAGGGCTGGGGCTGTGATACAGATTTACTCCAGCCACGGGAAGTTTTCCTTAAATCAGGACAACCTTTTAGCAACTACTGAAGTTAGTAACTTACGTGTCTGCAAAAAGAAAAGAAATTTGCTTCAGCAACCCTAGCACAGAGATTTTAAAGGGCCTCAGTAGCTTTTGACTGCTTCACTAGTAGCTTTTTCTTTGGAAATAAATGCATCTTTAATATAATTTCTGGGTGAGAATCCTATAAAGCAAGTGTTAGCAGAGGAGAGAGCTATCAGTCAGCGACTTGTTCAAAAAAGTCATGTCTACTCTGCTTTCTCTGCTTTCAAGCCTGCTCCATAGAAAGTAAAACCTGGGAAGAAAGGCTCAAGGCACTGGTCAAAATCTGGTTCCTGGGATGAGCAGTCAAGGGAAGGGGTTTGCTGTCCCAGCTGGGAGCTTGTGTGTGCATACAACCATCCTCTTTTACTTCCCCAGACTAGCACCAAATCTAAGGGATGGTTTCTCTTTTCACTTGTTTGATTTACCAGTGATCTCAGCCAATGTCTGCCCTAGATCAAATGAATGATTCAGATGCAAATATCCTTCAATCATTTACTGATTCAACAAGCATACACAACATGCATTCCATGAGGTTTTTTTCTTTTTGTTTTTTAAAGGAATTTATTTATTTTATTTTTACTTTTTTTTTTTTTTTTGAGATGGAGTTCCACTTTTGTCGCCTAGGCTGGAGTGCAATGGCACAATCTTGGCTTACTGCAACCTCCACCTCCCAGGTTCAAGCTATTCTCCTGCCTCAGCCTCCCGAGTAGCTGGGATTATAGGCACCCGCCATCACGCCTGGCTAATTTTTGTATTTTTAGTAGAGATGGGGTTTCACCATATTGGCCAGGCTGGTCTCGAACTCCTGACCTCAGGTGATTCACCCGCCTCGGCCTCCCAAAGTGCTGGGATTACAGGCGTGAGCCAGAGTGCCCAGCTGCATTCTATAAGGTTTCTATCATGTGCTAAACCTTTTCCTTGATCAGAAATAGTTCTCAACTTCTCCATCTTCACAGAACTCAGTCCAGTGTTGTTGACCTTAGCAGTTGTCGACATTTTTTTTGCACGAATTAATATTATTTCCTGACTCTATGGTTACCAGAGTAGGTAAGTTTGTTTCCCAAGAGAATTGCCAAATGGCAGTGGGGTTTAAGAGGATGGGAACAGCATTTCTGATATGCAGGCTATATGGGTCATGCCAAGACTGCATGTCTAGCACTGCCCCTGGAATTCCTTCAGCACTAGACTGCATCAGAAGACATATGAAATAGGGGCAAAGATGAACTGTGCTGGTAATGGTGATAATAACTTGTGAGGCTGGAGCTAGGTCTTTCTAAATGGAAGGGAAAGAAATAGACCAGATTGAGCACCAGCTATGTGCCAGGTGATAAAACATTTTGATGTTTATTTTCCTAGTTGATTATTTTTTTCAGTTTTAATTTTTGTCTTTTAATTTTTATTGTAAATTGACAATTTATAATTGTATATATTTATGGGGTACAAAATGATGTTATAATTTATTAATGCAATGTGAAATAATTAAATCAAGCTAGGTAACATATCCATCACCTCAAATACTTAAGATTTCTTGTGGTGCGAACATTTGAAATTTACACTCAGTAATTTTGAAATGTAGAAAACTCCATTATTAGCTATATTAACCATGTTGTGCAATAAATCTCAAAAATATTCTTCCCATCTAACTGATAATTCATACCCTTTAAGCTATCTATGATTATCTCTTTTTTACACTTGAGGACATTAGGTATGTATGCATTTAGAGTTAACAAGCAAAGAGCAAATAAGGTGGCAGCCAGATGATTGATAAGAAGCTTGTTTTATGACAGTAGAGGCAAGCAAGAGAGTGGACAGGACCCAGAGGATCTTTAGGGGTGCAGCTTGTGCTACCATGATGCCTAGTAGAAGACACTGCAAAACCATCCAGGCAGTACAGCTAAGCTTTCCAACATGTTGCAAAGTTGAATAACAGGGTAATTGTGGAAGAATATATTTCCCCAAAATGATCATTTTGTCATTCTCACACAAAGAGGTGGAGTCTGTTTCCTCTCGTCTTGAACTTGGGTGGCTTGTGACCCCTCCAACTGAGAGAGCACCCAGGAGATGATGCTAAGTGAGTTCTTAAACTAGGTCATCAAAAAGGTACAGTTTCTTCTCGGTTCTTTCCCTCTTTTTCTTGGAATGCTCACCCTGAAAACCAGCCACCAAGTTACAGGGAAGCTCAGGCCACATGAAGAGAACATATGAGTGTTGCAATCAGCAGCCCTAGCACAGGTCTCAGGTGGCAGCCAATATTTACTAGCAGACATGTGATTGAGTGAGCCTTCAGATGATCCTAGCCTCCTGCCTTTAAGCAACCCCAGTGGAATCCAAGAGAAGCAGAGATTAGCTATTCCTAAAAAGCCCTACCCAAATTCCATATTTGACAGCATTGTCAGTGTTTTAATCCACTACATTTGGTGTGACGGTTAATACTGAGTGTGAACTTGATTGGATTGAAGGATGCAAAGTATTGTTCCTGTGTGTGTCTGTAAGGGTGTTGCCAAGGGAGATTAACATATGAGTTACTGCGAATGGACTGGGAAAGGCCGACCCACCCTCAATCTGGGTGGGCACAATTGAATCAGCTGCCAGCTTTGTCAGAATAAAAGCAGATAGAAGAACGTAAAAAGTCTAGACTGCTTTAGTCTTCTGGCCTACGTCTTTCTCCCATGCTGGATGCTTCCTGCCCTCGAAGATCAGACCCCAAGTTATTCAGCTTTGGGACTTGGACTGGCTTCTTTGCTCCTCAGCTAGCAGACGGCCTATTGTGGGACCTCACCTTGTGATCATGTGAGTCAATACTCCTTAATAAACTCCCATTTATATATACATCTATCCTATTAGTTCTGTCCCTCTAGAGAACGCTGACTAATACCTTTGGGATTATTTATTATGCAGCCATGTTAACTGCAACAGGAACTAATACTTGTGTTTATGTTCTTTACTGTAAATTTAGTTAATCTCTTCCATTTATTTCTACTCCTTAGCCCTTTCACCAGTCCTCTTCACTATTACATAAGCTGTGTTGGAAGTAGTTAAATTTGTTACTTAGTCCATAATTTGGAGAATAATAAAGTGGCCTAGGGCAACACTAGAAGTGGAATGGGCATCACCTGAATGTCTTGGATTAATAGCCATTTTTGCTGAAAAGGTGTGCCATGCTAAGTGGAAGTATTATTGATCTTGTGTATATGAGAAGGTGAGCAGATGCAGACTTCAGGCAGCCAAGCAGTGGACTGTAGTGGACATCTGTGGGGTTTGTTTGCCCAATATCTATACCCTTACCCCCTTCTTTAATGCAGTCTTAGTGGGACAGTCAATTGAAGTGCTAGAACTCCTCTGGCAAAAGGGAGGGCCAGTGACACAAGTGGGAACAAGTAGACTTTCTTCCTTGGAATTTGAATTTTCATTAAAGTAACTTGAGAACTGAAAATAGCTGTAGCTGATTCATGCCGTCAACCTAGATTTTGATTCTGTGAGCTCTCCCACAGCCTTGCATTATACTTCCTTTTGCTTTGGTTAGTCAGAATTAGTTTTTACTGTTTGAAATCAAAGGCCCTAGCTGAAGTCTTGTTTTAGAAAGACTGCTTATGTCATGGATGTGGAGGCTGAGAGGCTGGGCCCAAGACTGTGTATGAGGAGGCTGGTGCACCTAGTTGTACAAGTAAGGGAAGGCAAGACCTGAACTGGGGCAGTGGCTACCAGGGCAGAAGGAAGAGACTGAGTCAGTGAGGTAGAATCCAGAAGATAAGGGTGCTTACTGGAGGTGGGGGAGGGAATGAGGTGAGAAAGAGGGAGTTGTCCAGGGTGGTTTCCAGGCTACTTCCTGCTTGATGCAATGCGGTTGTCAGTCAACAGCACAAAAACCCATTAGGAAGGGGACGGGATTAGGGGCTCGTCAAGGGGAGAAACTGTGCTTAGATTATTTATAAGACATTCAAACAGAATAAGTCCAGAGGTGAGAAATCTGGGCTGACCACAGGAGCAGAGGACTCTCATTAGCATGTGAATAGAGACTGAGGCCTGAAAGTGGGCAAGATCATCTATGAGAGAGGAGAGGGTGAGAGAAAGGAACAGGACTTAAGACCAGTAGGAGAGGTTTCAAGATGATTGACTAGGGACATGCCAGTTCTCTTCAGAAAGAAGATCAAAGTTACTGTGAATGGACAACTTTTGAATGGAAAATGGAGGAAAGAGGGCCAGGACCTTTAGGAGTACCCACAGGAAGAAGCTGGAGCTCAGGAAAAGAAAGCAGCAAGAGCCTGGCTGAGATCCCTGAGGATCTCAGAGCCCTGTGGACAGGGTAAATGGGAGTGCTTCTCTGCTCCCCTCACCCGTCTGGCAATCTGCTGACTGTCAAAGCCCCTCTGCCCCAAAGCCCCACTGCTGGGTAGTGCCACTGCACCACCAGACCACCTGCAAACATACCCCATTACCCATGGTAAACCAACAAGTATCTGAGACAAGTCTCAATCAGCTTAGAAGTTTTATTTTGCCAAGGTTAAGGACCTGGGTGGGAGAGAGGTCTGTGTTTTTTTCCAAAGATGATTTTGAAGTCTTCAGTATTTAAAGGGGAAAAGCAAGCTGGAGGGGAAAAGGAGAGTATGGTAATTCACATGTTGCAAGAGAAAAGGAGCAGGTAGAGGAATAGTCAATTATGTATTAACCTTGAGCTCAGTAAATCAGCACTTTACATATGATAAGGTGAACACGGAGTATCCACCTTTTATCTGTAGCTATCTGCTTAGGAACAAAAGGAAAGCTAACTTCTTGCATGACTCAGCTTTCAGCTTATTTTTTTTTTCTTTTGGTGCAGTGAATCGGGGCCCCAAGTTTTTATTTTGCTTTCACATCATTCTGACTTTGACAAGCACCAGGAACCAGTAGTTCCCCAGGGACATGTGGCCCCTTGGAGATCTAATCCTTAACGCGGTCCGCCCCTAAGGGAGGGGGTCCCACTTGGGACAAAGGAAATGCGGACACAGCACAAACTGCTGAAGGGGGCAGCATGGACGCCCAGGAATGGGCCTGGAGAGAGTGTCATCTCCCACACACACCACCCCCACTGGCCAACACCCCTCCCCACCCGCCGCCAATAATGCCCACCACATCCCTCCTCCAGCACCCCTTCCTTCCCCCAAAAAAACCTCCCTCTGCTAACACCCCTCCCCCTCTCCCCCTACACCGTCTCTCTCTGCCAACATCCCTGCACCGCCGTCCCTACCCCCGTCCCAACACACAGTTCCCGAGTGAGTGGCGGTTCTTACAGGAGTCCCGGTGAGCATGCACTAAAAGAAAATGCTTTTTGTGTTTTTCCGGTGGCCCTACCCTAGCTGAAAGTGAGCCTGCGCCTGCTGAGGCTTTCTAGAAGGGCAGGGCCCAAGTTCCCACCCTACACAGAGCAGCAGCGTCCCGGCAACAACGGTCAGAGTGTAGAGTTGCCTGTCCTGGACTAGGGGAAGAGGCTCTGCCCCATCCCCATTCTAGTGGTAACCATTAGAGAGCAGGATCTAAGGCCAGAGCCGCACTATGGCAGGAACCAAAGGACAAAGCCTTTATAAATAGAAGGTCACGAGTCCTGCAACTGGGGCTTGATAGGGAAGTGGATAGTGTTTCTGCTGGCCCAGGAAAAGGAGTTGGTGCACATCTTCCCCCACATTCCTTCCCTGCCCCGCCACCATCCCGAGACTTTCAGCACACCCCAACACAATTTCTTTCTGCCATCCCTGTCAGGGCAGGTGCATCCACTGGGCACCATACTGGTTCTCACTCTTTCGCTCCCTCTACTGGACTGCATCCTGAACTGCACCACCAAACAAAACTACATGGCTACAATAAGCAGAATCTGAGAATGCTTCTCCCCAGAACCTAACCACAACAAACGAGCCCATACAGATCCTTGGCCCCATGAAAGCATCGGAAATGAAGCCAGTCAGTCTTACACAACATATACCAGTCATACCCTCAAGGGGAAAAAAAAGAATTAAAAAGCTAAAAGGCCCCATTCAAATGATAGGAAATTCAAAAATGAGAAGCAACAGCTCCCTCAAATGAGAAGGAATCAGAGCAAGGACTCCAACAGTAAAATATCCAGTTTGACACCTCCAAAGGCTCACACTGGCTCCCTAGCAACGGATCCTAACCAGAATGAAATGTCTGAAATGACAGATAAAGAATTCAAAATATGGATTGCGGATCCCGTTCCAAGATGGCTGAATAGGAACAGCTGCGGTCTGCAGCTCCCAGCGTGACCCACGCAGAAGATGGGTGATTTCTGCATTTCCAACTGACATACCTGGGTCATCTCACTGGGACTGGTTGGACAGTGGGTGGAGCCCATGGAGGGTGAGCCGAAGCAGGGCAGGGCATCACCTCACCCAGGAAGTGCAAGGGGTCGGGAGATTTCCCTTTCCTAGCCAAGGGAAGCTGTGACAGACTGTACCTGAAAAAACGGGACATTCCTGCCCAAATACTGCACTTTTTTAATGGTCTTAGCAACCAGCAGACGAGGAGATATTTTCCAGTGCCTGGCTCGGTGGGTCCCGTGCCCACGGAGCCTTGCTCACTGCTAGCACAGCAGTCTGAGATTGACCTGTGAGGCTGCAGACTGGTTGGGGGAGGGGCATCTGCCATTGCTGAGGCTTGAGTAGGTAAACAAAGCAGCAGGGAAACTCAAACTGGGCACTGCAGCTTAGCAAGGCCTACTGCCTCTATGGGTTCCACCTATGTGGGAAGGGCATAGCTGAACAAAAGGCAGCAGAAACTTCTGCAGACTTAAATGTCCCTGTCTGACAGCTCTGAAGAGAGCAGTGATTCTCTCAGCACAGCGTTGGAGCTCTGAGAACAGACAGACTGCCTCCTCAAGTGGGTCCCTGACCCCGTGTAGCCTAACTGGGAGACACCTCCCAGTAAGGGTCGACTGACACCTCATACAGGCAGGTGTCCCTCTGAGACAAAGCTTCCAGAGGAAAGATCAGGAAGCAATATTTGCTATTCTGCAATAGTTGCTGTTCTGCAGCCTCCGCTGGTGATACCCAGGCAAACAGGGTCTGGAATGGACCTCCAGGAAACTCCAACAGACCTTCAGCTGAGGGACCAGACTGTCAGAAGGAAAACTAACAAACAGAAAAGAATAGTATCAACATTAACAAAAAGGACATTTACACCAAAACCCCATCTGTAGGTCACCAATATCAAACAACAAAGGTAGATAAAACCACAGAGATGGGGAGAAACCAGAGCAGAAAAGCTGAAAATTCTAAAAACCAGAGCACCTCTTCTCCTCCAAAGGACTACAGCTCCTTGCCAGCAACGGCACAAAGCTGGATGGAGAATGACTTTGATGAGTTGACAGAAGTATGCTTTAGAAGGTCGGTAATAACAAACTTCTCCAAGCTAAAGGAGCATGCTCTAACCCATTGCAAGGAAGCTAAAATCCTTGAAAAAAGATTAGACAAATGGCTATAGAGAATAAATGGTGTAGAGAAGACCTTAAATGACCTGATGGAGCTGAAAACCACAGTATGAGAACTTCGTGACACATGCACAAGCTTCAATAGCCGATTCAATTAAGTGGAAGAAAGGGTATCAGTGATTGAAGATAAAATTAATGAAATAAAGCGAGAAGACAAGGTTAGAGAAAAAAGAGTAAAAAGAAACGAAAAAAGCCTCCAATAAATATGGGACTATGTGAAAAGACCAAATCTACATTTGGTCTAGCAGAAGGCAAGAAATAACTAAGATCAGAGCAGAACTGAAGGAAATAGAGACACAAAAAACCCTTCAAAAAATCAGTGAATCCAGGAGCTGGTTTTTTGAAAAGATCAACAAAATTGATAGACTGCTAGCAAGACTAATAGGAAAGAGAGAAGAATCAAATAGATGCAATAAAAAATGGTAAAGGGGATATCACCACCGATCCCACAGAAATACAAACTACCATTAAAGAATGCTATAAACACCTCTACGCAAATAAACTAGAAAATCTAGAAGAAATGGATAAATTCCTCGACACATACACCCTCCCAAAACTAAAGCAGGAAGACGTTGAATCACTGAATAGACCAATAACAGCTCTGAAATTGAGGCAATAATTAATAGTCTAGCAACCAAAAAAAGTCCAGGACCAGAAGGATTCACAGCCGAAATCTACCAGAGGTACAAGGAGGAACTGGTACCATTCCTTCTGAAACTATTCCAATCAATAGAAAAAGAGGGAATCCTTCTTAACTCATTTTAGGAGGCCAGCATCATCCTGATATCAAAGCCTGGCAGAGACACAACAAAAAAAGAGAATTTTAGACCAATATCCCTGACAAACATTGGTGTAAAAATCCTCAATAAAATACTGGCAAACCTAATCCAGCAGCACATCAAAAAGCTTATCCACCATGATCAAGTGGACTTCATCCCTGGGATGCAAGTCTGGTTCAACATACACAAATCAATAAATGTAATCCAGCATATAAACAGAACCAATGACAAAAACCACACGATTATCTCAATAGATGCAGAAAAGGCCTTTGACAAAATTCAACAGCCCTTCATGCTAAAAACTCTCAATAAATTAGGTATTGATGGGACTTATCTCAAAATAATAAGAGCTATCTATGGCAAACCCACAGCCAATATCATATCGAATAGGCAAAAACTGGAAGCATTCCCTTTGAAAACTGGCACAAGACAGGGATGCCCTCTCTCACCACTCTTATTCAACATAGTGTTGGAAGTTCTGGCCAGGGCAATCAGGCAGGAGAAGGAAATAAAGGGCATTCAATTAGGAAAAGAGGAAGTCAAATTGTCCCTGTTTGCAGATGACATGATTGTATATCTAGAAAACCCCATCGTCTCAGCCCAAAATGTCCTTAAGCTGATAGGCAACTTCAGCAAAGTCTCAGGATACACAATCAATGTGCAAAAATCACAAGCATTCTTATACACCAATAACAGAGAAACAGAGAGCCAAATCATGAGTGAACTCCCATTCACAATTGCTTCAAAGAGAATAAAATACCTAGGAATCCAACTTACAAGGGATGTGAAGGACCTCTTCAAGGAGAAGTACAAACCACTGCTCAAGGAAATAAAAGAGGATACAAACAAATGGAAGAACATTCCATGCTCATGGATAGGAAGAATCAATATCATGAAAATGGCCATACTGCCCAACGTAATTTATAGATTCAATGCCATCCCCATCAAGCTACCAATGACTTTCTTCACAGAATTGGAAAAAACTACTTTAAAGTTCACGTGGAACCAAAAAAGAGCCCGCATTGCCAATTCAATCCTAAGCCAAAAGAACAAAGCTGGAGGCATCATGCTACCTGACTTCAAACTATACACAAGGCTACAGTAACCAAAACAGCATGGTACTGGTACCAAAACAGAGATACAGACCAACGGAACAGAACGGAACCCTCAAATAATGCCACATATCTACAACCATCTGATCTTTGACAAACCTGACAAAAACAAGCAATGGGGAAAGGATTCCCTATTTAATAAATGGTGCTGGGAAAACTGGCTAGCAATATGTAGACAGCTGAAACTGAATCCCTTCCTTACACCTTATACAAAAATTAATTCAAGATGGATGAAAGACTTAAATGTTAGACCTAAAACCATAAAAACTGTAGAAGAAAACCTAGGCAATATCATTCAGGACATAGGCATGGGCAAGGACTTCATGTCTAAAACACCAAAAGCAATGACAACAAAGGCCAAGATTGACAAATGGGATCTAATTAAACTCAAGAGCTTCTGCACAGCAAAAGAAACTACCATCAGAGTGAACAGGCAACCTACAGAATGGGAGAAAATTTTTGCAATCTACTCATCTGACAAAAGGCTAATATCCAGAATCTACAATGAACTCCAAAAAATTTACAAGAAAAAAACAAACAACCCCATCAAAAAGTGGGCAAAGGATATGAACAGACACTTCTCAAAAGAAGACATTTATGCAGCCAAGAAACACACGAAAAAATGCTCATCCTCACTGACCATCAGAGAAATGCCAATCAAAACCACAGTGAGATATCATCTCACACCAGTTAGAATGGCAATCATTAAAAAGTCAGGAAACAACAGATGCTGGAAAGGATGTGGAGAAATAGGAACACTTTTACACTGTTGGTGGGACTGGAAACTAGTTAACCATTGTGGAAGTCAGTGTGGCGATTCCTCAGGGATCTTGAACTAGAAATACCATTTGACCCAGCCATCCCATTACTGGGTATATACCCAAAGAACTATAAATCTTGCTGCTATAAAGACACATGCACACGTATGTTTATTGCAGCACTATTCACAATAGCAAAGACTTGGAACCAACCCAAATGTCCAATAATGATAGACTGGATTAAGAAGATGTGGCACATATACACCATGAAATACTATGCAGCCATAAAAACTGATGAATTCATGTCCTTTGTAGGGACATGGATGATGCTAGAAACCATCATTCTCAGCAAACTATTGCAAGGACAAAAAACCAAACACTGCATGTGCTCACTCATAGGTGGGAATTGAACAATGAGAACACATGGACACAGGAAGGGGAACATCACACACTCGGGCCTGTTGTGGGGTGGGGGGAGGGGGTAGGGGTAGCATTAGGAGATATACCTTATGTTAAATGACGAGTTAATGGGTGCAGCACACCAACATGGCATATGTATACATATGTAACTAACCTGCATGTTGTGCACATGTACCATAAAACTTAATGCATAATAAGAAAAGAAATGTACAATCCAAGTTTATTTACTATATTTACCATGCTGTGCAATAGATCTCAAAAAACTTATCTTTCAATCTATCTGATATTTTGTACTCTTTGACCATCATCTCTTCATTCCCCCAACCCTTGCAGACTCTGTAACCACCATTCTACTCTCTGCTTATATGAGTTTCATTGTTTTAGATTCTACATATAAATGAGATCATGCAGTATTTGTCTTTCTATGCCTGACATATTACACTTAGTGTAATGTTCTCCAGTTCTATCCATGTTGTTGCAAATGACAGAAGTTTCTTCTTTTTTAAGGCTGAATAATATTCCACTGGGTATATATGCCATATTTTATTTATCCATTTATCTGTTCATGGACACTTAGGTTGATTCCGTAACTTGTCTATGGTGAATAGTGCTGTGCGGACATCTCTTCAACAAACTGATTTCAATATTTTTTTGGCAAATATCAAGAAGGGGGATGGCTGGATCATATGGTTTATCAACTTTTAGTTTGTTGAGGAACTTCCTTACTGTTTTCCATAATGACTGTACTGATTTATATTCTTGCCAGCAATGTACAAGTGTTCCCATTTCACCACATCGTTGCCAGCACTTGTCATCTTTTTGATAATAGCCATCCTGACACGTGTGAGATAATATCTCATTGTGTTTTTAATTTGCATTTTACTAACGATGAGTGATATCAAGCATTTTTAATATATATCTGTTGATCATTTGTATGTCTTCTTTTGAAAAATGTCTATTCGGCCAGGCACAGTGGCTCACGCCTGTAATCCTAGCACTTTGCGAGGCCAAGGCCAGCAGATCACGACATCAGGAGATCAAGACCATCCTGGCCAACAGAGTGAAACCCTGTCTCTACTAAAAATACAAAAAATTAGCCGGGTATGGTGGCAGGCGCCTGTAGTCCTGGCTACTTGGGAGGCTATGGCAGGAGAATGGCGTGAACCCAGGAAGCGGAGCTTGCAGTGAGCCGAGATAGCGCCACTGCACTCCAGCCTGGGCGACAGAGCAAGACTCTGTCTCAAAAAAAAAAAAAAAAAAAAAAGAAAAATGTCTATTCAAGTTTCTTGTCCATTTTTTAGATTTTTTCTTGATGTTGAATTGTTGGAATTACTGATATATTTTGGATATTAACCCCTTATTGTATGTATGGTTTCCAAATATTTTCTCTTAATCATTAGGTTGTTTCTTTATACTCTTGTTTCCTTTGCTGTGCAGAAGCTTTTTAATTTTATGTAATCTCATTTATCTCTTTTTACTTTTGTTGCCTATGCTTTTGCAGTCAAATGCAAAAAATCATTGCCTAGACCATGTTTTGTAGTTTTTCCACTATGTTTTCTTCTAGTAATTTTGCAGTTTCAGGTCTTATGTTTTTAATCCACTCTGAGTTGACTTTTGTATCTAGTGTGAAATAAGGGTCCAGTTTCACAATTATCTTCACGTGGATATCCAGTTTTCACACCATTTATTGAAGAAACTATCCTTTCCTTATTGTGTATTTTTGGCAACTTTGTTAAAAAAAATCAATTGACTGTACATGTGTGAGTTCAGTTCTGGGCTCTCTATTCTGCTCTGCTGGTCAATGTGTCTGTTTTTTGCCAGTGCAATACTATTTTATTTATTATAGCTTTGTAATATAGTTTGAAATCAGGTACAATGATGCCTCCAGCTTTGTTCTTTTTGCTCATGATTGCCTTGGCCATTTAGTATTTTTAGTGGTTTCCTGTGAATTTTAGGATTTTTTTTCTATTTCCCTGAATAAAAACATTGAAATTTTGGTAGGGACTGCATTGACTCTGTGGGTCACCTTGGGTAGTATACATATTTTAACAATATTAATTCTTGTAATCCATGAAATATGGGATATCTTTCCATGTTTTGTGTCTTCTTCGATTTTTTTCTTCAGTGTTTTTATAGTTTTCATCGTACAGGTCTATCACCTCATTGATTAAATTTACTCCTGAGTATTCTTTGTTGTTGTTGCTATTGTAAACAGGATTGTTCCCATTTTCTTTTTCAGATAGTTAATGGTTAGTGTATAGAAATGCTACTGATTTTTGCATGTTGACTTTGTATCCTACAACTTTACAGTGTATTCATTTATTACTTCTAACAGATTTTGGTGGCATCTTTAAGGCTTACCATATATAAGATTATGTCATTTGCAAATGGTGGCAATTTATCTTCTCCCTTTTCAATTTGAATGCCTTCTATGTCTTTCTCCTATGTAATTTACCCTGTCGAGGCCTTCCACTACTATGCTGAATAGAAGTGGCTAGAGTAGGCATCCTTATCTTCTTCCAGATCTTAGAAGAAAGATTTTTCACCATGGAGTATAATGTTTGCCATAGACCTTTTCTCTATGGCCTTTCTTGTGCTGATGTACATTCCTTCGAAACATAATTCCATGAGAGTTCTTATCATGAAAAAATGTTGAATTTGTCAAATTATTTTCTGCATCTCATTAGGTCATTATACAGTTTTTATCCTTCATTCTGTTATGTGATGTGAAGTATCACATTTATTGATTTGCATATGTTGAACCATCCTTCAAGCCCAGGGATAAGTCTCATTTGATCACAGTGGATGATCTTTTAATGTGTTGTAGAATTTGGTTTGCTACTATTTTGTTGAGGATTTTTGCATCTATGTTAATTAATTACTTTTATTGTAATATCCTTGTCTAGCTTTGGTATCAGAATAGTGCTGGCCTCATAAAAACAGTTTGAAAATATTTCCTCCTTTTATTTCTTGGAAGAGTTTGAGAAATATTGGTATTCATTATTCAAATGTTTGATAGAATTCAGCAGTGAAGCCATCAGTTCCTGTGCTTTTCTTTGACGGGAGAAATTTTTATGACTGATTAATCTTATTATTGTGTTGTTCAGATTTTCTATTTCTTCATGATTCAGTCATTGTAAGTTGCATGTGTCTAGGAATTTATTCATTTCTTATCAGCTGCAATGTCTCTTTTATTTCTGATTCATTTGAATTTTCTCACTTTTTTTCTTTGGTAGTTTATCTAAAGTTTTGTTGGCTTTGTTTATCTTTTCAAAAACCCAACACTTAGTTCATTGATTTTTTTTATTCCTTTTTAGTTTGTATTTTGTTTATTTCTGCTCTGACCTTTGCTATATGTTTCTTTCTGCTAACTTTGGGCTTAATTTGTCCTTTCTTTTGAAAAGTAATGTGAAATTATTTTTGAGAGCTTTCTTCTTTTTGATGTAGGCATTTATTACTTTCCTCTTAGAACTGCTTTTGTTGTACTTTATAAACATGGGTGGTATGTTGCATTTTTATTTTTGTTTTTCCCAAATATTTTTTTAAATTTCCCTTTTACTTTCTTTGTGGATCCACTGGTTGTTCAAGAGCATGTTGTTTAATTTCCATGTATGTAAGTTTTCTGGAATTCCTACTTTTATTCATTTGTAGTTTCATACCATTGTGGTCGGAAAAGACACTTGATATGATTTTAGTCATCTAAAATTTGCTAAGGCTTGTTTTGTGTCCTAATGTGATCAATCCTGGAGAATGTTCCAAGTGCAGTTGAGAATAATGTGTATTCTTTTATTGGATGGAATGGTCTGTATATATATATGTTGGGCCCATTTGTTCTAAAGTGTTGTTCGTGTCCCATGTTTCCTGATTAATTTTCTGTCTGGATAATCTGTCCATTGTTGAAAGTGGGATATTGAAGTCTTTAGCCTGTGATTCTGGAAAGTCTAGCTGTTGATGGGTAGGCAGAGCTTGTTGTGAGTTCCCTAGTTGGCTGGATTGCTGCACTGTCTTTGCTCTGATGTTGGGTGGGGCTGCTGTCTAGGTTCTGCTGTCTGGTGACACCACTGGTGAGACTGTTGTCAGTCGGAGCTGATGGCTAGGTACTGCAATGGCTTCTGGTCAGGTTGGTCACAGGATGCATTCCCTGGCTGGGCAGTTCTGCTCTTTGAGATGAGTAGCTGGGCAAGACTGCAAGCTGGGCTCTGAGGTGAGGCAGAATTGCTGCTCAGGATGGGTGGGACCAGAAGATACGGTTCTATGAAATGCATGATGTAGGATTACCTCCCTGTCCTGGAAGAGCTGTGGGGTGGGGTTTTGGCTGAATTGAAAAGCTCTTTGACCTTCTAGATCGAGTAGGTATAGCCCCTACACTTCTCTGAAATGTGCAGAGGTAGGGGTCTTTCTGCTTGGGCGGATGTTTTGGCTGAGTGAAGACTTGTGAGTCAAGCAGATCTAGTCTACACACATCTCCAAGATGGCCAGAGGTGGGCATCTCCTTGCTTGGGTGAGTCATTGGAATGGGCTCTGAGGCCAAGCATGGAAACTAGCCATCTAAGGATTTAAGCTGTGTTGGCCTTCCCCTGTGCTTCTGAAAGTGACCAACTCAGCTTTGTAGGTGGCTATAAAGTTGGCTGATGTCTCCAATCATGTGCAACAGGTAGCAGGAAAACAGAGGTACCACGAAGATCCATGTGCTGGTCACCATGATCTCTGCCTCCTTTCTTTGTTTCTATCTGACCCTGGCCACCTGGGCCCATTACATTTGGTGTTTCCCATGAGGTGAGACTAGAGTAGGCTTTTTGAGGAGCATCTAAGAATGCTAGGAAAGCTGGATGACTGCCTCTGGTTCTCTTTTCCCCTTGTAGCAACCATGCACTCAGAGAAATCCTCTCCATATGGAACTGTGCCAACTTAGGGGAGGTGGAAGGGTGGTGCAGTTGAAGTGAGACCATTCTTCTTACCCCTTTAAATTGGTTTTCATTCAGTTCTGAGGATCACACAGTTGTCTTGGGCTTGATTCCAATTATTGGGGTTTTCAAAAAGGTGTTCTTGTCTGTGAATAGTTGCTAGTCGAACTTTCTGTGGGCTGGGGTTGGAGCTTGAAACTTTCTACTCCACCATCTTGTTGATGTCATCTCTATTGGCATGTATTAATAACAAAACTTTGAATTTGCGCACACATATTCCTAGGTCCAGCAGCCCGGTGATGAACAACCTCAACAAGAGACACCACCACCTAAAAGTTGGAATATTTCTTCCGTTCAAGAGAAAGGAGATGAAGAAATATCTGTGGTTCAAAGTGAAAAGAAGGGGAAGAAGAATGCCTATGGATGGAGGTTTATGTGTGCATCATGCATTATGACAGATCAGGAACAGAAGAGAGAGCATTAGAGAAGGATATCAAACATTCCCTAAAAATTGGCTTGAAAGTGAAGTGGGCTTGCAACCATGTGCAGTCCCTCGTCATGAATTTTCCCTTTCTCGTCAAGACTTACTTGGTGTGCTTGGAAAATACAGTACTTTTCAGAGCTAATCTCTAGTGAATCTAAGAAAACTACTTAATTTTAGTCATAAAATTGTACATCATTTCACTAGTTAAATTTGATATTAGAACATTGTTGCTGGATTTTTAAATCATTGCATTAAAAGTGTAAGCAACTTTTAATAGCACGTGTAGAGTGCCAAGTCAAAATGTAAAGTGCCAAATGTAAAGTGCCAAAATGTAAAGAACATACCTTGAAACACTCTGATTAAAGCCCCGTTGTGTAGGAATGTTAAGCTACTTTGTAAATGAGAAAACTGAGGCTAGGTCATCGTGTCTCACCAAAGAGGATGCAAATGATAGCTACAGAATTCATGTTTCATTCCAGAGGTTGTGTTCTTCCTAAAATCTATGTTGCTTTAAGAAAAAATGAATGATTTTGCTTAAAATGCTTAATACCCAAATTTCTATACTGTAAGATAGCTCAGTGCTGGCACAGGCATAGATCTAGTTGAAAGGAACGGGGCAGACTCTGGAAAGGAGCTCAATGAATGATGGCCATTGTTTTCTTTGATTTACATTTTTTGTGTGGTAAGCTTGGTAAGAGCTGGATAATTCAGGGTACTGACATACTTGTACATGGTTTACTATAATTATTTAAGTCACTTTTAAAGGTGGTTAAGTCATCTTATGGTGAGGAAACTCAAAAGACTGAGTTCCTAAGATTAACAGGAAAAAGAATCATCTTTTCCAGATAGAGTATTTTTAAGCAAAATATTTCCATAATTTAGGCTGTGGATTATTTTAGTGGTTCATTATGAACAGATTTCCAGAATATGACTCAAACAATGCCCATTCATTTGTCTTCACCCCTCTTCCCTTATTCTCAGTAGAAGACAGGAATTTTTCTGAACTCACAAATAATTTTTCTGTCATTTTTGATTCTTTGTTCTGCTTGGGATTCATTTATGGAAAGTTACACATAGGACTTTTGGATAATTTTAACAAAGTATGTTTCAGGTTACTCCAATAGTGGGTGGAGGTCATGACTATAAGATTTGCCATGGGCCCTCAAATCCATTTGGCTGATCCTTTAGAAAATTACCTTTTAAATGTAATTGAAATCCTGTTCATGGTGTAGATTTCAGATTTCTTTGACAGCTGATGTTTATTGCTCTTAATACACTATGGGGAAATACAGGAAATGTAGGTTTAGCATGGCTCTGACATTGTCATTTAAAATAAGGTTTCATAAGACATATAGAGGTAACAATGCTGCTATTTTAGTAGTAGAGTTTACACATAAAGATTCTTTGAAAAGTAGTTCAGATCCCATATATACTTGACTTATAAACTATGAGAGAAAAACATTGGGTCAAAGCAATATTGTATTATAAAACGTGAAGGTGTTTACTTACTTTTCAGTGTCCTTTAACCTTCAAGATACTATCATAATGCTCTGATTGTTACAAATAAATAATACATTTATAATGCAAATCAGTGTGTATGAAATATGCTGTGTACTGAGGTTGGTTGTACTACCAGCTCTAACATAAGTTTTGTGACTCTGGGTCAATCCCTTAAGTTCTAAACTTATCTTTGCTGTTATAAAAACTCTAAATTCAGTTAATAATTTACTGTATATTTCAAAATTGCTAAAAGAATCAATTTTTTTAACATTCTCACCACAAAAAAGTGCTAAAGTCGTGAGGTAAGAGATGTGTTAACTAGCCTGATAGGATCTTTTTATAATATGTACAAATATCACATTGGACTCCATAAATATACACCATTATTGTCAATTAAAAATAAAGAAACAAAATTGAAGAAAACAGTGAGTTCAAGTCAGATATTTTAAAATGATTTTCAGTGTATTCTGGTTCTGTTGGTTAGAATTCATAAAATATAATCTGCTTTGTGTGATTTTGTTTATCATACTTCATCAGACTCTGGCCTGAGTCCAATTTAATTCTTCTGACTTTTAAAGAATAATTACATTTTAAATCCTTCTCCAAATGTAACTGCAAATGATTTAATGATAAAATGGTGACAGGCTATCTAGTTTCTAGTTACTGTAGTTGGTGAAGTAGGGAGAGTGCATATAGGTCACTGATACTCTGGATGGGTGCAAGTAGGATGCCCATGCTAAGCATGCTTCTTGCTCCTGTCAGTCTTCTAAGACGACTGTGGACACTATAGAGTTCAAGTTCAAATACCATAACAGCAGTACTTATTGAGTAATTTAGTGTTTTACATATGTGTTTTCCAAATTTCTCACCATTAATTACACAAGCTTCTGAATTTAAAAGAAGCTCTTGATGTTTAGGGAGGAAATTACCTTGGGTTAGTCTTCTAATGCACTCTACATTTTTTCATTCTGCATTCCTTACCCATTCCATCAGAATATTTAGATTAAAAAATTGTTTTTAAACTACTCTTAGGAACCTATTAAACATGGCTAAATGTATTCATAGAAAGATCATAGCTTTCAATCATTGTTATTAAAAATATAATAAATTGCATGAGCACCCAACACAAAAATAAGAAGAAAAGAGTAACAAAATAAACCTAAGGGAAAAGGAGTGAGGTACTCAATGAAAAAACAGGTATGAATCATTAGTAAAAGAAAAAATAGTGCCAGAGAAAGGGAGGAGCAGCCAAGATGGCTGAATAGAAACAGCTCCTCTCTGCACTTTCCACTAAGAAGGATGAAAACCGTGAGTGAACTCTGCATCTTCAATTGAGGTACCAGGGTTCTCTTTGGGACTGACTAGGTGGTTGGCACAACCCAGAGAGAGTGAGGAAAGCAGGGTGGAGTGATGGCCCACCCAGCAGCTGCACAGGGCAAAGGAGACAGTGAGGGATTGTGTCTCCTCTCCCTGAAAACCACAGCTTTTCCCAATCCTTGCTACCCAACCCGTAGATCAAGAGGTCCCCCACTGAGCCCATGCTACTAGAGCCTCGGGTCCCAAACACAAAGCTGGGGAGATCCTTGGTGGCTTCTCAGGCAAGTGGCTGAGTGAGAAGGCACTGAAACACAGGACTATTTGCATACTCCAGCTCTGGGAACGTCCGCAAGGTAGGAGATTCCTCCACTCCTGTGGAAAGGGAGCTGAAGCCAGGGAGCCAAGCAGCCTCACTCCAATGGAACACCACAAACTAAAACCCACTGGCTTGGAATCTTCCCCAGCCAGCCCAGCCCTCTAGAGACTGCCTAAGAGGACCGAATTTCCGGGGATTGGGTGGGGAGAGGCAACACAATCACTGCAGCTCCAGTAGGCCGCTTTCCCCGGTTACCCATGCCACTGAGATGTGTGGTCTGGACCCAGGGCAGTTCCCCACAGTGCAGCACAGCTGCTGGACCAGTTCGTGGCCAGACCGCTTCTTTAAGCAGGACCCTGATCCACTCCTCCTCATTGGGCAGGGTCTCCCTGTGGGAATCTTAGCATCCACAGCCAGGGGTTTATGGACAGAACTCTGATAACCCTGAGAGGACCCCCTAGGAGGAAGGGGTGGCTGCAATATCGTGGATCAGTAATCTCAGTCTTTTCTGCCTGCTGGCTCTGGAGAGTCAGGGCAGCCTGGATTCCACCCAGTGCAGCACATGTGCCCCACCAAGGGGCAGACAGACTGCTTATTTAAATGGGTCCCTGATCCTGCTCCTCCTGACTGAGACCTACAAACAGGAGTCTTCAGACACCTCATACAGGAGCATTCCAGGCAGCATCAGGTAAGTGCCCCTCTGGGACAGAGCTCCCCCAGGAAGGAGCAGGCTGCCATCTTGGCTGGTCTGCAGCCTCCACTGGTGATATCTCCAGGGGTGGGAGGGGCCCAGGTGAATAGGGTCTGGAGTGCACCCCAAGCAAACCACAGCAGCCCTACAGAAGAGGGGCCTGACTGCTAAAAGCAGATGAAATAGCAACAACAACATCAATGAAAGAGAGCCCAGGAAAACCCCACCCAAAAGTCAGCAGCCTCAAAGATCAAAGGTAGATAAACCCAAGAAGATGAGAAAGAATCATTGCAAAAATGCTGAAAACCAAAAAATCCAGAGTGCCTTTTCACCTCCAAATGATCACAACACGTCTCTAGCAAGGGCATAGAACTGGGCTGAGGCTGAGATGGATGAATTGGCAGAAAAAGGCTCCAGAAGATGGATTATAATGAACTTCACTGAGTTAAAGTTTTATGTTCTAACTCACTGCAAAGAAACTAAAAACCATGACAAAACATTACAGGAGCTGTTAACCAGAATAACCAGTTTAGAGAGGAACATAATCTGATGGAGCTGAAAAACACAATGTGAGAACTTCACAAATCAAACAAAAGTATCAATAGCTGAATAAACCAAGCAGAAGAAAGGATATCAGAGCTTGAAGACTATCTTGCTGAAATAAGGCAGGCAGACAAGATTAGAGAATAAAGAATGAAAAGGAATGAACAAAACCTCCGAGAACTGTGGGATTATGTTAAAAGACCAAACCTACAACGACAGGAGTACCTAAAAGAGATGGGGAGAATAGAACCAAGTTGGAAAACACACTTCAGGATACCATCCAAGAGAACTTCCCCAACCTAGCAAGACATTCAAATTCAGGAAGTCCAGAGAACCCCAGTAAAATACTCCATGAGAAGATCAACCCCAAGATACATAATCGTCATATTCTCCAAGATCAAAATGAAGGAAAAAATGTTAAAAGTAGCCAGATAGAAGGGCCAGGTAATCTATAAAGGGAAGCCCATCAGACTAACAGCAGACCTCTCAGCAGAAACCCTATAAGCCAGAAGAGATTGGGGGCCAATATCCGACATTCATAAAGAAAATAATTTCCAACCTAGGATTTCATATCTGGCCAAATTAAGCTTCATAAGTGAAGGAGAAACACAATCTTGTTTAGACAAGCAAATGCTGAGGGAATTCATCACCACCAGGCCTGCCTTGCAAGAACTCCTGAAGGAAGCACTAAATATGGACAGGAAAAACCATTACCAGCCACTACAAAAACACACTGAAGTACACAAACCAGTGACGTTATGAAACAACTACATAAACAAGTCTGCAAAATAACCAACTAACATCATGATGTTAGGATCAAATTCACACATAACAATATTAAACTTAAATGTAAATGAACCAAATGCCCTAACTAAAAGATACAGAGTGGCAAGCTGGATAAAAAGTCAAGATCCATTGGTGTGCTCTATTCAAGAGACCCATCTCAAATGCAAAACCACACATAGACTCAAAAGAAAAGGATGGAGGAAAATTTACCAAGCAAATGGAAAACAGAAAAAAGCAAAGTTGCAATTCTAGTTTCTGACAAAACAGACTTTAAACCCACAAAGATAAAAAATAACAAGGGCATTACATAATGGTAAAGGGGTCAATTCAACAGGAAGAGCTAACTGTCCTAAATATATATGCACCCAATATAGGAGCACAGATTCATAAAACAAACTCTTAGAGACCTACAGAGAGATTTACACTCCCACACAATAATAGTGGGAGATTTAACACCCCACTGTCAATATTAGACAGATCAATGTTACAGAAAGTTAACAAAGATATTCAGGACTCGAACTGAGCTCTGGATCAAGTGGACCTGATTGATATCTACAGAACTCTCCACCCCAAAACAACAAGGAGAATACACATTCTCCTTGGTGCCACATGGCACTTACTCTAAAATTGATCATGTAATTAAAAGTAAATCACTCTTCAGAAAATGCAAAAGAACTGAAATTACAACAAACAGTCTCTCAGACCACAGCACAATCAAATTAGAACCCAAGATTAAGAAACTCACTGTAAACTACACAACTACGTGGAAATTCAACAACCTGCTCCTGAATGACTCCTGGGTAAATAATGAAATTAAGGCAGAAATCAAGAAGTTCTTTGAAACCAATGAGAACAAAGAGACAATGTACCAGAATATTTGGGAGGTACCTAAAGCACTGTTAAGAGGGAAATTTATCGCACTAAATGCGCACATCAAAAAGCTAGAAAGATCTCAATCGACACCCTAGCATCACAACTAAAAGAACAAGAGGACCAAGAGCAAACAAACCCCACAGGTAGCAGAAGACAAGAAATAACCAAGATTAGAGTGAAACTGAAGGATATAGAGACAAGAAAAACCCTTAAAAAATACATGAATCCAGGAGCTGGTGTTTTTTTTTTTTTTTTTTGAAAAAAAATAATAGACCACTAGCTAGAGTAATAAAGAAGAAAAGAGAGAAGAATCAAATAGACACAATAAAAAATAATAAAGGGAATATCACCACTGACAACACAGAAATACAAACAACCATCAGAGAATACTGTAAACACCTCTATGTACATAAACTAGAAAATCTAGAAGAAATGGATAAATTCCTTGACACACACACCCTTCCAAGACTAAACCAGGAAGAAGTTGAATCCCTGAATAGACCAATTCAGGTTCTGAAACTGAGGCAGTAATAAACAGCCTATCAGCCAAAAATAAATAAATAAATAAATAAATAAATAAATAAGCCCAGGACAAGGTGGATTTACAGCTGAATTCTATCAGAAGTACAATAAGGAGCTGATACCCTTTCTTCTGAAACTATTCAAAGCAATTGAAAAGGAGGAACTTATTCCTAACTCATTCTATGAAGCCAGCATTATCTTGATACCAAAACCTGGCAGAGATACAACAACAACCAAAAAACTAAGCCAGTATCCCTAACGAATGTTGATGCAAAAATTTTCAATAAAATACTGGCAATCCAAATCCAGCAGCACGTAAAAAAGCCTGTCCACCATGATCAAGTTGGCTTCATTCCTGGGATACATGGCTGGTTCAACATATGCAAATTAATAAACATAATTCATCACATAAACTGATCTAAAGAGAAAACCCACAGGATTATTTCAATAGACACAGAAAAAACGTTTGATAAAATTCAACATCCCTTCATGTTAAAAACTCTCAACAAACTAGACATTGAAGGAACACACCTCAAAATAATAAGAGCTACTTATGACAAACCCACAGCCAATATCATACTGAATGGGCAAAAGCTGGAAGCATTCCCCTTGAAAACCAGCACAAGACAAGGATGCCTTCTCTCACCACCCTTTTTTTTTTTTTTTACTTTTTCACTTTCCTTTTTATCCTTTGTAGTATTTTTACACACATTCACCACCCTTATAGAGCATAGTATTGGAAGTTCTGGCCAGGGCAATCAGTCAAGAGAATGAAATAAAGAGTATTCAAATAGAAAGAGAGGGAATAAAATTGTCTTCGTTTGCAGATGACATAATCCTATATCTGGAAAACCCCATTGTCTCAGCCCAAAAGCTTCTTCAGCTGATAAGCAACTTCAGCAAAGTCTCAGGATACAAAATCAGTGTGCAGAAGTCACAAACATTCTGATACACCAAAAACAGACAAGCAGAGAGCCAAATAATGAATGAACTCCCATTCACAATTGCTACAAAAAGAATAAAATACCTAGGAATACAACTAACAAGGGAAGTGAAGAACTTCTTCAAGGAGAACTACGATCCACTGCCCAAGGAAACCAGAGAGGACACAAACAAATGGAAAAATATTCCATGCTCATGGATAGGAGAATCAATATTGTGAAAATGACCACGTTGCCCAAAGTAATTTACAGATTTAATGCTATTCCCATTAAACTACCATTGACAATCTTCACAGAATCAGAAAAAACTATTTTAAAATTCATATGGAACCAAAAAAGGGCTTGTATAGCTAAGACAATCCTAAGTGAAAAAACAAAGCTGGAGACATCACACTGCCAGGCTTCAAGCTATACTGTAAGGCTACAATCACCAAAACAGCATGGTACTGATACAAAAACAGACACATAGACCAATGAAACAGAGTGGAGAACTCAGAAATAAGACTGCACTTCTACAACCATCTGATCTTTGACAAACCTGACAAAAACAAGCAATGGGGGAGAGGATTCCCTGGTTAATAAGTGGTCCTGAAAGAACAGGCTATCCATATGCAGAAAATGGAACCTGGACCGCTTCCTCGCACCTTATGCAAAAATTAACTCAAGATGGATTAAAGACTTAAATGTAAAATTAAAAACTGTAAAAACCCTAGAAGAAAATCTCGGCAATACAATTCAGGACATAGGCATGGGCAAATATTTCATGATAAAATCTCCAAAAGCAATTGCAACAAAAGCAAAAATTTTCAAGTGGGACCTAATTAAACTAAAGAGCTTCTGTGCAGCAAAAGAAACTATCATCAGAGCAAACAGGCAACCTACAGAGTGTGAGAAAACTTTTGCAATATATCCATCTGACAAAGGTCTAATATCCAGAATCTACAAGGAACAAATTTACAAGAAAAAAAAACATTAAAAAGTGGGCAAAGGACATGAACAGACACTTTTCAAAAGAAGACATTCATGTAGCCAACAGAAATATGGAAAAAAGCTCAACATCACTGATCATTAGAGAAATGCAAATCAGAGCCACAATGAGTTACCATCTCATGCCACTCATAATGGCGATTATTAAAAGTGAAAAAACAACAGATGCTGGTGAGGTTGCAGAGAAATAGGAATGCTTTTACGCTGTTGGTGGGAGTGTAAAGTAGTTCAACCATTGTGGAAGAAGGTGTGGCAATTCCTCAAAGATCTAGAACCAGAAATACCGTTTGACCTAGCAATCCCATTACTGGGTACATACCCAAAGAAACATAAATCATTCTATTACAAAGATAGATGCACGCATATGTTTATTGCAGCACTACTCAAAATAGCAAAGACATGGAATCAACCCAAATGCCCATGAACAATAGTCTAGATAAAGAAAATGTGGTACATATACACTATGAAATACTATGCAGTCATAAAAAGGAACGAGATCATGTCCTTTGCAGGGACATGGATGAAGCTGGAAGCCATTATCCTCAACAAACTAACACAGGACCAGAAAACCAAACAAACACCGCATGTTCTTACTTATAAGTGAGAGTTGAACAATGAGAACACATAGACACAGGGAGGGGAACAACACACACTGGGGCCTGTTGGTTGGTGTTGGGGGAAGGGAGAATATTAGGAAAAATAGCTAATGCATGCTGGGCTTAATGCCTAGGTGATGGGTTGATGGGTGCAGTGAACCACCATGGCACACATTTTCCTATGTAACAAACCTGCACATCCTGCATGTGTACCCCAGAACTAAAAATAAAAACTAAAAGAAAAAAATGAAAAAAATAACCCAACTAGTAAATTAAAAAGACTGCTACTTTTAAATACATCTACGAATAGAGGATCCACTAATTTTATATAATCTTAAAGAAAATGGATAAAGCCAACCATATACAATAAGGAATGTGGACAAGATGCTAACACATGTTGTATAATTAAAAGTTAATAAATTTTTGAAATCTAAATATTTTTAAAATATGAACGAAATGTGCTAGGAAAACATAAATTCTTTAACATATTGCAAGAGTAACTAGATATCTAAACAACACAAATAATATGGATGAGCTTTTAAAATTTGTCAGTTATCCCTCCAGAGCAATTATCTTTTAGAAGCCAATAATAATCTGTATATATGTACACTGACTTTTCCCAATCTCTCTCTCTGTCTCTTTCTCCCAGACCAGGAGAAATTA
The DNA here is from genome assembly GCF_000001405.40 of Homo sapiens. Taxonomy (NCBI): domain Eukaryota; kingdom Metazoa; phylum Chordata; class Mammalia; order Primates; family Hominidae; genus Homo; species Homo sapiens. The sequence continues at coordinate 55,363,154 of NC_000023.11, forward strand.
ATTGTATTATTTTTTCTTTACTTTGTTTTGTTTCCTAAATTTATATGACTTAAAACTAGTGTGTTCCTATAATTTATTTTACAAACTGAAAAAAACTTTAAGTGTATAAAGAGGCATTATTTATAATTAACGCAGGAGTATGGGCAAGAAAGAGGACAAGTGGCTACTCTAATTAAAACAAATACACAACGGCTAAATTAGCCCAAAGTTACATTTTTGTATTTTTCCACAAAAAAGATAAAGTAAATATAATGGTGGTCTTTTTATTCACTTTACCTAGCAGTTCTGAGACTGACATCATTTTAGCTATCTTGTGTTGAGAATATCATTTCCAGACAAAATATCTCAATGATAGCTTTAAATATTTCTCTTTGTTTTGATATTTGTTTGCTTTAGTTGCGTTGTTATTAAGAGTTACAAGATTTAAAAAAAAAAGTTACAAGATTTTTGCTTTCGACTTAAAAGTACCTTTAAATAACTTCTTTTGATTTAATCTGTTCTTTACTTGAATAGTCAGTTTGAATCCCCTTCTACTAGAAGGGGTAGTATATTTAATAAAAATATTGTTAATATGCCTAAAATTCTACCTTCAGAGTCTGTATAGACCTTTAACTAGATATAAACCCAAGGGTTGACCTTAGAATTCTGTTTTTAGTTCACTCTATAAAACCTTAACTGCAGTGTTCTTTGGACCTTTTACTGTCATCTAAATAAAATTTTGCTAGTCGTTTTCCCAACTATTATGTCTATTTTATAGGTGAAAGGCAATTGTAGCTTTCAAGGAAGACAAAGTTCTTCAAGGAAGACATGCTGTCCTTATGTTGCAAATTTGACTGTTTAAAATTCTCTCAACAAAGTTTTATAATTTATCCAAAAAAGTCTTGCATGTCTTGCTATTATAAACCGTATATTTTTCTGAAATTTTATATTGCAACTGATCTGATATACAGATGTGTACTTTTTGGATACTGATCATTCTGCAATTTTGCAAATTCCCCCCATCTTTCTCAGGAGCATTCAGTGAAAGTATATTTGGAAGAACTTGCAAGAGGGCACAATATTCCTTGTGTCTGTGGCTCTCAAGAGTTCTATACCATCATGGTAGGCCACACTAGGCCCTTATCAGCTTGTTAAAAGTGTTGACTGAAGTCTACTCATCCAGTGTGTCCTCCCATGCTCTGCCCTGCGGTGGGGGAGTCATCATTCTTGTTTTGAAAATTCTTACAGGTGCTTTTCTTTCCTTAGATTTCGGGCTAGCAAGTATCTCTGAAAACTAAGCTTTCTGATTAGTTCAAGAAAAGTTACGATTTTTAGCTCTTTCTTTCTGTTTGTGTGGGAGTAGTGCTCTTTCCAGTTTTTCAATCTTATGCAGAAGCCAGAATTCATATAAGTTCTTTAAGTCTGCTAAATGAATTTTAGAGTCAGTCAATTACATAAAAATCATTTTTATTTAGTAAAGGAAATCTATCTGTCATATATCTAGGCACAACTCAAAACTGAACATTTGTGTTTAATTTATATTGCCCCCTTATCCTGGCTGATGAAAAATAGATGGTTGTAATTTAGAATACTGAACTATCTCTTTCTTCCAAACTCAAATACAACTTAAATCTTAATATATATGCAAATAAGACCTGGAAACCCGTACTTCTTCCAAAAACCTTTAAAATTATGGTACCCTCTGAAACTTTTATCAAACTCTAGGAATTAATATGCTGGGGGAGATAGCCCTGTTGATTTTTCACATTTACGTGTACCATGTATGGGAAGGACTAAAGTATTCTATATACATATTTGGATATTTTTCTCTCTATTGCTGTTACACTGACCAGTTTGTCTAAGCAATGCCATTTTGCAACAACATGCATGCTGGGCTTAATGCCTAGGTGATGGGTTGATGGGTGCAGCAAACCACCATGGCACACATTTTCCTATGTAACAAACCTGCACATCCTGCACATGTACCCCAGAACTAAAAATAAAAACTAAAAGAAAAAAAGGAAAAAATAACCCAACTAGTAAATTAAAAAGACTGCTACTTTTAAATACATCTATGAATAGAGGATCTACTAATTTTACATAATCGTAAAGAAAACGGACAAAGCTAACCATATACAATAAGGAATATTTTATTTTTTTGCAACAACAGTACAAAATTCTACTTCACAATTGGGGCATTATTTTATTGTTGGGTTTTTTCTTTTTATTGAGATGGGGTCTCACTCTGTCACCCAGGTTGAGTGCAGTGGTGTAAACACAGGTCACTGCAGCCTTAACTTCCTAGGCTCATATGATCATCCCACCTTAGCCTCCGAAGTAGCTGAGACTACACACCCATGCCACCATGCCTGGCTAATTTAAAAAGTGGGTTTTTCTTTTCAGAGATGGGGTCTTACTATGTTGCCCAGGGTGGTCTCAAACCCCTGGCCTCCTGCCTTGGCCTCCCAAAGTGCTGGGATTACAGGCATGAGCCACTCTGCCTAGCCTGGTGTATTCTTACATAGAGAAATTGCCTTGAAATACAAATTATTAACCATACAACCAAATTCATCATAACAGTGTAGTTTTCCTTCCATAGATCTGATCCACTCTAGAAAATTGAACCAAGAGTCCTCTCATTCTCTGAAAATATTGAAACAATTGACTAATTAAATTTATACAGTTTGAACAAACTTAATTTGAAAATGTGAAATCTGAAACACTCCAGAATCTGAAACTTTCTCAGTGCCAACATGATTCTCAAAGGAAATGGTCATTGGAGCATTTTGGATTTCAGATTTTTGGATTAGGGCTGCTCAACCAGTAAGTATAAGTATTAGGTCAGTGCAAAAGTAATTGTGGTTTTTGCCATTACTTTTGATGGCAAAAACAAAATAACAAAATTACCATTTTTGCCATTACTTTTGCATGGACCTAATAAATGTACATATTCCTAAATCCAAAAAATCCCAAATCCCAACACTTCTGGTCCCAAGCATTTCAGATAAGGGATACTCAACCCGTACTGATTAAAATAAAAACAGATCATGTTTAAATTGGAGCTAATCATATATTATGTGGTGACTGGTCTGACACACACACATTCCAGAGTTTCTCTGATTATCTCAGTAAGTGAATCGTCAGTTTCTATGAAAACACTTCAGTTTCTTTATCTTTTTTCCATGGGGTTGGGACTTAGTTGCGAGGCATCATGCCCTCTCCTCCCTGCCATATCTAACTATATGTATATCTATCTATCTATCTATCTATCTATCTATCTATCTATCTATCTATCATCTATCTATCTATCTATCTATCTATCTATCTATCTATCTATCTATTTGAACAATTTTGGAGGAGCAATCCTCCTAGCCCAGTTAGGTCTCTGTGTTTGACATTACCCATAGAAGGTTTAAAGATCTTACTCTCCACCTATAAGGGAAATTCCTAACATGAAAAGAGAAACATTTCATACACAAATTTTAAATTAACATTCTGTTCTTGAAGAGGCAATGTGTGTGAGTCTAACAATTGCTGAATGCAGTTTAAGGTCAGGAAAAGAGAAAGACTATGTTCAATTATGGAACTGTATTTTAAAATTTTATTTTTATGTTTTTGAGACAAGGTCTCACTCTGTCGCCCAGTCTGGAGTGCAGTGGTGAAATCATGGCTCACTGCAGCCTCGATTTCCTGGGCTCAGGTGATCCTCTCACCTCAGCCTACTGAGTAGCTAAGACTACAGGTGTGCACTACCATGCCAGGTTAATTTTTGTATTTTTTGTGGAGACAGAGTCTCACTGTTTTGCCCCAGCTGATCTCAAACTCCTGGGCTCAAGTGATCTGCCCACCTTGGCCTCACAAAGTGCTGGGATTACAGGCATGAGCCATTGCACCCAGCCAATATTGGAATTCTAGAAACATTAAGTCATACCCTGGCCTGTGTTTTTATTTTCATATTCTCTCTCTCATTCTTTAATCTCGTTCTCTCTGTCTATGTCTCTCAGGCCCAAGCTGTCCTTACTCCAAGTGCTACTTCAAATTATCTGTCTACATCTGCTACATTAAGCACCACTGCCCCAGAATAAGAGGTTAAGATCTATGAATAAAGTACTCCTTCGGAAGTCCTAGACTTCCTTAAATGACAGGAGAAGGACCACAGAGTCATGAGGCCACCTGGCCTTCAGGCCACTGGGAAAGAGCTTCTTAGAGAAACTGAATCCTAGTTTCCTCCCTCAGGCCTGAAGTAGACAGGGCTGGAGGAAGAGAGGGTGAAGCTGTGGAAGGGGAGGTAGGCTTTTTTGGGTAACAAAAAATAAAGCTCTACTCTGAGGAGAAAGGGGGTTGAGCACTGAAATATAGAACATCTCAGCACATGAAAGTAGAAGCAGCATGGGAGTGACTTATCCCCAATAGACGTGATTGGCTGGAACAAGTGCTTCTTGAGGAGGAAAGAAGAGTTTTCGGACTATATGAGTGACTTCACAGAGAGGGTTTTCATTACAAAAAGTGGACCCTAAATATCCCAGCTCTAGGTCCTAGGGTTGGGACTAGAAGGATGGAAATGAAGTGGGCTTCTCTGTGGGGCTGACTGGTAAGTTTATTTTTATTATAGTAATAATATATTTATTATAGTGCATATTCATAAGAATAAATACCTTTTTTTGTAAAGTTGCTTAAATGCTTACTGTTTTTGCATAAGCAATACAGGTACATGGTAAAAATGCCGGAAACATCTTCATGCCTAACTATAGGGAAACGTGTACAGAGATTCTCTTCTTGTAGGGAGGAAATTGATACTAGAACAGCTCTTTGTTGTTACAAATAGAAGTAATATATTCATAGTCTAAAAGAAGAAGGGAGAAGTGAAGAATTATCCCAAATTTTTATTATTTTCATTTGCAGATGAAAAAAACTGAATTATGTTTAAGTAAAATATGATCTCCAAAATCACAGGAGTAATTCGTGAGAGAACCGTATATTGATGAACATCAGATCCACATTTCTAGCTCAGGCCTGTTTCCTAATCTACATGTTTCCTGGCCAATCGTGGGTTCTCAGAGGCACCTGACAATCAACATGTCCATAATGAAATCATCTTCCCTCTACCCTGAAATCGTGCACTCCTTTAGTGTTGCCTAACAAGGTGAAAGCCGCTGCTGTTTACTCATTTTACCCGAGCCAGAAATCTTTAACACTATATATTTATTTGAGAGAATTACCCTAGCCACTGAACCTCAGGGGAGATTTTCCTGATATGTGCTAAACTGAGGCCACACCAAACCTTTTATTATTATTATTATTTTACACTCAGGGTACATGTGCTTTTTTGTTACATGGGTATATTGCATACTGGTGAAGATTGGACTTCTAGTGTACCCAGTACCCAAATAGTGAACATTGTCTCTCATAGGTAATTTTTCAACCCTCACTCCCCTCCCACTCTCCCACCTTTTGGAATCTTCAGTGTCTATTATTTCATCTTCATGATCATGTGTACCCATTGGCAAACTTTATTTTGAAGAACACTTTCTCAGTTTGATGTCACTGTTTTTTGTATTGCCATCTTCTCCAACACCCATTCTGTCTTGCTGCTTCTCAATGTTCAGTGCTTAGCACAGTTTCTGGCACACGGTTTTGGAAAAGAAAAAGACTGTATGGCAATTATGATTGGAATAATAAGGAAATATAAATATGAACATAATTTTTCAGTTTATGGAATAAAGGTGCAGTGAAAAAATACAACTAAAGGAAACGTGATTTTTAAACATTTATTTATTTCAACTTTTATTTTAGATTCGGGGTACATGTGCAGTTTTGTTACCTGGGTATATTGCATGTTGCTGAGGTCTGGTGTACAAATGTTCTGCTACCCAGGTACTGAGCATAGTACCCAGTAGTTAGTTTTTCAATCCTTGCCTCCCTCTTTTCCTCCCCCATCTAGTAGTCCCCAGTGTCGATTGTTGCCATTTTTATGGTCATGAGTACCCAATATTTAGCTCCCACTTATAAATAAGAACATGCAGCATTTGGTTTTCTGTTCCTGGATTAATTCGCTGAGTATAATGGCCTCGAGCTGCGCCCATGTTTCTGTAAAAGACATAATTTCATTCTTTTTTATGGCTGTGTAGCATTCCATGGTGTGTATGTACCTTTTATTTTTCCTTTTTTTTGAGATGGAGTCTCGCTGTGTCGCCCAGGCTGGAGTGCAGTGGTACGATCTCGGCTCACTGCAAGCTCTGCCTTCCGGGTTCACACCATTCTCCTGCCTCAGCCTCCCGAGTAGCTACGACTACAGGCGCCCGCCATCACGCCCGGCTAATTTTTTTTTTTTTTTATTTTGAGTAGAGACGGGGTTTCACCGTGTTAGCCAGGATGGTCCCCATCTCCTGACCTTGTGATCTGCCTACCTCGGCCTCTCAATATGTACCATATTTTAAAAATTCAATTCACCATTGATGGGTACCTAGGTTGATTCCATGTCTTTGCTATTGTGAATAGTGCTGCGACGATCATGCAAGTGCATGTCTTTTTGGTAGAACGATTTGTTTTCTTTTGGATACGTACCCAAGAATGGGATTGCTGGTTAAAAAGGAGTTCTAAGTCCTTTGAGAAATCTCCAAATTGCTTTCCACAGTAACTGAACTAATTTACATTCCCACTAACAGTGTATAAGCATTTCCTTTTCTGGGAACATGTAATTTTTAATAGACAGAACATATCAATGACTTTATTCAATTCAATTAATGGACATACCAGTGAGATGTTGACACAGGTTCAAAGAAGAAATTGAAGAACAGGAATTTATGTAGTCAGTCAGAAATATTCTTAAATGCACTTGTTAATAGATGCAAAACTGGTTAATATCTTGAAAAGCAATAAATTGTATTATTAAGGATTATCTTTTCTACATAATGTTAATTGCCTCTATAATTATTATAATTAATTATACCAGATAAAATTCATTTGTGTTGAAATATATAGGAATCATTTGTATTTCTCTCAGACCAGAATCATTTGCATTGTTATCAGTTTTCTGCAAGTTAACCTCTACCTGTACAGTGCTGTAAAAGAGTAGCCAAACAAAAATCAATCATTGTATGCCCAGCACTACACTGATAAGAATATCCACATTTTGAATAATTTTTCATTAAAGTCTCAGCTTTGTGCTTATAAATAACCTCGAAAGATTCACAAAATAACTTATTATGTTTTGCCCAGTTATTTACATAAGTGTAGCAGGAGTGCTTATTAATAATATAGAAATCTTTGAGTTTGTGTTTCAAATTCAGCTGCTAGCAATATTGAGCAACTCCTAATGCCCAATAATTAATTTCTGCCAGGAAGTTGTCCAACTGAATCTTGGAAAGGACTTTACAACTTCTTCTATTATTTACTCTTCTATCTCAAGGAGAGAAAATCAAACCCAAGAAATTAGCTTTACCATATTTCACCTGAAGCTCCTATAAATTCGAGGGGATTTCTCCTTTCTCAAGGTCCACCAAATTTGCTGTGGTTTGTAGCATGCCAAGAAGTGAACTTTCTTACCACTTCTGTGGATGGCACTGGTTTGTAGTCATTGGTTTGCATGTAAAGTCTATCTCTGCTCCTTAGTGGCCTTGACATAAATGATTAAGTGACACTTTAGGCATTGCCCTGGTTGCACAATTGATTTTTCCAACTATATCCTGGTTAAAAGGAGAACAAATTCTTATTTAATCCATATAAAAAGCTATGCTGCCATGAATAGCAAGAAAACTCAGTTATAAATAATTGTTTCTGAATTCTAATAGTTCAGTGAGAAGCAGATGCCATTTTAAAACGTTTTATTTCAATTTACAAAAGCACAGTCAAATAAATTGTGAGTTAGAGATAGACTGATAAAGAATATGAGGGACTTCTTCATATATGCATCAGAAAATAACAATTTTCTTAAAACAACATCAACATATTTCCAATAAATAGCCACAATTAACTTTCCCTCATTATTTCATTAATAGTGTCTTAGTCGTTTGTGTTACTATAACAGAATACCTGAGACTGGGCAATTTATTTATTTATTTATTTATTTATTTATTTATTTTAGTATTTATTGATCATTCTTGAGTGTTTCTCGGAGAGGGGGATGTGGCAGGGTCATAGGATAATAGTGAAGAGAAGGTCAGCAGATAAACACGTGAACAAAGGTCTCTGGTTTTCCTAGGTAGAGGTCCCTGCAGCCTTCCGCAGTGTTTGTGTCCCTGGGTACTTGAGATTAGGGAGTGGTGATGACTCTTAACGAGCATGCTGCCTTCAAGTATCTGTTTAACAAAGCACATCTTGCACCCTCCTTAATCCATTTAACCCTGAGTTGACACAGCACATGTTTCAGAGAGCACAGGGTTGGGGGTAAGGTTATAGATTAACAGCATCCCAAGGCAGAAGAATTTTTCTTAGTACAGAACAAAATGGAGTCTCCTATGTCTCCTTCTTTCTACACAGACACAGTAACAATCTGATCGCTCTTTCTTTTCCCTACATTTCCCCCTTTTCTTTTCAACAAAACCGCCATCGTCATCATGGCCCGTTCTGGATGGTCGCTGTCTCTTCGGAGCTGTTGGGTACACCTGCGGAAAGGCTGTCACTTCACACTTGGAAGATTGTACAGCAGCCAGGCAGAGGCGCTCCTCACTTCCCAGATGGGGCGGCCGGGCAGAGGCGCTCCTCACTTCCCAGATGGGGTGGCCAGGCAGAGGCACTCCTCACTTTGAGACTGGGCAATTTATAAAGAACATAAATTTATTTCTCACAGTTCTGGAGGCTGGATACTCCAAAATCAAGGTGCTAGCACCTGGTGAGGGTCTTCTTGCTACATCCTTATATGGCAGAAGGAGGAAGGGCAAGAGAGAACAAACTCCCACTGTCAAGCCCTTTTTTATTGATATATAATAGTTGTACATATTTTGGGGTTACATTTGATATTTTGATACATGAATACAATATGTAATGATTAAATCAGGGTAATTGGGTTATCACCTCAAATATTTATCTTTCCTTTGTGTTGGGAACAGTACAGCTCTTCTGACTATTTTTAAACGTACAAGAAATTACTGTGAACTTTAGTCCCCCTTTTGTACTATCCAAAACTACAACTTATTCCCTCTAACTGGATATTTGTACCCATTAACCAACTTCTCTTCTCCACCCACTCTTCTCAGCCTCGGGTAATGACCATTCTACTCTCTACCTCAATGAGATCCACTTTTTTAGCTCTCACATATCTGTGAGAACATGTGAAAATTGCCTTTCTGTGCCTGACTTATTTCACTTAGCATAATGTCCTCCAGTTCTGCCCATATTGCTGCAGAAACCCAGGATTTTATTTTTCTTATGGCTGAATACTATTTTGTTGTGTGTATACACTATATTTTCTTGATCCATTCATCCATTGATGGATATTTAGGTTGATTCCGTATCCTTGCTATTGTGAGTAATGCTGCAGTAAGCATGAGAGTGCAGATATCCCTTCGATATAATGATTTCCTTTCTTTTGGATATATACCCAGCAGTGGTATTTCTGGATCATATGGTAGATCCATTTTTCATTTTTTGAGGAACCTGCATACTGTTTTCTATAGTGGTTTTACTAATTCACATTCCTACCAATACTGCACAAGTATTCCCCTTTTTTCATGTCCTTGCCAGCATCTGTTATTTTTTGTCTTTTTGATAATAACCATTCCATCTTAAGTGAAATGATAGCTCATTGTGGTTTTGATTTGCATTTCTCCGATGATTAGTGATGTTAAGCATATTTTCATATACCTGCTGGACATTTGTATGTATTCCTTTGAGAAATGTATATTCAGATATTCTGCCCTTTTAAGATTGAATTATTTGGGTTTTTTGTTTGGTTTGGTATTTTGCTATTGAGTTGTTTGAGTTCCTTATATATCCTGCATATTAATCTCTTGTCAAATGAATAATTTGCAAATCATTTTTCCCATTCTGTAGGTTGTCTCTTCACTTTGTTGATGGTTTTCCTTGCTGTGTAGCAACTTTTTAGTTTGATTTAACACCATTTGTCTATTTTTGCTTTTGTGGCCTGTGTATTTGAGGTCCCACACAAAAAATCTGTGCCCAGACTAATGTCCTAGAGTAATTCCCCAACATTTTCTTCTACTAGTTCCATAGTTTCAGGTCTTACATTTAAGTCTTTAATCCGTTTTGAGTTGATTTTTTATGTGGTGAAAGATTGGGATCTAGTTTCAACTTCATATGGATATCCAGTTTTCCCAGCACCATTTATTTAAGAGAGTATTCTTTCCTCAATATATGTTCTTGGAACTGTTTTAGAAAATGGGTTGGCTGTAAGTTCATAGATTTATTTCTGGGTTCGTTCCACTGGTCTATGTGTCTGTTTTTATGCCAGTACCATGCTTATTTGTTTACTATATCTTTGTAGTGTATTTGAAGTCAAGTAGTGTGATACCTCTAGCTTTGTTCTTTTTGCTCAGGATTGCTTTAGCTATTTGCAATCTTTGATTACATTGATTACTAGGGTTTTAATATTTTTAGCTATTGTAAATGGGATTGTTTTAATTGTTTCTTTTTTAGATCAACTGCTGTTAGAGTACAGGAGTGCTACCGATTGTTTCATATTCATTGTGTATCCTACTATTTACTAGATTCATTTATCAGTCAGTTATAAGAGGATTTTGGTGAAGTCTTTAGGTTTTTCTAAATATAAGATCATGTCATCTGCAAATAAGGATAATTTGACTTCCTTCTTTCCAACTTGGGTGCCATTTCCTTCTTTTGCCTAATTGTTCTGGCTAGGACATCCAGAACTATGTTGAATAAATGATGAAAGTGGGAACCCTTGTCTTGTTTCAGATTTTAGTGGAAAGTCTTTCAATTATTCCCAGTTCAGTATGATATTAGCTGTGGATTTGTCATATATGGCCTGTATTGTTTTGAGGCATGTTCCTTCTACACCCAGCTTGTTGAGACTTTTTAACCCTTCATGAAGGGATGTTGAATTTGAATTTTATTGAATGCTTTTTCAGTATCTATTGAAATAACCATGTGGTTTTTGGCTTTGATTCTTTTGATGTGATGTATCACATTTATTTATTTGTGTTTGTTGAATCCTTCTAACATTCATGGGATTAATCCAAGTTGATCATGGTGAATGGTCTTTTAAATTTATTGTTGTTAAATTTAGTTTGCTAGTTTTTGTTGAGGATTATTGCATCTATGTTTATCAGGAATATTGGCCTGTAGTTTTCCTTTTTTTTGGTGCCTGTCTGGTTTTGATATGAGGGTAAGGCTGGCCTTGTAAAATGAGTTTGAAAGTATATTTTTCTGCAATGTTTTGGAATATTTTGAGCAGGATTGGTATTAGTTCTTAAATTTTTGGTAAAACTCAGCAGTGATTGCTTCAGGGGTGACTTTTTATTGCTGCTTCTATCTAGTTATTCATTATTGGTCTGTTAAGGTTTTCTGTTTCTTCATGTTTTAATATGGTAGGTTGTATATGTTCAGGAATTTATCCATTTCTTCTTGGTTTTCCAATTTGTTGGTGTATTAGTCCTTTCTCATGCTGCTATAAGGACATATCCAAGACTGGGTAATTTATAAAGGAAAGAGGTTTAATTGACTCACAGTTCCACATGGCTGGGGAGGCCTCACAGTCATGGTGGAAGGCGAATGAAGAGCAAAGTCAAGTCTTACATGGTGGCAGGCAAGAGAGCATGTACAGGGGAATGCCCCTTTACCATCAAATCTCATGAGACTTATTCACTATGATGAGAACATCATGAGAAAGACCCTCCCCCATGATTCAGTTACCTCCCACTGGGTTGCTCCTGTGACATGTGGGGATTATGGGAGCTACAATTCGAAATGAGATTTGGGTGGAGACACAGCCAAACCATATTAGTTGGTGTATATTTGTTCATAATAGTCTCTAATGATTCTTTGGGTTTCTGTGGTATCAGTTGTAATGTTTTTGTATTTGTCTCTGATTTTCTTTATTTGAGTCTCCTCTTTCTTCACCTAGCTAATGTTTTGTCAATTTTTTTATCCTCTTCAAAAAACCAACTTTTCATCTTATTGATCTTTCATATTTTTTAGTCTCAATTTCATTTATATCTGTTCTGTTCTTTATTATTTATTTTTTTCTACGAATTTTGGGTTCAATTTGTTCTTGTCTAGTTGCTTGAACTGTTTCATTAGGTTGTTTATTTGAAGTCTTTCCACTTTTTTTGATGTAGGTGTTTGTTGCTTTAAACTTCCCACTTAGGGCCGGGTGTGGTGACTCACACCTGTAATCCCAGCACTTTGGGAGGCCAAGGCAGGTGGATCAAGAGGTCAGAAGATTGAGACCATCCTGGCTAACACAGTGAAACCCCGTCTCTACTAAAAATACAAAAAATTAGCTGGGCGTGGTGGCGGGCACCTGTAGTCCCAGCTACTTGGGAGGCTGAGGCAGGAGAATGGCGTGAACCCAGGAGGCGGAGCTTGCAGTGAGCCGAGATCATGCCACTGCACACTCCAGCCTGGGCAACAGAGCAAGACTCTGTCTCAAAAAAAAAAAAAACAAAAAACTTCCCACTTAGTACTGCTTTTGCTATATCTCATATGTTTGACATGTTGTGATGAAATTTTTATTTGTTTGAAGAATTTTAAAAAGTTTCTTCTTAATTTTTTCCTCAACCCATTTGTCATTCAGGAGCATGTTGTTTAATTTTCGTGTGTTTATATAGTTAGTTTCTGAAGTTCTTGAGTTCCAGTTTTATTCCATTGTGGTCAGAAAAGATACTTGATATTATTTCATTTTTAAAAATTTGTTGAGACTTGCTGATAAGGGCATTTAATCTCATCCACAAAGGAGAAGCCCTCATGGCTTAACCACCTCTTAAAAGCTCCATCTTTAAATACTATCACATTGGCAACATCTGAATTTTAAAGGGAACACATTCAAACCATAAGACATATTTATGTATTTAATTCGTGTTCTGGTGGATGTTAGGTCATGACTCAATCAGTTTGGGCTGCTGCAATAAAATGTCATAAATTAGGTGGCTTATAAATGACAAATACTTATTCATCACAGTTCTGGAGGCTAGGAAGTTCAGGATCAATATGTCAGCAAAATCAGTGTCTGATGGGGATTCACTTCCTGATTCATAGACAGTCTCTTCTTACTGTGTCCTCACATTATGGAAGTGGCAAGGCAGCTTTCTGAGGAGCTGTTTATAAGGATACTAATTGTATTCATGAGGTTTCTACCCTCATGGCATAATCACATTCCAAAGGACCCACCTTCTAGTACCCTCACTTTGGTGATTAGGTTTCAACATATAAATTTTGGGTAGACACAAATCTTCAGAACAAAGCAGTTCAACAGTCTCCTTCCATGTAGCCATATGCTTCCAGTCAAAAGGTGATCCTGGCAAAAATACCAAGGCCAAAGGGTACAGTCTGAAAATTGCTTAAGTGATATCAGCTAGGAGTTTCTAACCAAGAATCTATTCTTTGAAGCATCAATACTTTATAGTAACTGCTAACATTCTTTCAAGATTTCTAAAATTTAATTTAATTTTTTAAATTGACAAATATTTCTTAGCTCTCTATTCTGTTCCGTTGGTGTATGTGTCTGTTCTTGTACCAGTACCATGCTGTTTTGGTTACTGTCATCTTGTAGTATAGTTTGAAGTTGGGTAGTGTGATGCCTCCAGCTTTGTTCTTTTTGCTTAGGTTTGTCTTGGCTATTTGGGCTATTTTTGGGTTCCATATGAATTTTAAAATACTTTTTTTTTCCTAATTCTGTGAAGACTGTCAACGGTAGCTTAATGGGAATTGCATTGAATCTATAAATTACTTTGGGCAGTATGGCCATTTTCACGATATTGATTCTTCCTATCTGTGAGCATGGAATGTTTTTCCATTTGTTTGTGTCCTCTCTGATTTCTTTGAGCAGTTGTTTATAGTTCTCCTTGAAGAGGTTCTTCACTTCCCTTGTTAGCTGTATTCCTAGGTATTTTACTCTTTTTGTAGCAATTGTGAATGGGAGTTCATTCATGATTTGGCTCTCTGCTTGTCTATTGTTGGTGTATAGGAATGCTAGCTATTTTTGCATATCGATTTTGTATCCCGGGACTTTGCTGAAGTTGCTTATCAGCCGAAGAAGCTTTTGGGCTGAGACCATGGGCTTCTCTAGATCATGTCATCTGCAAACAAAGATAATTTGACTTCCTCTCTTCTTACTTGAATGCCCTTTATTTCCTTCTCTTGCCTGATTTCCCCAGCCAGAACTTCTAATACCATGTTGTATAGGAGTGGTGACAGAGGGCATCCTTGTCTTGTGCTGGTTTTCAAAGAGAATGTTTCCAGCTTTTGTCCTTTCAGTATGATATTGGCTTTAGGTTTGTCATATGTGGCTCTTATTATTTTGAGGTATGTTTCTTCAATACCTAGATTATTGAGAGTTTTTAACGTGAAGGGATGTTGAATTTTATCAAAAGCCTTTTCGCCATCTATTGAGATAATCATGTGGTTTTTGTCGTTGATTCTGTTTATGTGATGAATTACGTTTATTGATTTGCATATGTTGAATCAGCCGTGCATCCCAGGGCATTTTAGCAATGTCTGGAAATATTTTTGTTTGTCACACTGGGGAGATGTTGTTACTAGAATCTAGTGGATAGAGGCCATGAATGCTAGTAAAAATCCAACCATGCACAGGAGAGCCCCTCCCCCCACGACAAAGAATTATCCACCTCAAAATGTCAACAGCACTAAAATGTCAACAGTACTCAAAATATTAAGTAACTCTGTAAGTAATGGATAATAAAAGAAATATGCAAAGTTCAATAGTTTTCATATACACCAAAAATAACCAGCCAGAGGATGTGATAGTAGAGAAAATCCTATTTTTATCAGCAAAATAATATATAGGAATAAACATAACAAGTGAATAAAACCTTAAAACACTTTGTTAATAGCTAGATTTAATCATTTCACATTGTAAGTATACATCAAGACATCACATTGTACCCCATAAATTCATAAAATTATTTCTAAATTAAAAATTTAAAAAACACGTGTGAAAGAAAAGTAAACAAATGGAATGATACTAATTTATCTTGCATCAGACAACTCAACATCACAGACTTTATTTTTCTTGAAGTTAATTTATTAATTTAATGTGATCCTGGATAATCTCCTTATTTTAAGACCCTTAATTTAGTCAAACCTGCAACATCTCTTTTGTGCTTGTAAGGTAACACTCAGGCTTCACTGGTTAAGACATAGAAACCTTGAGGGGCCATTATTCAGCCTACCACAAAAGTGAACTTCCTTTTTGAAATCACTTTTGGTTTGTGTATTACCTGACAAGATATTCTCATGTTTTTTCTCACGTCAAGGCATACAACCTTACTGCACATCTTTGTTCCTTGTAGTTTGGTGGGACCATGTGACCAATCGTGAAGTGATGACACTTCCAACATGGAACACTAAATTGCTGATGTGAGACCTTCTAGATATCTCTCTTTTGCTCTGCTATGAGATAGGTACCCTTAGGGATTGTAGCTTTCGTAACATTGACGACAGAGCCCTATTGTTGCCCTGGGATGCATAAATATTAGCAGTAGTAAATAAATCTTCAAGATTTTCAGGATCTCATATCTGGGAGTTGTTTCCTATTACAGCTTAACTTTACCTACCCTAATAATACAATACGCTTCATGCAGTTAGCCTCTACTTTATCACATTGATTATTACCTTCAAAGCATTTATTGTAATGTGAAATAACTTACTCATTTGTTTTTTAACTTTTGTCTTGTTTAGCAGGTCAAATGAAATGTGGGGTAAGTGATGGTTTTGCTTCATGTTTTTATGTTTCATTTTGTTTAAAATTGGTGAAATTCTGGGAAGCCTGCATGGGATTGCTGAGCACTAGGTCTCATTCCTGGCCCTGAGTGGCTGCCCACTCTCACTATGAACCTCTGAAACCATAGCTGCAGGAGACCCCATGGTCCCCATTGACATTGGAACTGGCAGGGAGAGCTGTTTGGAGAGTTGGCAGGGACAGGACTCCAGGCTGTGCAAAGCCCAGAAGGTTTGGTGTAGGAATGGCTGCAGTGGAGCACAGCCAGGGACGCCCATCCTCCAAGGCTTGCCATGCTCCTCTAGGGGGCTTTGGCTTTTGTTGACTATTGAACCTGAACAGAACAAGGATATCTTGCCTGTGGGACAGGGCCAATCCAATCTGAACATCCCTGTCAGGGTCTGTGTTGGACTGCACTCATTAGCAGTGCAGCTTCGGATACCCAACCCAGGTGCTCCTCAGGGGCTACTACCATAGCTCCTTCACTGGCAGACCCTGCCTGTCAGAGAGCTTCTGCAAATGTGCCCCTGCTGGCATGCGCCTATCCACTGCCTACCCCAACCGCATTGCCAGCCTTCACTTCCCTGCAGCCTTCCCCCATTGGTTTGCTGGTGCAGGCACATGGGCCTCACTGGTCACTGCCACCAGCATGTGTGGACCTTGCTGAGGCCACACTACTCAGGCTGGTCCACATGTGCATACCCTGCTGCCCTGCCACCACTGGCATGTTCTACACACATATACCACCATGCTGCTGCTATTGGGGCATGTGCATGAATGTGGATCCTGCTGCCACCACTCTGATGAAGAACTTTTGCCAGCACTCCCCATTGGAGTGTTTTTGCCAGCAGATGAAGAACACCTTGGTCTTTCCAGCACAGCAGGTGGTCAACCTTGAAGGACCAGAGAACAAAGCAACTGGCTTTGTCCCAACCCCCCAAAGTTAGAATATGAATCCCGGGAGTGCAGAGCTGAACCTTGGCCACCTGAAATGGTCCAGAAATGAAACCAGTCAACTGAACCCAACTTATACCACAGTCTTACCCTCTAGGGCATCAAATAATATAAACATATAAATATAAAGAATTTGTAAGAATATAAAACCATATCCAAAGGACAGTAACTTCAAAGATTAAAGGAACAACAGCCTGCCAAGCTGAGAAAGAACCAGCGCAAGAAATCTGACAATTCAAAAAGCCAAAGTGTCTTATCTAGAAATGACTGCACTAGCTCCCCAGCAGTGGTTCTTAACCAGACTGAAATGGCAAGAATGATAGACAAAGAATTCAGAATTCAGATGGCAATGAAAATTATCGAAATCCAAGAGAAAGTTGAAACTTAATCCAAGGGAATATAAGGAATCCAGTAAAACGATGCAAGAGATGAAAGATGAAATAGCCATTTTTAAGAAAGAACCAAACAAATCTGATAGAGCTAAAAAAACTCACTGCAAGGATTGCATAACCAATCAGAAGTATTAACAGAAGAATAGACCAAACTGACAAAAGAATTTTAGAGCTTGAAAATCAGTTCTTCAAATCAACACAGTCAGACAAAAATAAAGAAAAAGAAGTAAAAAAGAATGAACAAGACCTTCGAGAAATATGGGATCATGTAGAGACCAAACCTAAAACACATTGGTGACCTTGAAAGAGAGGGAGAGCAAGCAACTTGAACAACATTTTTGAGAACACTGCTCCTGATAATTGTCCCAACTTTGTTAGAAAGATTGACATTCAAATTCAGGAAATTTAGAGAACCCCTACAAGGTACTATAAAAGGTAATTATCCCCAAGCCACATAGTCACCAGATTCTCCAAAGTCAATGCAAAATATAAAACATTAAAGGCAGCTAGAGTGAAGGAGCAGGTCATCTACAAAGAAACCCCATTAAGCTGACAGCAGATCTTTCAGCAGAAACCCTTCAAGCCAGCAGAGATTGGGGGGCCTATATGCAGCCTTCTTAAGGAAAATAAATTCCAACCAAAAATTTCATATCCAGAAAAACTAAGCTTCAGAAGCACAGGAGAAATAAAAGCATTTCAGAAAAGCAAATGCAAAGGGAATTCATCATTACCAGACCTGTTTAACAAGAGGTCCTCAAAGGGGTACTAAACATGGAAACAAAAGTCCATTATGGGTCACAGCAAAAACACTCTTTAGTACATAGACCATTGACACTATGAAGCAACTATACAATCGTGTCTACATTACATCCAGCTAACGACATGATGATAGGATCAAATCTGCCTATATCAGTATTAATCTTGGGCTAAAGATTAATGGGCTAAACACTCAACCTAAAAGGCACAGAATAGTGTGTTGGATAAAGAAGAAAGGCCAGGTGCTGTGGCTAATACCTGTAATTCCAGCACTTTGGGAGGCGCAGGTGGGTGGATCACAAGGTCAGGAGATCAAGACCATCCTGGTTAACACGGTGAAACCCTGTCTCTACTAAAAATACAAAAATTAGCCGGGCGTGGTGGTGGGGGCCTGTAGTCCCAGGTACTCTGGAGGCTGAGGCAGGAGAATGGCATGAACCTGGGAGGCAGAGGTTGCAGTGAGCCAAGATCGCACCACTGCACTCCAGCCTGGGCGACAGAGCAAGACTCCGTCAAAAAAAAAAAAAAAAAAAAAGTAAGAACCAACAGTATGCTGTCTTCAGAAATCTATCTCACATGCAATGACATTCATAAGTTCAAAGTAAAGGTACGGAGAAAGATCTATCAAGTAAATGAAAAACAAAAAAGATCAAGGGTCGCTCTTCCCATTTCAGATGAAATAGACTTTAAACCAACAAATATCAAAAAAGACAAAGAAGGTCATTACATAATGGTAAAAAGTTCAATTCAACAAGAAGATGTAACTATACTAAACATATAGGCACTCAACACAGGAGTACCCAGATTCATAAAACAATTTATTAGGAACCTATGAAAAGATTTAGATAACCACACAATAACAGTGGAAGACATCAACGCTCCACTGACAGTATTAGACAGATCATGAAGGCAGAAAACTAACAAAGATATTTGGGACCTGAACTCAACACTTGACCAAATGGATCTAACAGACATCTACAGTATGCTCCACCCTAAAACAACAGCATATACACTCTTACCATCTGCACATGGCACAGCCTCTAAAATTGACCACACGATCAGCCATAAGACAATTCTCAGCAAATTCACAAAAACCAAAATCATACCAACCACACTCTTTGACTACAGTGCTATAAAAATGGAAATCAATACTAAGGAGATTACTTAAACCCATACAATTACATGGAGGTTAAACAACCTGTTCCTGAATGTCTTTTGGGTAAACAATGAAATTAAGATAGAAATCAAGAAATTCTTTGAAACTAATATACAATATATATTCTTTGAAACAAAGATACAAAATACCAGAATCTCCGGGACATAGCTACAGCAGTGTTAAGAGGGAAAATTATAGTGATAAATGCCCCCATCAAAAAGTTAGAAAAATCTCAAATTAACACACTAATGTTACACTTAGAGAAACTAGAAAAATAAGAGAAAACAAACACCAAAGCTATTAGCAGGAAAAAATTAACCAAAATCAGAGCTCAACAGAATAAAATTGAGATGCAAAAGATCAGTGAAACCAAATGTTGGTTCCTTGAAAGAATAGATAAGATAGACTACTAGTTAGACTAATAAAGAAATAAAGAGAGAAAATCCAAATAAACACAATCAGGAATGACAAGGGGGACATTACCACTGATACCACAGAAATAAAAAACATTCTCAGAAGTTGTTACAAATACCTCTACGCACATAAACTAGAAAACCTAGAAGAAATGGATAAATTCCTGGAAACTTATAACCTTCCAAGAATGAACTAGGAAGAAATTGAAACCATAAACAGACCAATAATGAGTTCTGAAATTGAATCAGTAATAAAAAACCTACCAACTAGTAGAAGGCCTGAACCAGATGGATTCATAGCCAAATTTTACCAGACATATAAATAAGAGCTGGTACCAATTCTACTGAAATTTTTCCAAAATTTGAGGAAGAGTGGATCCTCCTTAACTCATTCCATGAGGCCAATATCATTCTTAGATCAAAATCTGGCAGGGACACAAGAAAGAAAACTTCAGGCAAATGTCTCTGATGAACATAGATGCAAAAATCCTCAACAAAATACTAGCACAATAAATCCAAAAGCACATGGGAAAGCTAATCCCTCATGATCAAGCAGGCATTATTCCTGGGATGCAGAGTTGGTTCAACATATACAAATCAATAAATGTGATTCATCACATAAACAGAACAGAAAACAAAAACTACGTGACCATCTCAATAGATGCAGAAAAGACTTGATAAAATTCAACATTCATTCATGTTAAAAGCCCTCAACAAACTAGGCATTGGAAGAACATACCTCAAAATAATTAAGCCACCTATGGGAAACCCTCAGCCAACATCATAATGAATGGGCAAAAGCTGGAAGCAATCCCCTTGAGGACCAGAACAATACAAGGATGCTCACTCTCACTATACCTATGCAACATGGTACTTGAAGTCCTGGCAAGAGCTATCAGGCAAAAGAAAGAAATAAAAGGCATCCAAATAGGAAGACAGGAAGTCAAACGATCTCTCTTTGCAGACCATATGATTCTATACCCAGGAAACCTCATAGTCTCTACCTAAAGACTCATATATTTGATAAACTTTGGCAAAATTTCAGGATACAAAATCAATGTACAAAAAAATCAGTAACCAATAACATCCAAGGTTAGGGCCAAATCAAGAACACAATCGCATTCACAAAGCCACAGAAATATAAAATATCTAGGAATACAGCTAACCAGGGAAGTGGAAGATCTCTACAAGAAGAATTACAAAACATTTCTCAAAGAAATCCCAGATGACAAGCAAATGGAAAACATTCCATGCTTATGGATAAGAAGAATCAATATTGTTAAAATGGTCATACTGGCTAAAGCAATTTACAGGTTCACTGCTGTTCCTATCAAAGTACCCATGTCATTTTTCACAAAATTAGGGAAAAAAGGCCAGGCATGGTGGCTCACGCCTGTGTTCCCAGCACTTTGGGAGGCTGAGGCGGGCGGATTACAAGGTCAAGAGATTGAGACCATCCTGACCAACATAGTGAAACCCTGTCTCTGCTAAAAACACAAAAATTATCTGGGTGTGGTGGCATACGCCTGTAGTCCCAGTTACTCAGGAGGTGGAGGCAGGAGGATCGCTTGAACCCAGGAGGCAGAGATTGTAGTGAGCCAAGATTGCGCCACTGCACTCCAGCCTGGTGACAGAGCAAGATTCTGACTCAAAAATAAGTAAATAAATAAATTAACTAATTAATTAAATTTATATTTAAATTCTAACAATTCCATATTTTATATACTCCCTGAACTCCATCCCCAGATTCAAGTAAAATGGTGCCGATACTTATCTTGGAGGGTATTTGTGCATGTTAGTTATGTGTGTACAGGGCCTGGTTTCTAGCTGTCCTTCAACAAGAATTCTCTGAGCAACTGCTGTGTGCTTTGTTGCTATTTTCAGTGCCAAGAATACAATAGCAAACAACATTCACAAATATCTAATATCATAGAATTTTCCAGGAAATGTATAGCCCACTAGAGGGTAGTAGGTACTGCATAGAAAGATCGGTCAGGAGGAATGATATGTGAAAAGAATTGTTACTGTATTCAAGTGCTGAGACCAGCTCGGTTGGGGAGACCCTGACCCATCAGCACTAGAGGAATTAAAGACACACACACACACAGAAATATAGAGGTGTGAAGTGGGAAATCAGGGGTCTCACAGCCTTCAGAGCTGAGAGCCCCAAACAGACATTTACCCACATATTTATTAACAGCAAACCAGTCATTAGCATTGTTTCTATAGATATTAAATTAACTAAAAGTATCCCTTAAGGGAAACGAAGGGATGGGCCGAATTAATTGCAGCAGGAACATGCCCTTAAGACACAGATTGCTCATGCTTTTGTTTGTGGCTTAAGAATGCCTTTAAGCGGTTTTCTGCCCTGGGCAGGCCAGGTGTTCCTTGCCCTCATTCCCGTAAACCCACAACCTTCCAGCTTGGGCGTTAGGGCCATTATGGACATATCACAGTGCTGCAGAGATTTTATTTGTGGCCAGTTTTGGGGCCAGTTTATGGCCAGACTTTGGGGGGCTTGCTCCCAGCATTCAAGTATATCAGGGAAGGCCTCCCTGAAAACATGATTGTTGATCAGACCTGGAGGAAGTGAGGAAGCAGGCCTTGCAATTACCTAGAAAAAGAACATTCCAAGCAGAAGGAACAGTAGGTGCCCTGATATGGTTTGGCTGTATCGTCACCCAAATCTCATCTTGAATTGTAGCTCCCATAATCCCCACGTATTGTGGGAGGGACCTGGTGTGAAGTAATTGAATCATGGAGGTAGGTTTTCCCGTGCTGTTCTCGTGATAGTGAATAAGTCTCATGAGACCTGATGGTTTTGTAAAGGGCAGTTCCTGTGCACACACTCTCTTGTCTGCCACCATGTAAGATGTGCCTTTGCTCCTCCTTTGCCTCCCCACCATGATTGTAAGGCCTTCCCAGCCATGTGCAACTGTGAGTCCATTAAACCTCTTTTTCTTTATAAAGTACCTAGTCTCCGGTATTTCTTCATAACAGTATGAAAAGGGGCTAATACAGTAAATTGGTACTGGTAGAGTAGGGTACTGCAATAAGCATACCCAAAAATGTGGAAGCAACTTTGGAACTGGGTAATAGACAGGGGTTGGAACAGTTTGGAGGGCTCAGAAGAAGATAGGAAAATGTGGAAAAGTTTGGAGCTTCCTAGAGACTTGGAGGGCTCAGAAGACAGGAAGATGTGGGAAACTTTGGAACTTCCTAGAGACATGTTGAATGGCTTTGACCAAAATGCTGGTAGTAATATGGACCATAAAATCCAGGCTGTGGTGGCCTCAGATGGAGATGAGGAATTTATTGGGAAGTGGAACAAAGGTGATTCTTGCTATGCTTTAGCAAAGAGACTGGTGGCATTTTGCCCCTGCCCTAGATATCTGTGAAACTTTGAACTTGAGAGAAATGATTTAAGGTATCTGGCAGAAGAAATTTCTAAGCAGCAAAGCATTCAATAGGTGACTTGGGTGCTCTTAAAACCATTCAATTTTATTCATTCACAAGGGTGTAGTTTGGAGTTAAAACTTATGCTTAAAAGGGAAGCAGAGCGTAAAAGTTCGGAAAATTTGCAGCCTGATGATGCAATAAAAAAGAAAAACCCATTTTATGAGGAGAAATTCAAGTGGGCTGCAGAAATTTGGAAAAGTAATGAAGAGCCAAATGTCAATTGTCAAGACTATGGGGAAAATGTCTCCCGGGCATGTCAGAGGTCTTCATGGCAGCCCCTTCCATCAGAGACCTGGAAGCCTAGGAGGAAAAAATGGTTTCATGGGCTGAGCCCAGGGCCTTGCTGCTTTCTGCAGTCTTGGGACTTGGTGCCCTGTGTCTCAGCTGTGGCTAAAAAGAGCCAAAGTACAGCTCAGGATAGTGTTTCAGAGGGTGCAAGCCCCAAGCCTTGGTGGCTTACACATGGTGTTAAGCTTTCAGGTGCACAGAAGTCAAGAATTGAGGTTTGGGAACCTCAGCCTAGATTTCAGAGGATTTATGGGAATGCTTGAATGTCCGGGTAGAGGTGTGCTGCAGGGGCAGAGCCCTTATGGAGAACATCTTCTAGGGCAGTGTGGAAGGGAAATGTGGAGTGGGACCCCCCAACCGAGTCCCCACTGGGGCACTGCCTAGTGGAGACGTGAGAGGAGGACCACCGTCCTCCAGATCCCAGAAAGGTAGATCCAACAACAGCTTCTGCCGTGCACCTGGAAAAGCTGCAGACACTCAATGCCAGCCCATGAAAGCAGCCAGAAAGGGGCTGTACCCTGCAAAGCCACAGGTTCAGAGCTGCCCAAGTTTGTGGGAACTCACCTCTTACATCAGTGTGACCTGGATGTGAGACATGAAGTCAAAGGAGATCATTTTGGAGCTTTAAGATTGGACTACCCCACTAGATTTGGGACTTGCATGGGGCCTGTAGCCTGTTCATTTTGGCCAGTTTCTCCCACTTGAAATGGGTGTATTTACACAATGCCTGTACCCCCATTGTTTCTAGAAAGTAACTAACTTGCTTTTAATTTTACAGGCTCATAGGTGGAAGGGACTTACCTGGTCTCAGGTAAGACTGAACTGTGGACTTTGGAGCTAATGCTGAAATGAGTTAAGACTTTGGGGGACTGTTGGGAAGCCATGACTGGTTTTGTAATGTGAGGACATGAGATCTGGAAGGGGCCAGGGGTGAAATTATATGGTCTTGCTGTGTCTCCACCCAAATCTCATCTTGAATTGTAGCTCCCATAATCCCCATGTGTCATGGGAGGAACCCGATAGAAGGTAATTAAATCATGGGGGTGGTTTTTCTCATGCTGTTCTCATGATAGTAAATAAGTCTCATGACATCTGATGGCTTTATAAAAGGCAATTCCCCTGCACATGTTCTCTTGCCAGCCACCATGTAAGACATGCCTTTGTTCCTCCTTCACCTTCTGCCATGATTGTGTGGCCTCCCCAGCCATGTGGAATTGTGAGTTCATTAAACCTCTTTTTCTTTATAAATTATGCAGTCTCAGGTATTTCTTCATAGCAGTATAAAAATGGACTAATACATGCCCTGAGAAGAAAACTTGGTGTGTTTCTGAAATTTGACTCCTGTAATATTGGTAAACCCCTCATCATCCCAGGTTTTGGTACATAGCATTCATTGAAAGCCACCTAGCAATAGTAACTCTATTTCTCCCACAACCTGTGAGAGAGGTGGGTTTATTTCCATTGTATAAATGAAAAACCTGAGACTCTGAGAATTTCCCTGAGCCTCTTTTCCTGTTCACACCTGGAATTCCTAAAGGAGGAACAAAATCTTCATTATGAGAGACAGAAGATTTGAACATTACAGCTAGAGGGTAGACACCATGCACAATGGATGTCAGCTAACCAGTCAGTATAAATGAAAAGTTATAATAGAGTAACCATGATCATCATAACATTTCTACTTTTGGTGAAAGGAAGGACATTAGGAATGAGAAAGGCATTGGGATATGGGAGAAAGGCAGAAAGGGGAAGCTGGGGACAATGGGAAAAAAAACACTGATTGGGAAGGAATCCAGTGGACATTTGCAATGCTGATAATAGTCCACTGCTCAATCTCCAAGTATAATTGTACACTTGTTCATGTGTCTTCCCAGTTCTGCCTGATTTTGCTCACGTATTTTAAATTTCTGTGTTTGAATGTAGTATAAAATAGTGTTAATTATAGTTGGCCTGATTCTGCTATCCTAGAAAAGGCCAGTTTGCAAAGTTGGCCCTTGCCAGAAATCTAAAAACTTGGATATTGAGAGTATTTTCATTATTTCTTAATTGATAAAAGTGGTTTACTGTGCCTCATCTATTTGTGTAAACAATAGAATCAGTCCCCAGTATCCATGGGCTCTATCTCCTTTGGATTCAACAAACGGCAGATTGAAAATATTTTTTTAAAAAGGATGGCTGCATCTGTTTCAAACATGTACAAACATTTTTCTTGTCATTATTTCCTAAACAATACAGTATAACAACTGTTTCCATAGTATTTACATTGTATTGGGTAGTATAAGTAATCTAGAAATGATTTAAAGTATATGAGAGAGGAAGGGCTTCAAGATGGCTGAATAGAAGAATTTCTTGCTCACCTCCCTCCTTCGCTTAGAAGAACCAAAATAGTGTATAGACAATCACATTTCAAATACATTATCCAATAGAGAACACTGAAATTCAACAGAAAAGTGACAGAAAGCAAGAAAAGAGAAGGAAGAGAGGCAGTCTGCTTGACTGAGATTGGCTGGGAACTGGGAGTGACTTCCTTACATGGGGAAAAGGTAAGTGAGAGACATGCAGCGGCCCACATCCCCACCATAGAATCTGCAATCCTGATCACTTGAAGAGCCCCTCGATCCTCCAAGCACTGAAATTAACATAAGGAGCTGGCAGGAGATGATGAGACAAAACTGCTACAGGGAGGGAGCCTGCACTGGGTCCCAAACCCTTTCTGAGAACTAAATGGCTACTTTAGTTAGCACGGTGCCATTTGAAATCCCAGCCTTTAACAGAGTATGCCAGGACTGAGGCATTAGTGAAGCTTGGGCAGTTGTTGCTGGAGCTGGGGAGCAAGATGGAAACAGGCTCCCACGGCTGGGGCTTAGAAGCAAGCAAGGCGTGGGCTGCAGCTGTCAGTGTTGGGAATTGAACACTACTAGTATTGAGACTGAGAGGTGAAAGGGGGTGCAAGTTGCCATTGGGACTTAGTTTCAAGCTGGGTGAGGGACTCCTGCAGCTAGGGCTAGGGTGAGACTTAGGTGTGGGCTACCACCACCAGGATCAAGGGGTGAGGCTTGCTGGAGCTGGAGCATGAGAGGGACATGCATTTCCCACCTACTAGCCCAGGCCGTGGCCACTGAGGTGAGCCCCACCTTGTCCAGTGGCAGGGCCTCAGCTCAGCTCAGCTACTAACCACCTCTCTCCTGAGCATTCCACCTGGAGTCTGAGGATTAGCTGTCCCTGCTCACCACAGCTGGTGCCTACTGTCACCATTGGAGGGCCTGAGTACAAGCCCACTCAGCCCGGCTTTACACACTCCCTCCAAGACCCCAGGCATATAACCTGGGGTCATGCGGATTGCCCAACCCAATCCATCACATCGAACACTTGAACACTCTTCCCAGGTGCCTGAGATTGAGCAAAAACTCCTGGCCACTGCCACCACAGTTAGCTTCTGCCTGCAAGCACCATCTTCAGGCCTGGAGACTGACCCATCCAAGCCATTGCAGCCGCTGCCAACATCAATGCATACTGCTCCGGACCCAGAAAATTATCCCACCATTGCTAGTACCATTGCCCATGTCACTCCAGTTGCCTAGGGGCTCAAGAATGCACCCAACCACCTGGTTCACCATTGCTACTACTGGTATGTAAACAAGCCACCTGGACGCCCAAAAATTGGCCTGCTGGTAACCACCAACACATGCCAGTGTACACTGCCCTGGGGCACAAAGATAGGCACATTCAGCCCACTGCTGCCACTACTGGGGCCTGAGGACTTACTCACCCAGTGTCCGAGTCCCAAGCACAACTTCATTCCTGCCTGTACTAATAACTACACCTAACCCACCAAGTAAATCATAGATACTACTAATGCTGTTTACAGCCAAAGAAATCATACAGAGACTACACTACTGTATACACCCAGAATCAAAGTCAAAATGCCCTACTCAATCAACACCATAAATACATAGTCAGGAAAACCTCCTCCCCTTCAAAAGTAAATTCAAAAATAGGAAGAAGCAACTGTTACACTAGATGCTCAGATATCAATATAAAGACACAAGAAACATGAAAGGCCAAAGAAATATGTTACTTCCAAAGGAACACAATAATTCTCCAGCAATAGACCTTAATCAAAAAGAAAATCTCAAAATCCCAGAGGAAGAATTCAAAATATTGATTTTAAAGAGGCTCAGTGAAATACAAGAGAATTCTGAAAAACAATACAAAGAATCAGAAAAACAATTCAAGATATGAATGACAAATTTACCAAAATGATAGCTATTTTTTAAAAAAACAAAATAGAAATCCTGGTACAGAAGAATTTATTGAAGAAAGTACAAAACATTTGAAAGCTTCAACAATATGTTAGATCAAACAGAAGAGATAATCTCAGAACTTGAAGACAGGTATTTAAAAATAATCCAGTCAGAAAAAAAACTAAAGAAAAAAAGAATTAAAAAAATAGCAAAGCCTTCATGACATTTGAAATAACATAACATAAATACTTATAGCCAACTGATCTTTGACAAAGCATACAAAAACATAAAGTGGGGAAAGGACACCCTCTTCAACAAATGGTCCTGGGATAACAGGCAAGCCACATGTAGAAGAATGAAACTGGATCCTCATCTCTCACCTTATACAAAAATCAACTCAGGATGGATCAAAGACCGAAATCAAAGACCTGAAACCATAAAAACTCTAGAACATAACATTGGAAAAATTCTTCTAGATATTGGCTTGGGCAAAATTTCATGACCAAGCACCCAAAAGCAAATGCAACAAAGACAAAAATAAAAAAATGGGACCCAATTAAACTAAAAACCTTCTACACTACAAAAGAAATAATCAGCAGAGTAAATAGACAACACACAGAGTGGGAGAAAATATTTGCAACCAACGCATGTGACAAACGACTAACATCCAGAATCTACAAAGAACACCAACAAATCAGCAAAACTCCCACAAATAAACCCATCAAAAAGAAGGCCAAAGTCATGAATAGACAATTCTCAAAAGAAGATATATAAATGGCCAACAAACATGAAAAAATGCTCAACATGACTATCAGGGAAATGCAAATTAAAAACACAATGAGATACCACCCTACTCCTGCAAAAATGGCCATAATTTAAAAATAAAAAATAATAGGTGTTGGTGTGGATGTGGTGAAAAGGGATCACTTTTACACTGCTGATGGGAACATAAACCAGTACACTATAGAAAACAGTGTGGTGATTCCTTAAAGAACTAAAAGTAGAACTACCATTTGATCCAGCAATCCCACTACTGTGTATCTACCCAAAGGAAAAGAAGTCGTTATATGAAAAAGACATTTGCATATGCATGTTTATAGCAGCACAATTTGCAATTGCAAAAATATGGAAGAAACCTAAATGCCCATTAATCAATGAGTGTATAAAAAAATGTGGTATATATACACCATGGAATACTACTCAGCCCTAAAAAGAAATGAAATAATGCCATTTGCAGCAACTTGGATGGAGTTGGAGATCATCATCCTAAGTGAAGCAACTCGGGAATGGAAAACCAAATATCATATGTTCTCATTTATAAGTTGGAGTTAAACTATGAGGATGCAAATGCATGTGAATGACATAATGAACTTCGGGGAATCAAGGGAAAGAGTGAGAGGGGGATGAAGGATAAGAGAGTACACATTGGGCACAGTGTACACTGCTCTGGTGAAGGGTGCACCAAAATCTCAGAAATCACCACTAAAGAACTTCTCCATGTAACCAAAAACCACCTGTTCTCCAAAAACTATGGAAATAAAAATTAAAAAAAATATCATAGCACAATGGATGCAAAAAAAATAGCAACATCCATGTTTGGCAAAAATATTGATCCTGCAAAATTTCAGTACATCACTGATAGGAGTACAAGTTGTTTTAATCAATTATGGGAGTAGACTGGAATTATCTAGCTAAAAGGAAGAGGCACACAGCTATGACTTTTAAGTACATACCCCAGAGAAAAATGTGTACATATGCACCATAAAATATTCACAAGAACGTTGATAAGAATGTTGTCCTTATTAGCTAAAACTTATACAAAAATCCATCTACCCAAAGGAGGGTATGTACACTCTGTGGAATATTATAAGGTAGTGAAAATGCATACATGAAAACTACAAGCAGCAATGTAGTTCAATTTCCAATCATGATGTTGAGTAAATGAAAGAAGATTATACAAAGTATGTGTGCATGGTTCTTTTGTTACATAAAGCTCTTATTTAGGGAAGCATACCTAAGGGAATTTTGTAAAGCCTGTGGCATCTATATTGAAATTCCTTCTTTTCTAATATATTTAATATTGACAATGTCTGTCACTTCTTGTTTTGTCTGAAATTCTATATTTTGCTATGTTTTAATTGTATTATCATTTTTCTTTTGTGTGTTTTAACTGATAAATAATTATATATATTTGTGTGGTACAATGTGGTATTTTGATATATGTATATATTATAGAATGATTAAATTAAGCAAATTAACAAAAAAATTGAAATAACATAAAGTGACTGAATAGTAGAATAATTGGTATCCCCCAGGGCAAAGAGAGAACAAAAGTATTAGAAAATCTATTTAACAAAATGATAGATAAAAACATCCCAAGTCTAGCAAAAGATTTAGACATCCAGATACAGGAGACTGTATGATCCCTAAGCAGATAGAATACAAAAATGTCTTTTACATGACACATTGTAGTCGGACTATTTAGGAAAAAAAGCAAAATCCTAAAAACAGCAAGAGAAAAGCAACTAGCCACCTATAAAGGAAACCCCTTCAGAATAACAGCAGACTTCTCTGCACAAACCTTACAGGCTAAAAGAGAATGGGATGATAGACTGAGTATGGTGGCTCACGCCTGTAATCCCAGTACTTTGGGAGGCCTAGGTGGGCAGATCACTTGAGGTCAGGAGTTTGAGACCAGATGGGCCAACATAGCGAAACCTCGTCTCTACTAAAAAAAAAAAAAAGAGAAGAGAGAGAGAGAGTGAGAGAGAATGGGATGATATATTCAAAATGCTGAAAGAAAAAACTGCTAGTCAGAATATTATATCCAGCAAAAATGTAGGAATACAGTCTTTCCCAGACAAGCAAATGCTTAGGAAAATGTGCTACCAATAGAACAGCTCTACAAGAAATGCTCAAGGGAGTCCTAAACATGGAAGTGAAAGGATAACATTTATTAATACTATCATGAAATCACATGAAAGTACAACTCACTGATAAGGCAATTACACAATGGACTCAGAGAAAGGACTCAAATGATACCACTACAGAAATCCACTAAACAATGACAGACAATAAGAAAGATGTATACAGCAGGATGTACATAGGTCTATGCAAATACTACACCATTTTACATAAGGGTCTTGAGCATCTGTGGGTTTTGGTTTCCACACACGTTCCTCTTTCCTTTGTTGCATGGATACTGAGGGAAGACAGTATTTCAAACTGAGTGCTTTTGTTTGTGGGAGTCTAGAATATTGGTATGTGCTAGGCAGAGAGTGCCTAAGTGACCAGCTCTCAATAAAAACTTCACATGCTGAGTCTCCAATGAGCTTCCCTGGTAGACAACATTTCACACAAATTGTTACAAATCATTGCTGGAGGAACAAAATGTGTGATTCCACAAGGAGAGGACTTTTGAAAACTTGTACAGATATCTTTCAGTCTTCACTCCACGCATCTTTTCCTTTTGCCATTTTTGTTTTATGTCCTTTTACTGTAGTAAACGTATTTTTTCCTTTTGATTATGGTAAAATCACATAAAACAAATTTATCGTCTCAACAATTTCTGAGTTCAGTAGTGTTAAGAATATTTTCATTAATGTGCAACTAATCTCCAGAACATTTTCATCTTGAAAAACTAAAACTATACCCATTCAACAATAGATCCCCTTTTGTTGTAGTAAATCTGAGCTGTGAATTTGACTATCAGCTGAGTCCTGTGAGTTTTCCTAGGAACTCATCAAACTTGTGGTAGTCTTGGGAACACCTGACACTGATGTATACACATTAAGTTAGTCTTTGATTTGCTTCACTGACTACACATTTTACATGTGGAAGGTGGGGTAGAGGAATCACCACTTCCACATTCAGTGAATCTTCATTTTTATATAGGATAAAATAAACATAGGGCAGAGGAAACAATCAGATATGCATTTTTCTCAGGTAAGCAGAGGGATGACTTTTTAGTTCGTCCTTTGTCTGGTACCTGTGAAGGTAAGTTATTAATTTACATTGTCAGGGTGAAATTTAACAGAACTATTTTAGGGTAAAGAGCTTGGGGCCCATTGTGGGCAAATTATGAGGGAAGTATGCAGCTTTTATTTTGCTTATGTTTGTAGCTATCTTATTTGGAATAAAATGTGAGGTAGCCTTGTGTGACCTAGGTCCCAGCTTGACTTTTCCCTTTGGCTTAGTGAGTTTGGTGTTCCCGGATTTATTTTCCTTTCACAATAGGAAAATGGTTACTATAGTGAAGCAGATTAATATTACCTTTTTTAACTCCTAAAATTTCCATTTGGCTCTTCGTTAAATCTTTTTTGTGCTTGTGTATGCATATGCTCAGATGTCT